>NC_000011.10:9150909-9453939 GCF_000001405.40 Homo sapiens
GAAATTCCTACTAGAGACCGAATTTTACATTTTTATGGATATTATCTCATTTAATTCTCTAACAATTTATAAGGTAGCCAAAAAAGATATCACAATTTCCCCCACTTAACAGAGAAGGAAAATGACATTCAGAGAGGTTAGCTGCTTTGCCTATGTCACCAAGCAGCAAAGTCAGTACTGGAACACAGACCTCCTGGCTCCTAGTCTATCATGCTCTCACCATGATCCACAGAAGCAGTGCTTCCACTTGGAGCCACTACTCACATCCTGTTCTGGCTTCACAGCAGCCTACAAAAGCCCAAGAGAATATATAAAGAACAAGAATGTTCTGGTTCTGTTCCAGAATGATAGGACCTCTAGGAGAAGAGAAGATATAATACCTTTATATCCTCATGTCTGGCCTAATGTTTAAAACTTAGTATTTTCATCATCAAGCTGTTGAGAATTTTTGGCTACAGTTTATTCCTCAGCAATGACTTCTATAGCATTCTTAATAAGAACCTGCTTTTACACATCCAGAAAGCGGGCCAAAAAAATTCCTCATAAGCCTACCTGGAGAACTCTTGTCTCTAGTTTTCAGCCAATTATCTCCCCAGGTTCAGTGCTAGTTAAGGTCAACTAGTTCAAGGGCAACGAGTTCATGCCCATCTTTTTACCCCATTTAACTCACCTTTACCATTAAGATAAAAACATCCAAGAAAGGTAAACAAATGTCTGGCAGAGTGGAGAACAAAGGATGATGTGAAGGGGAGATGCACCCAAGAAGTAAAAGAAGCAGGGAGACTAGCCTGGAAAGGACACTGTAGGATGGTCTAAACATCAGAGCAGGAGATAAGATGACTGGCTCTTGTTTGGCCTCTTCCATGAGCTCACTTTGTGATCTTAAGTAAATTCAATTCCTCTCCAGACTCGTTTCCTCCTCTTGTAAAATAAAGGGCCTGGACTAGATGACCTCTGGAGTTGCCACAAACTCTGACATTTTTATTAGGTTAGAAACAGAAAGGAAGTATAAGGGATCATTCACACCAGGACTTGACTTTGAGGAGGTCCAAGGAAGGACACTGACCAACAGCTCTCTTGACTAACGGGATAGATAATCATAATGCCCATGTCAGAGAAATAAAACAAAAGACTCTGAAAACAGCCTGCTCCAAACCCAGGACACCAGTACCACAGTAAAACCCATATTCATTCTGAGACTGGCCTCTTGCCCAAATAAATTTTCTATCTTGCCGATAAAAAGGGTATAGAAATACATAATGAAAGCAAATGCCATGGTTTTGGTATGCTCTGTGGTTCAGAGAGTCTGGTGGCTCCATATTTAAAAGAGAAAACATTCCAGAGCAAAAGCTTCTTCGACCTGGAATAGTTTGCTTCAAAGTGATCACGCCAGTGGGTGATGGAAAAGTGGAGAGAGGGCAGACTCTCCATTGCAGAGACTATCTTACCTGAGGTACTGAGGCTTCCTGATGTGAGTTTTCTCTGCCGGTTGTCCTGATAATGTAACAGGTGGGACCATAAGGCTGATTTCCCCTGGAACCAATGCAAGGGAGAAACACCTATCAGTTTAGATTTCAGGGGTCAAGGCTTTCAACATACAGATAGAAGCTTTTGCTAAAAAAATATATGTACTGTTTCTTGTTTCAATGTACATCCAGGACACAGTGTATGCAAATATATCAATTTACTAAAATCCAGAAGAAATATAAACAATGGAAGGTAACAGAAAAAGGAAAGGGTCCCCTACTGGGAATAGAAAGGAGATGGGAAAGAGAGCCTGGTAAGGGACCAGTGGATAAGAAAGAAAAAAGCAGCTGGGCACGGTGGCTCACACCTGTAATCCCAACACTTCAGGAAGCCGAGGCGGGCAGATCACTTGAGGTCAGGAGTTCGATTCCAGCCTGGCCAACATGGTGAAACCCTGTCTCTACTAAAAATACACAAATTAGCAGGATGTGGTGGTGCATGGCTATAATCCCAGCTACTCAGGAGGCAGGAGAATCACTTGAACCCGGGAGGCAGAGGTTGCAGTGAGCCTAGATCGCACCATTGCACTCCAGCCTGGGCGACAGGGTGAGACGCCGTCTCAAAAAAAAAAAAACAAAAAAGAAAGAAAGAAAAAAGCAGGCCAGGCACAGTGTCTCACACCTGTAATCCCAACCCCAACACTGGGAGGCCAAGGCGGGCGGATCACTTGAGGTCAGAAGTTCGGGACCAGCCTAGCCAACACAGCAAAACCCTTACTAAAAATACAAAAATTAGCCGGGAGTGGTGGCACACGCCTGCTGTCCCAGCTACTCGGGAGGCTGAGGCAAGAGGATCACTCGAACCGAACCTGGGAGGTGGAGGGAGTTGAACCTGGGGGGCAGAGGTTGCAGTGAGCCAGGATCATGCCGCTGCACTCCAGCCTGGGTGACAGAATGAGGCTCCCTCTCAAAAAAAAAAAAAAAAAAAAAAAAAAGAAGCAAATGACCTATCATCCTCTAAATGGTCTGCTGGTTTTATGTCAGCTTGATGGCTTTTGCACAGAGGAGTGGATATCCAGCCTATAAGCTTCCATCTTAGCTCCTGAATTTCCTAAAATATTTAAAGTTATTCCTTTAAATATTGTTCTAGTCCTGATTTTGCTACTTGGTGAACTAGGCAAAGCAGTTTGGTGAACTTCTCTGAATGTCAGTTTCCTTCTCTGTTAAGTGGGGGAAACTGTGGTATCTTTGGCTACCTTATAAGTTGTTAGTGCAGGCCAGGGAGAGTAAGTCATCACTATAACAAGGATTTACTATTGAAGGTATAGTTGAAGAAATGTGCAGAAAGGTAGGCTGGTACTTAACTGCATGGCTGAAATAAACTACAGTCAATATAATAGAACCTTGGCGTTTGGAAAGGTAAGAACTGCACTTTAAACCATTTGAGATATGTAGCAATTTGTCATTTTGCCAAGGCACAAACCTGAATAGTATTTGCAAGCCTGATGTGAGGGAGTAATTCACCTGGGTAATGAGTGAGCCCAGCTGGTCACCCAGCAACTGCTTTGTCTCTTTCTAATCATCGTTCAGTACATCATAACCCTTGTTAAGTGATAACTTTATTTCAGATTCATGGTAAATGTTCCCATGCAGATAATAAAATAATATAAAGGTGGTATGTTTGTTTTAGTAAGATTACAATAATTTTATAAATGACTTTGGTTCTATAATAATGATAGAAGCTACCAGGTCTTGAGGCTTACTATGAACTAAGCACTATGTCAGATGTTCAAAATACAATATTTTAATTAATGCTCCCAACAGTCTAATAAGGTAGATATCTCTATCCCTATTTTCTGTAGAGAAGAAGAAATTGAGGATCGGAAAGGTTAAGTTAACTTGTAAGAGGTCACACCGTTAGTAAGCAGAGTGTTGGGATTCAAGCTTAAGTCTATCTAATGTCAAAACCATTGCTCTTAATAACTATGCTACACGAGATGCTTCTGAAAAGATCATTTAACTTTTTAAGTTATACTTTCTGAGGAAAATTTTGTGCTATGGAATTAATGTGAAGATTTAAGGTCTTAAGATATACCCCATGAGAATACTGAGGGTCTATTTTGTTTCTATTCACAAACTTGATCTACTCTGGGGAAAAAAAAAAACAAACATCTGAATGGTAGGAAACCCTCGCTATAGATCAGCAAGCTGTCAAAATAAGCTTGCTGTATGTTTGTACTTCCTACAAAATTCATAAACTTAAAACCCAACAACTTCAAAGACAATTTTTAAAATATATAAAAACTAAAATTAGAAAATACCAGGTTTTATTCATCCAAATAACAAATATTTGAAAAAAAAAATGTCTAACAACATTAATGAGACTTACAAATCCTATACTAACTGCTTCTAAGAAGGTCTATTGTTTCCTGTTGGGAGCCAAAAAGAAAAAAAAATTTTAATTTAAAAAACTTAAAAAAAAAAAGAAGGTTGACTGGGCGCAGTGGCTCACATCTGTAACCCCAGCACTTTGGGAGGCCGAGGTGGGTGGACCACCTGAAGTCAGGAGTTCGAGACCAACCTGGCCAACAGGAGGAAACCCCATCTCTACTAAAATACAAAAATTAGGCGCGCATGGTGACAGGCACCTGTAATCCCAGCTACTCAGGAGGCTGAGGCAGGAGAACTGCTTGAACCCAGGAGGCAGAGATTGCAGTGAGTCAAGATGGCACTACTGCACTCCAGCCTGGGCAACAGGGTGAGACTCCATTTAAAAAAAAAAAAAGGTCTATTAATGTATCTAACAGATAATATAAGAGCTTAAAATATTTATGGTCTTTGACTTAGTAATTCAACTTCTAGAAATCCATTCATCCTTCCATCTACCACAACCATTAGAAAGTAGGCTCCCCAGCATCTAGGCAGACTAGGAAAGCAGCCTAAGATAAATTAATAGAACTGTCTGAATGTGGCACACATTAAGTACAGCTGGTGACCAGAGAGCCTGACATGCAATAACACTAAAGAGCCAAGGACAAGGGCAAAATCAGGCCACTATACCAGAAGAAGGAAGCCCCTGGCTCACAATGTTTACAGAGGTGAGGAGAAAGAGCAAGGGCAGGAGTGGAAGAGCAGCAGCTGGGCTGCTCTTTGGTCTTTCTAGTTCAAGAGACATGGCCTACTCTTTTTCCTCTTTTGCAAAGGGTCTGATTGGGATTGCAAGGTTCAATACAGCCTGACTATCCATTTATGGACATGGACACACAATAAACTGCATCAGATTCTACAAGAATGTCATAAGCAAGAAAGATAAGTAACAACTCCTTTTCATGTGTCAACCCTAAATGGCAGCAGTTACAAAACCAGTATGAAAAACCAAACCTCTATCTGATAGAAAAACATACTATAGGTGGAAGCCCATCTCCTTGGAAGATGTCACTGAAAGCCAAAGAGAGTGGTGAGGATAACAGAGGTTCTTATGAAGACTTGCTGCAGGCAGCCTTACATCCAAGCAGTCAAGGCTAGTAACAAAATTTAAGAGGCCAGCAGCAAAAATGCTGTTTGGGTTCTCTCTACTTTCTGAGCAGATAATAATGGGCGGTTGCTTAGGAAGGTACCCCCACAAGGGCATAATAAAATCACCCTCTGAGAGCAAATTTAGTCACAATCTGGGTGTATGATAAAGGACAGCAGGTAACCAGGGTGTGACCGCTGGATTGGAAGATAACTGAAGAATGTCTCAGCAGGATAAAGCCAGCAAAATGGAGGCCTAGGGAGAACATGGTGTTAGGAACCCAACATAGATCATCAGGGTCAATCTCCAGCTGAACACGTATCCCTAAGAGCATTAACGCCATGCCAGCAAGAACAGATCCTCACTCTCCTCTGGTGACACTGTCACTGCTTCACTTCCAGAGCTCCAAAAGCCAGGACTCAGAACAAAATGGAACCTCAACTAAAAAGCCCCCATTATTTTGCACTGGTTTCTCACCAAACAAGCAGCCTAACTCTCCAAAATAAGAGGGGGCTCAAATGAACTCTAAAAGAAATTCCAGTCTGGCCAACATGGTGAAACCCCACTTCTGCTAAAAATACAAAAAAATTAGCCGGACGTGGTGGCCTGAGCCTGTAATCCCAGCTACTCGTGAGGCTGAGGCAGGGGAACTGCTTGAACCAGGGAGGTGGAGGTTGCAGTGAGCCAAGATCGCGCCATTGCACTCCAGCCTGGGCAACAGAGCGAGACTCCGTCTCAAAAAAAAAAAAAAAAGATACAAAAATTAGCCAGGCATTGTGGTGCGGAGCTGTAGTCCCAGCTACTTGGCAGGCTGAGGTGGGAGAATCACTTGAACTCAGGATGTGGAGGTTGCAGTGAGCTGAGATCATACCACTGCACTCCAGGCTGTGTGACAGAGCGAGACTCTCGAAGGAAAGAGAGAAGGGGAGGGGAGGGAAAGGGGAAGGAGGGAAGGAGGGACAGAGGGATGGAAGGATGGATGGAAGGAAGGAAGGAAGGAAGGAAGGAAGGAAGGAAGGAAGATATTCTTACTGTGAGAATTCCTGCAGAATAATAAATTCCTCCTATGGTGAGAATTACTGCAGAATACAGTAGAACACAGACTTAGAACATATAATGATACGATACTATTTTTCAAAATACAGGAAGAAGCTTCACTAACTCCCTAGAAATTTTTGCAGTAAATATTTAAAAGTTTTCAGCATATATGTTTTACCTCAAAGCTAAAAGAGCTCAACTATAGTGCCAGGCTTGCTAAATGTTATGGAAAATGATAAAAGGATTATATGTATTCTACTCACTTATTATAGAGAAAAAGAAACAAACCCTTCCATACAGAACCCAGCATAATAATAGCTGTCATATGTTGGATACTTATCACACGCCAGGTATTTCCTTTCATTGCCTCTAATGATCACAGCTGAAAGATATTTATTTAATTCTTTTAACTTTTATTTTAGGTTCAGGGGCACACATGCAAGTTTGTTATATAGGTAAACTGCGTATCACAGGGGTCTGGTGTACAGATTACTTCATTATTCATGTAATAAGCCTCGTACCCCACAGGTAGTTTTTCAGTCCTCTCCCTCCTCCCACTCTCCACTCTCAAGCAGGCCTTGGTGCCTGTTGTTCCCTTCTTTGTGTCCATGGGTATTCAATGTTTAGCTCCCACTTATAAGTGAGAACAAGCAGTATTTGGTTTTCTGTTCCTATATGAGTTCACTTAGGACTATGGTCTCCAGCTGCATCCATGTTGCTACAAAGGCCATGATCTAGTTCTTTTTTATGGCTGTGTAGTGTTGTATGGTGTGTATGTATCACCTTTTCTTTATCTGGTCTACCGTTGATGGCCATTTAGGTTGATCATAACTTTGCCATTGTGAATAGTGCTGCAATGAACATACACGTGCATATGTCTTTATGGTAGAACAATTAATATTCTGAAAGACAGGTTTTTATTAACTATCTATCTTTCATGGATTTGGATTTCAGAAAGTGCAAGTTGCTTATTTAAAGTCATCCAGTGGAGCCAGGATTCAAACCCAAGTCTTTCTGACTCACAGTTCATAGTGTTGCTACTACACCAGTCTCAAAATTTTAGGAATGCAATACACAATTTTTAACATTTAAAAAACTATAAATGCAGTGTTGTTTACAATACTGAAAAATCAGAATTAACCTAAATGACTAATAATAAGAGATTGATTAAAGTATGGCACATCTATACAACAGATGTAGTCATTAAAACTGAGATTTTACAATAACCACAAACATCCAAAGAGCCAGAAACCAGGCTCTGAGCTTAGTGCTTTACATTAATTATCGAATCCACACAAGGACCCAATGGATGTGGGTACTTTTAAAATTCCATCAGGCAGGGAACAGTGGCTTTTGCCTGTGATCCCAGCAGTTTGGGGGGCTGAGGCAGGAGGATCACTTGAGCCCAGGAGTTTGAGACCAGCCAGGACAACATAGGGAGACCTCATCTCTACAAAAAAAAAAAATAGCTGGGCATGGTGCCACACACCTGTAGTCTCAGTCTCCAAGAGTCTCCAAGCTGAGGTGGGAGACTCAGTTGAGCACAGGAGGTCAAGGCTGCAGTGAGCAGAGATCATGCTAGTGCACTCCAGCCTGGGCAACAAAGCAAGATGCTGTCTCAAAAATTAAATTAAATTAAATTAATATAAAATAAAATAAAATTCCATCATACATATAAGGAAACAGGCTTAGAGAAGCTAGGTAACTTGCTTAGTTTCATAAAGTTATTAAGTGGAAATCATACTTCAAACCCAGATCTGTCTGTTTTACAGTCAAGCTCTTAAACACTTACTATACTATCATCTAAAAATTAGTTAAGGACATAGAAAAGATATGAGATAAAAACAAAGCAAGTTGCAAAGCATTACATACAGTATTAACTCATTTGGATTTTTTAAAAAACCACTTCATTGAGATATAATTCATATTACCATAAAATTCACACTTTTAAAGTATGCAATTTTCTGAACAAAAAAATCTGGTTTTTAGTATAGAGTTGTGCAATCATCACCACTATCTAATTCTAGAACATTTTCATCACCCCCAAAAGACACTCCATATGCATTAGTAGTCACTTCCCATTGCTCCCTTCCTCTAGCCTCTGGCAACCCTTAATCTACTTTCTGTCTGTGGATTTGCCTATTTTAGACATTTTGTATAAATGAGATCACACAATCTGTGGCCTTTTGTGTCTGGCTTCTTTCACTTAGTATGTTTTCAGAGTTCATCCATGTTGTACCACATGTAGGTACTTTATTCCCTTTATTGCTCAATAATATTCCAATGTATTATACCAAATTTAGGTCACCCACTCATCAGCTGATAAATATCTGGGTCATAATAGCCACATAAGATGACACTATTATGACTAATGCTGCTATGAACTTTTTTTTCTTTTTTTTTTTTTTTTGAGACAGAGTTTCACTCTTGTTGCCTAGGCTGGAGTGCAATGGTGCAATCTTGGCTCACTGCAACCTCTGCCTCCTGGGTTCAAGCGATCCTCCTGCCTCAGCCTCCCAAGCAGCTGGGATTACAGGCATGCACCACCACCTGGCTAATTTTGTATTTTTGGTAGAGACGGGGTTTCACCATGTTGATCAAGCTGGTCTCAAACTCCTGACCTCAAGTGATCCACCTGTCTTGGCCTCCCAAAGTGCTGGGATTACAGGTGTGAGCCACTGCGCCTGGCCTGCTATGAACATTTGTATACAAGTTTTTGTGTAGACATATGTTTTCACTTATCTTGAGTATGTATCTAGAAGTGGGCTTGCTAGGTCATATAAGAACTGTTTAACATTTTGAGGAACTGCCAGACTGTTTTCCAAAGTGGCTGCACCATTTTACATTCCCATCAGCAATGTATGAAAGTTCCCATTTCTCCACATCCTTAACACTTGTTACTTATTTTAACTACTCCAGTGGATGTGAAATAGTATCTCATTGTGGTTCCACTGGGTTTTTAAATATACAGCTATATACGCATGGGCATATGTACACAGAAGAATGCTCTGAAGAACATGTGTGGAAGATTGTTGCTATACCCATTAGAATGACACAGGAAGGCAAGAGATCTTGGTCTGTTTTGTTCACTGAGGTATTTCTAGTGCCTACAACAGTACCTGACATAGTAGGCCCTTGAGAAATACCAATGGATACTAATATGTATTTTCTAATTTTTCCATGATAAAACTTCTTTTCAAAAAATTTCAAGTTATTTTCAAATTTAAAAATACATAAAAATAAAAGGTATCTATCTTGACTACCAATTGAAAACAGAGTATTTTGAAATAAGGAAATTCTCTGGGTATTAAGTGGAAAAATCAAACTTACTCAACTTCCTGAGGCCTTCTCTCAAATGTTTAGTTAAACCATCTGCATACAAAAGAAATGTTAATGACAGACTTTTTTTCCACTGTGAATATATGATTAGTGAAGAACCTTTAGTGTATGACTGGTACTTCCTGAGCTCCAACTTCTCTCTTTCTGGTCTATCTCTAGACTAGGGCCAGCTGCCAAACAGGACCTATCAGGTTGGCCTTCAGCTCTACCCCCAGGAAGAAAGATGCCTCTTTTTAAAAGTCTGACAAACACACAGATTTATAAAGCCTATCTTTAAGGAAAATAGTTTGGATCACATTTATTTAATTGTTTATTTCAAATCTCACTCCAGGGCACTGTGCACCATTCTTCAAAGCCAGTCAGCTGGACAAAAAGAGTGTGGGAAAGCTAGTAACTGAAAACAGGAAGACAATTTGCTCAGCAATGAGAGGCAAGACATACATTACCTGTTTCACTTGTAGTCCATGACTCCAGATCCTTTCCAGGAGATCACAAAGGCTGGCAATCAGGGTGTTCTCTTCCACCCCTGTGATGTTCACCTCCCCATGCCCTAGCTCCACAGCTTCTCGGCCCATCTTTTCCACCAGCATCCTCTTGGTCTACAAGGAAGCAGTCAACAGGATTAAATAACCACAGTGAGCAGGATTACATACAACCGGAGAGGGTTCTGACAGCCTGCACAGTACATCTGTTGGGCTGGGAAGGACAGGATGAATTAGCCCCAAGGACACAGAATATATTTATACCCATGTAGGTCAGGTTACAAGGGAGTGCATGCTTTAAAAATTTAGTTAAGAAAGGCCAGGTGTGGTAGCTCACACCTGTAATCCCAGCACTCTGGGAGGCCTAGTTGGGCGGATCACAAGGTCAGGAGATCGAGACCATCCTGGCTAACACGGTGAAACCCCGTCTCTATTAAAAATACAAAAAAATTAGCCAGGTGTGGTGGCGGGCGCCTGTGGTCCCAGCTACTCAGGAGGCTGAAGCAGGAGAATGGCGTCAACCAAGGAAGCGTAGCTTGCAGCAAGCTGAGATCGCGCCACTGCACTCCAGCCTGGGCAACAGAGCGAGACTCCGTCTCAAAAAAAAAAAAATATGTAGTTAAGGAAAGGATAAGAACACAGCAATCTTTATGACTCCTGGCCAGTGATTTCATCACTCTGTATTCAGTTTTTGCATTTATGCAAGAAACAAATAAACCCTTCAGTCATGCTTATCTCTGACATTGTCTGATTCCCACTGCTTAAATGACCCTACCAAACAAACCTTTGAGCATACATACAACTTAGAAACATATCTGAAATAACTGTCAAGGGGACAAAAATTGAGGAGGTAATTTATTTTACATAAAAATTTTCAACTGCTTATTGTAAGATCATAACCAAGAAAACACATACTGCATAATGATAATCACAGTTTTTATTAAGTACTATGTCAGGCATTGTACTTAGCATTTCATTATCTCATTTAAGCCTCCTAACAATCTGAGGTAACTATTATTATTGTTCCCAATTTACCAATACGGAAATTGAGAAATACAGTAATCAATATACTAAATTTAAACATAGTATAAAACAATATAGTATATTTATAGTCTAAGTATAGTTTAATTCTCTTAAGTAACTTGCCCAAAATCTATACGTAATATAGCACTCTATTAAATTATATATATATATATATTGTCCAAAATGAAACAGCAAAGTAGCAATAGATCTGGCCTTTGAACCCATATCTGCCTGAACTTTGAGTCCAAGTTCAAAAGTAAGATTTAACTATGCTATAAATTTGTGATATATAAAAATCTAAGAAAAGGAAAACAAATCACCCCAATCCTACTTTTCAGAAGCAACAACTCTTAATATTTTGGCATATTTCTTTCCACTGTTAGTTTTTAACCTTCTTATTGTGAAATATATAATATATATATGCTATTACATCATTATGACCAGCGCCAGGCCAGTTCCTTCTTTTTTTTTTTTTTTTTTTTTTGAGATGGAGTTTCGCTCTTGTTGCCCAGGCTGGAGTGCAATGGCACAATCTCGGCTCACTGCAACCTCCGCCTCCCCGGTTCAAGCAAATTCTCCAGCCTCAGCCTCCCGAGTAGCTGGGATTACAGGCATGCACCACCACGCCTGGCTAATTTTGTATTTTTAGTAGAGATGGGGTTTCTCCATGTTGGTCAGGCTGGTCTCAAACTCCCGACCTCAAGTGATCTGCCCACCTCAGCCTCCCAAAGTGCTGGGATTACAGGCATGAGCCACTGCGCCTGGCCAGTATTTTATTTATAAATACTGTCTGTTTATATCTTTGAAGCACCCTACGTGCCCTCTTCCATTCACCTTCCCACTCTAGAAGTGACCACTTACCCAACGAAACTACAGAAAAGCAAGAAAATTATTACCTATATTTTTAACCCTAAAATATATGGTTTGGTTTGCCTGTATGTATCTTTAAGACAGGGTCTCTCTCTGTTGCCTAGACTGGAGTGCAGTGGCTCGATCATGGTTCACGTAGCCTCAGCTTCCCAGATTCAACTGATCATCCCACCTCAGCCCCCGCAGTAGCTGGGACTATAGGCATGCATGTTTCTTTTGTGATTTTTTTTTTTTTTTTTTCTTTAAGAAACTGGGTCTCAGCATGTTGCCCTGGCTGGAACCGAACTCCCAGGCTCAAGCAATCCCCCCACCTCAGCCTCCCAAGTAGCTGGGATCACAGGTGTGTGCTGATACTCCTGGCTTCTGATTTGCTTTTTCACTCGTTTATATTTGTGAAATTCATCCACACTGATGTGTATAACTGTTATCCATTTCCATTGTTGTATAGCATTCCACCACATGAATACACCACAATATACTTATTAATTCTCTTACTGATTGGCTTTCTCAACTGATTGGTTGTTTCCAGTTTGGGGCTATTAAAAGAATGCTGCTGTAAACTTCTTGTACATATCTCTTGGGACATGCTCCAAAAGTTTCTCTAGGGAATATACCTAGGAGAAGAATTACTAAACAATACTATGCTGTTTTCCAAAATCATCATACCAATTTATACTTTCAACAGCCTGTTGCCTCACGTGCAAGCCAATACTTTGTGATGTTACATTGATTACTATATTTCTTCAATTCTAGATGTATATTTTCCCACATATTAACATGTCTAAAATTGATATGTATTTCACAGTCATCATTGGCTAGGAATAGGAAGTTGTCACAGCCAGGTCATGCATCTCATGACTTAAGAATTTTGACAGTCCAGGCCAGTTGTGCAGTGCCTCAAACCTGTAATCCCAGCACTTTGGAGGCCGAGGCAGACAGATCACTTGAGGTCAGGAGTTCAATACCAGCCTGGTCAATATGATGAAACCCTGTCTCTACTAAAAATACAAAAATTAGCCAAGCATGGTGGTGCACTCCTGTAATCCCAGCCACTCGGGAGGCTAAGGCACGAGAATTGCTTGAACCTGGGAGGCAGAGGTTGCAGTGAGCCGAGATTGTGTCACTGTACTCCAGCCTGGGTGACACAGTGAGACTCCATCTCAAAAAAAAAAAAAAAAAGAATGACAGTCCAGCAGCTTAGAAAAAAAAAATGCAGAAATGCAGCATCACCAATGTTCTTCATAGTAGAAAGGCAGAAGAGACAAAATTGTATGGAAAAAAAAATCACAGATATTAATTACTCAGAGTGAACTGACAGAAGTTTTACACAAACACACACACACACTGGCCACAATGCCTGGCCAGAGTTTTTTTTAACCTAAATTTAAAATATCAGTACTGATATATTAATCAGGTTTTTTTTTTTTTTTTTTTTTTTTTTTTTTTTTGAGAGAGGGTCTCATTCTGCAGCCTTGACCTCCAGGGCTCAAATGATCCTCCTACCTCAGCCCACCAAAGTAGCTGGGACTAAAGGTGTGCACCACCACGCCTAATTTTTTTTTTTTTTTTTTTTTTTTTTTTTTTTTTTTTTAGTAGAGATGAGGTTTTGCCATGTTGCTTAGCCTGGCCTCAAACTTCTGGGCTCGAGTGATTCACCCACCTCAATCTCCCAAAGTGCCAGGATTACAGGCATGAGCCGCTGTGCCCTGCCAATCTAGCTTTAAACAGTAATAATTTATTCTGCAAGAGACAGCATATTTTATTCCCTCCTATAAATGAACATCACTTCAAATGGGCACCACTTAGAACTGAAAGTGCAGGAGACTATTTTTATTCCATTGATAAATAAATAGGATGTAGTAGAGACTGAGTTAGTTGAAATGCCCTAAAATTATGGTATGCTGCCTTGGTTGAAAGATTCTTTTTATTAGAAAAGACATTTAAATTCATAATTAAAACATTAAAAATTAAGAATGAATGTCTTTGTAGAACAGAGAAAAACACCCAAACAATCTAAGCTTAAACGGAATGACACATTTTAGCCTGGCACATAGTAGGTACCCAGTAAATTTCTGTTTCTAGATATAAGATATCATTGCTATCAGATAAAAATAAAGGGGAAAAAATATCTGCAAATACATAAGACTAATCTGTTGAAGTAAGTTAGAGTGAAGACTAGTCTGATTTAAAGTACTGTAAAATGTCAAAAATTTAAAACTATGCCTGTAACCCCAGCTACTCAGGAAGCTGAGGTAGGAGGTTCACTTAAGCCCAGGACTTCAAGGCGAGCCTGGGCAATATAGTGAGATCCTGTCTTTAAAAAAGTTTTTTATTAAATTAAAAACTACATCTCTCTGTTGTTCTTTTTTTTGTTTTGAGATGGAGTCTTGCCCTGTCGCCCAGGCTGGAGTGCAATGGCGCGATCTCGGCTCACTGCAACCTCCGCCTCCCGGGTTCAAGAGATTCTCCTGCCTCAGTCTCCCAAGTAGCTGGGATTACAGGTGCATGCCACCACGCCCGGCTAAATTTTTTGTGTCTTTAGTAGAGACGGGGTTTTACCATGTTGGCCAGGCTGGTCTTGAACTCCTGACCTCGTGATCTGCCTGCCTCAGCCTCCCAAAGTGCTGGGATTACAGGTGTGAGCCACTGCGCCCAGCTTGTTGTTCATTTTTATAGAGTATACATTAAGTTTTTATCAAGCAAAGCATGCATGCTCTCAATTAATGGTATATTTTATTTAAAACAAATATACCTAATTTCAAATTAACAGGATCTTAAAATTAGTACTGTCTCATTATATTAACGATTTTTTTTTTAAGACAGAGTCTCGCTCTGTTGCCCAGGCAGGAGTGCAGTGGTGCCATCATAGCTCACTGTAGCCTTGACTTCCCAGGTTCAAGCAATCCTCCCACTTCAACCTCCCAAGTATCTGGGACTACAGGTGTGTGCCACCATGCCCATCTTAATACTTTTGTAAAGACAGGATCTCACTACGTTCTCCAAGTTGGTCTTGAACTCCTGGGCTCAAGCAATCCTCCTGCCATGGTCTCCCAAAGTGTTGGGATTACAGGCATGAGCCATCACGCCCAGCCAACAGTATTTTTAAAATCCAGAGGGAGTGGTCAGAGCCAATCCTTGGTCTTACCTTGGCTGCTAACAGAAATAGCACACATACAGAGATGTCCACAGCTTACCTTATTGCGGCATTCCTTCAGCAGGCCCTCTACAAACTTCCAATTGGTCTGGGCAATCACTGATGGAGAGAGGTTGGACAGTTTGGGCTGGCGGATAGTGCTGCCCATAGTCCTGGCTTCCTGGATGTACTTCTATATCAAACAGAAAAATAAAGACCCTTTGTGTCCATGTACATAAACCAAAGGTCAGCAGTACTGGTGGGTGCCTGAAGAGGGCATTATTTTCTCACATTTTCTTTTTTTTTCTTTTTCTTTTTTTTTTTGAGACGAATCTTGCTCTGTCGCCAGGCTGGAGTGCAGTGGTGTGATCTCAGCTCGCTGCAACCTCCACCTCCCAGGCTCAGGCAATCCTCCTGCCTCAGCCTCCTGAGTGGCTGGGACTACAGGCATGTGCCACCACGCCCGGCTAATTTTTTGTATTTTAGTAGAGACGGGGTTTCACCATGTTAGCCAGGATGGTCTTTATCTCCTGACCTGGTGATCCATCTGCCTCAGTCTCCCAAAGTACTGAGATTACAGGCATGAGCCACCGTGCCCAGCTTATTTTCTCGCACTTTCTTAGCTGCCTCTTTCTAGGCTCAGATAGTTAGGAATAGAAAATTTTTAATTTAATTCTTGTATTAAAGAGAAAAACTGAGATGATGGTTTCTGTTTTAGCTGATGTAAAGCACTCCCCAAATGGTATAATTACCTTTGATTTAAAGATACAAGAGTCAGGCAAGGCGCAGTGGCTCACGCCTGTAATCCCAGCACTTTGGGAGGCTGAGGTGGGTGGATCACAAGGTCAGGAGTTCAAGACCAGCCTGGCCAACACAGTGAAACTCCATCTTTACTAAAAATATAAAAATTAGCCAAGTGTGGTGGTGCATGCCTGTAATCCCAGCTACTCAGGAGGCTGAGGCAGGAGAATTGCTTGAACCCGGGAGGTGGAGGTTGTGGTGAGCTGAGATCGCGCCACTGCACTCTAGCCTGGGCGACAGAGCGAGACTCCATCACAAAAAATAAATAAATAAATAAAAATTTAAAAAATTAAATTAAAAAAAGATACAAGAGTCAAAAAACACATGACTACAGCAAATCTCAAATCTCTGAGTAACACTGAGAAAATAATTTCCCCCACCAAGCTGAGAAGAATTTAACTCCTCTGCCCGTATCAAAGATATCTACCCTTTCTATCATAAAGTATAAAATTAAGGCCTGGAAAATAAGATTGCACACTCAAAACAACAACTGCAATTATTTTGTATAATGTGCTGGTGATTCTTCTTCATATGTTGTTTAACACAGAACCCACATCAATGCAGTAAAATGCAATCTGATATCCTCTCAGTAGGTTCATAACCAACATTTTTACCCTAAACTTCTCCCTTCCCCCATATTTATTCCAGTGGCATAACTCTGTCCATTCTATCTTATGGCCCCTTAATCTATCTCTACTACCAACCCCCCAAGGTTAGGGTCCAATTACTATTACTTGGACTGCTGTTACCTGTCTCCTAACTTGTTAGCTATCTCCATACCACCCTCCTCCAAAATATTCTGCCCACAGCCTCCTTTACACATTTACACACCAAACTTTAGATCCTGCCATGTCCTCTACTTGAAATGCTCTTCTTATAGCTCCAGGGAGATGAAAGATTAAAAAAAAAAAAAAAAAGAAAAAGAAAAACAGCCAGGAGCAGTGACTCTGGCCTGTAATCCCAGCACTGAGGCGAGTGGATCACTTGAGCTCAGAAGTTTGAGACCATCCTGGGCAACATGAAGAAACCCTGTCTCTACCAAAAATACAAAAAAGACCAAAACAACAACAACAAACAATTAGCCAGGAATGGTGGCGTGTGCCTGTGGTCCCAGCTACTAGAGAGGCTGAGGTGGGAGGATCACCTGAGCCTTGGAGGCAGAGGTTGCAGTGAGCCAAGGTTACACCATTGCACTCCAACCTGGGTGACAGAGTAAGACCCCATTTCAAAATAAAATAAAAGCTCTTCTAACAATCCCATCATTCTCTAAGGCTTAAAGAGATGCTTGCTCCTCTTCCAAATCATCTTGTTTGATGATGACCCCAAGTAGAAGTAACCTCTGCTTTCTCTAATCAGTAATCAAACATTGGTTTGCTCCTCATATGGTCATTTCAAAAGCTTATTCTCTTGAAGTTATCTTTCTATCTGATTTTGCTCCCTTATATCAACTGGTATTCCCTGAGGACAAGACTAACCTCTTTTGTCACCTTTGTATTTCAAAGTGTTAACCTCAGTGATTTTTTTTTTTTTTGTCTTTAGCAAAGAATTCCTTGATACCTCAGTGATATGGTTTGGCTGTGACCCCATCCAAATCTCATCTTGAATTGTAGCTCCTACAATTCCCACATGTTGTGGGAGGGACCCAGTGGGAGGTAACTGAGTCACGGGGGTAGATCTTTCCTGAGCTGTTCTCGTGATAGTGCATAAGTCTCATGAGATCTGATGGTTTTATAAGGGGGAATTTCCCTGCACAAGCTCTCTCTTTGCCCACTGCCATCCACGTTAAGACGTGACTTGCTCCCTCCTTGCTGTCCACCATGATTGTGAAGCCTCCCCAGCCATGTGGAACTGTGAGTCCATTAAATCTTTCTTTTGTAAATTGCCCAGTCTTGTGTATGTCCTTTATCAGCAACATGAAAACAGACTAATACACTCAGTGATTCTGACCAAGAAAATGTGGTCAATAAACACTGCTGAAAATAGTAATGAGGAGGTTAGGTGGAAGACAGACTTTTAAAATAACACAAATAACCAAAATTTCTTATGCTACTCTCACAAAAAAAAAAATCCCAGTGCAACTGTATCCTATAAATCAGCAGTTGAAGATTCATAACCATATCTTACAATTTTAATTTATTCATTAAAAACATAGCAAAGGGAGAATATGTTATTTATTTTCCAATTCACTGAGCTGCCAGACACATGAAAACAGTATGCCTTCTTGGGTTCTCTCTGTGCAAGATGAAAATTACAGGGTCTTTTCTCAAAGATAAGTTACTGAAATAGGCTTCTGAAGTTAACACTCATTTTCACAACTTCTTTGCAACTAAGTAAGGCAGGGTCTACAACCTGAAGTTTATAACTAGAAACTTAAGAAGCAAGTTACAGTAGAGCTGAGAAACTCAGCTTACAAGCAATGAAGATTCAGGAGGTAAATTCAAGAATCTTGGGTTTCCAGGTACCTGATAATAATGTTCCTCTCCTTTAGTCTTTTAAAGAAGAAGAAGAAAAAAAAAGTCAAGATTATCTGTTTCAATTTAAGGTAAGAAACAGTAGGAAAAAAACTCTAACAAAATTAACTTCTTTCTGGGCTGGGCGCAGTAGCTCACACCTATAATCCCAGCACTTTGCGGGGATGAGGCAGGCGGATTACCTGAGGTCAGGTGTTTGAGACCAGCCTGGCCAACGTGGTGAAACCCCGTCTCTACTAAAAATACAGAAATTATCTGCGCGTTGAGGTGGTGCCTGTAATTCCAGCTACTCAAGAGGCTGAGGCAGGGGAATTGCTTGAACCCAGGAGATGGAGGCTGCAGTGAGCCGAGATCGCTCCACTGCACTCCAGCCTGGGCGATAAAAGCGAGACTCTGTCTCAAACAAAAAAAGAATTAAAAAAAATTAACTTTTTTCCTATATACACACGCACACACACACACACACACACACACACACACACAAAACTCACACCAATTTTTAAAGGATTTCTCCCAAGTTTCAGACTCTTAACTTCTGAGGTTCCTATTGAACTCCTCAGGGAGCATCATGCATGAGAAATTACAATCGGTTAGTAGCTAGCTGGAATTTGCAAAACATCCCACATTCTGATTTGTGATAACCCAGGCCCAGCATTAGATATCAGGAACTAGACCTATTATTAACCCTTCTTTATGGGGTGAGGTCATTGCTGAGACGTTTGAATCAGACCAGAGAACAGGAAATGAGAAAGAGAAGGAGTGCACAGCATGATAGCAAGGTCATCCTTATCATTCTTAAGGTATCTTACCTCCCTCTGGTCATTATCTAAACGCAGGTGTTCTGTGTGCTGCTTCTGCCGATCTTTCCGCCTCCACTGGGCAGGGGCATTCCTTTTCGTCCACCTAACACAATCAGAACCAAAGCAGGCAATTAATAATGTCTCACTTAAAAAGCAATGTCAACTAACAGGAGAAAACATGAATGACTACGAGTCAATGCTGGACACAGGAAATGACCTAGATGTCACCAGAGACAGCTCAGAGACCTTGAGGAAGAGCAGATTAAAGATGAGTGACTGGACATGAGAGAGACACCTCCTCATGGAACATGTCTCTCTTGAAACATCTACAAACACTTGACATATAGATCTAAAACTATATTCACTTAACTCTATCTGGGCTTTGATACAGTCATCTTCAAAAGTAACTAATGAGTAATTCTGCTAACTTACCTACTTTTCAGTTCAGGTTCTGATTATTTCAACTGCCATTTATTAAATACAATGCTAGCTTGCTGTTGAATGGGATCCAGGCATGAGATGATTTTAACCCATCTGCAGCTTTTTGCAGGTCCTAGACATATGGAGCTATCCCAATCTGCATAGTGGAGGCAGAACTGAAAGATATTCTGTCACATACTTTCTTGTTCAAATAAGCAAACCACCTAGATAGTCTGGGTCTTCTCCATATCTGCTTTAGAAAAGTACAAGGTCTTCTAGGGGTAACAGCCCTAGCCCAGATACTAGATGACCCTATTACAGCTAGGGAGTTGGATTAGTGAATCCCTGGGGTTGACTCACTTGTTGCTGGCTGGCCCAGTGGAAAGTACATCAGACTGCAGCTTAGGGAAGAAGCCCGGCTCATATTTCCCTTGTCCAATCTTCATGTCAAGTAAATGTGGGTGAATTGCAGTATGGTCAATTTTTGCCAGACGCAGCTCAATTGCTTTCTCTGGATGAGAATACACACACACACACACACACACACACACATAAATACACACACAAATAAATCAAGTCAAACATTCTTTAAGAATCTAGCTACTCTTCCATTTCCAGCCAAGATAGAGTAAAAGGGACTGATTTTCCTGCCTAATAGGAAAAAACCCATGCAAAATAATATAAAATGATAAACTTCAGAATACTGGACATCAGGCAATGAAGGGCAGGACCCTGAGAAACAGGTAACAAATGAGGTAACCCCTAGAACTATCCCAGCTAACTGCTTAGAGAAAGCTTCCAGGCTGTGGCACAGGGAGGGGAGTTCTAGGCAGAGACTGGTGGACTCCCTGAGTTAAGGAGACCAAGGTGGCTAGAGTTCATATGAACAGTACCAGAGAAGAGAGAGAATCCAGGGGATCTGCAGGGCATTCAGCAGGGTAATGGGTCAGTTCACGCAAGTAAAGAAACTACTCAAGGCTGGAGAAAGAATCACCGGAAAGGATTAGGAGAAACAATACAAAATGCTCACACAGGGCTGGGAATAATGCCTGTCCCCACCTGCCAGACTAGAAAACCTAATCACTCATGGGGCACTGAGTAAAGTACTCAGAGGGTCTTGCCTCAGTAGTAGATAATTAATCACAGCCTAAAGGATGCTCTGGTCCTGCCAGAGGAAAGCACAAAGAAATCAAATTATTTCTAAGTAACTTAACTACATCCCAGAACAAAGACTGAGAATATTTATAGGAATATGGAAGTGTCCAGGACTCAAATAGTAAAATTCACAGTGTCTGGCATCTAATCAAAGATTACCAGGGCCTGATAGCTTACGCCTGTAATCCCAGCACTCTGGGAGGCCAAAGTGAGGGTATCATTTAAGGCCAGGACTTCAAGACCAGCCTGGGCAACATAGTGAGACCTCATCTCTTCAAAAAAAAAAAAAAAATGAGCCAGACATGGTGGCATACACCTTTATTCCTAGCTATTCAGGAGGCCAAGGCCAGAAGATCACTTGAGCCCAGGAGTTTAAGGTTATGGTGAGCTATAATTACACTACCGCACTCCAGCCTGGGCAACAAAGCAGAACCTCTTAAAAACAAACAAACAAACAACATCAACAACAAAAAACTAGAAACATGGAACTCAAACTTCTGAAGATGAAAGCTGTAATATCTGAGATGAAAAATACACGGGCTGGGTTAAAAGCACACTCAACAATGCAGGAGAAAAAATAAGTGAGCTTGAAGCCATAGCAAGAGAAATGATCCCAAAGAAGCCACAGAGAGAGAGAAAAAACTGTTGCCATTAAAAGAGTATCAGCGGTTCTGGGATAACTACGCAATCCCAGATATTACATGTATGTGTAACTGCAGTCCCTAAGGTAGGGATGGGGAGAACAGAAAAATTACTAGAAGAAATACTGGCCAGAATTTTTACAAATTTGACGTAAACAAAAAATCCACAGATCTAAAAAGCACAATGAGCTGCAAGCACAAGAATCATGAAGGAAACTACACCAAGCCACATCATAATCAAATTGCTCAAAATCAGTGATAAAAAGAAAATCTTAAAATCTGGTAGAGAAAGTAGACATTTTGTATATAGAGAAGATCAAAATTAAGGATGACAGCAGATTTCTTATCAGAAAACAATGGAAGTGTAATATGGTTTGGCTCCATGTCCGCACCCAAATCTCAACTTGAACTGTAATAATCCCCATGTGTGGTGGGAGGGACCCAGTGGGAGGTAACTGAATCACAGGGGCGGTTTCCCTCATGCTATTCTCGCGATAGTGAGTGAGTTCTCATAGATGTGATGGTTTCATAAGCATCTGGCATTTGCCCTCCTGGTACTCATTCTCTCTCCTGCTGTGCTGTGAAGAGGTGCCTTCCACCATGCTTGTAAGTTTCTTGAGGCATTCCCAGCCATGCGGAACTGAGTCAATTAAACCTCTTTCCTTTACAAATTACCCAGTCTTGGGTATTTCTTCATAGCAGCATGAGAATAAACTAATTATAAAGTGAGAAGACAGAGGAGCGACATCTTTTTTTTATTTTTATTTTTTTGAGACAGGGTCTCATTCTGTCGCCCGGGCTAGAGTGCTGTGGTGTGATCTTGGCTCACTACAACCTCCACCTTCCGGGTTCAAGCAATTCTTGTGCCTCAGCCTCCTGAGTAGCTTGGACTACAAGCACGTACTATCATGCCTGGCTAATTTTTTTTTTTTTTTATATGTTTAGTAGCAACGGGGTTTCACCATGTTGGCCAGGCTGGTCTCAAACTCCTGACCTCAAGTGTTCTGCCCACCTCAGACTCCCAAAGTGCTGGGATTACAGGAGTGAGCCACCGCGCCTGGCCTGGAGCAACATCTTTAGAGTACTGAAAGGAAAAAGCTATTAACCTATACTCAGGGAAAATACCTTTCAAAGACAAAAGAATTACAAAAGCTGAAAGAATTCATCACCAGCAGATCTACACTACAAGAAATGTTAAAGGAAGTCCTTCTGGCAGTAGGAAAATAATGCCAGATGGAAGTATGGATCTACAGAAAAGAAAGAAGAGCACCAGAAATGCTAACTACACAGTTAATGTATTAGATTTTGTACTTATTATTCAAATCCCTTTAAAAGGTAATTGACTGTTTAAACAAAAATGACCATGTAGTGTTAGGTTTATGACATATGTAAAAGTAAAATAGATGACAATAGCACGTCGGCTAGGAAGAGAGAAATGGAAATAGAGTTTTGTGAAGTTCTTTTTGTTGTTGTTTAGAGACAGGGTCTCATCATGTGATCCAAGTTGGACTCAAACTCCTGGGCTCAGGCAACCCTCCCCCTTCAGCTTACCAAACAGCTGGGAGTATGGGTGCACATGACTGTGCCTGGCAGTTCTGTACAGTTCTTATACTATGTGGAAAGTGATATTGTATCACCTAAAAGTAGACTGTGATAAGTTAAATGTGTACTATAAATCCTAAAGCAACTGCTAAAATAACACAAGTTATAGCTAGTAAACCAACAAAGTAGATAAAATGAAATCATAAAAAAAATTGAAAGGCCGGGTGCAGTGGCTCACGCCTGTAATCCCAGCACTTTGGGAGGCCGAGGCGGGCGGATCACGAGGTCAGGAGATCAAGAGATCAAGACCACGGTGAAACCCCGTCTCTACTAAAAATACAAAAAATTAGCTGGGCTGCGCAGTGGCGAGCGCCTGTAGTCCCAGCTACTCGGGAGGCTGAGGCAGGAGAATGGCGTGAACCCGGAAGGCAGAAGTTGCAGTGAGCCTAGATCTCGCCACTGCACTCCAGCCTGGGCGATAGAGCAAGACTCCGTCTCAAAAAAAAAAAAAAAAAAAAAAAAAAAGAAAAAAAAATTGAAAATATTCAATTAGTACACAAGAGGGCAGAAAAAGAAGAAAAGGGAACAAAGAACAGATGGGACAAATAGAAAACAAACAGCAAAATGACAGGCTTAAACCCAGCAATATCAATAATCATATTAAATGTACATGGTCTGAAGACCTCAGTTAAAAACCGGAAACTGTCAAATTGGATAAAAATGCAAAACCCAATTACATGCTGCCTACAATAAATACCCTTTAAATATAAAGACACAAATAGATTAAAAGTAAAATAATGACAAAGATATGCCCTGTTAGCACTAGTCAAAAGAAAGCTGGAGTAGTTATTAATATCAGACAAAACAGATTTCACAGTAAAGAATATTACTCTGAATAAAGAAGGTTATTTCTTTTTTTTTTTTTTTTAGAAAAAAAAATTAAAAATTAGCCAGGCATGGCGGCACACATCTACTGTCCTAGCTACTTGAGAAGCTAAGACGAGAGGATCCCTTCAGCCCACTAGTTCAAAGTTACAGAAAACCACGGCCACACCACTGCACTCTAGCCTGAGCAACAGAGCGAGACCCCATCAACATTAAAACAACAACAAAAAAAATCAATATAATTCACCATATTAACAAACTAAAGCTAAAAACCATATAATTACCTTGATAGATACAGAAAAAGCATTTGACAAAATTCAACATCCACCTCAGATAAAAACGCTGAACAAACTAGTAAGATCCTTAACTGCTAAAGGTTATCTATGAAAAACAAAGGAATAAGATGCCCACTCTCACCACTTCTATTTGACTTCGTACTAGAGGTTCAAGCCAGTGTAATACAGAAAAAAAATAAATAAATAAGAAGAAGAAGAAAAAGAAAAGGAAAAGAAATAAAAGGTATCCAGGGTGGTGGAAAGGAAAAGTAAAACTATCATTATTCACAGGTAATATGACTGTCTATGTAGAAAATCTGATGGATGTACAAAAAAGCTATTAAAAGTTAGTTTAGTATGGTTGCAGGACACAATATAAACATACAAAATGCTATTATAGTTCTATATACTAGCAATGAACAATTAGAAATTAAAATTAAGAAAGCAATAAAATAGCACCAAATTTATATAACACAAAACAATTTAAAATAACACCAAAAAATATGAACTACTTAGGGAAAAATCTGATAAGACATATAAAACCTGTACCCTGAAAAGTACATAATGCTGTTGAGAAAAATTAAAGATGACCTAAATAAATGGAAAGATATGCCATGTTAATGGATCAGAAGACTCGGTACTGTTAGGATGTCAAATATCAATCAAAATCTTGAAAGGTTTCTTTGCAGAAGTTGGCAAGTTGACTCTAAATATGTATGGAAATACAAAGAACCCAGAATAGCCAAAACAACTTTGAAAAGAACAAAGTTACAAGATTAACACTACTTGATTTCAAGATTTAATATAAGCTACAGTAATCATTTAATGTAAGCTACAGTAATCAAGACAGTGTGGTATTGGTATAAATGTAGACCAACAGATCAATGAAACAGAACAGAGAATCCAGAAGTAGACGAACACATATACAGACTAATAACATTTTGACAAAAGCAAAAAGGCAATTCATTAGAGAAAGGATGGTCTTTTCAACAGATGAATATCTATATGAAAAAAAAATGGACGCATAACTTATACTACTTACAAAATTAACTTGAAATGGATCAGAGACTTGAACGTAAAACCTAAAACTATAAAACTTCTACAGGGAAATATAGGGTAAAATCTCTATGTGACCTTGGTAGGGCAAAAGTGTCTTAGATACAATAAAAGTATAATCCAACTGATAAATTGGGCCTCATCAAAATAAAAGATTTTGTTCTCAAAAAGACAATTAGGCACACACAAATCAAAATCACGTCTCCCTTACATTTTCTAGTCTTCTCTCTTTACCTTTCATTCCTGTTCCAGGACCCTCATTAAGATGACCTTTTGGCAAAGTCCTTTTGGCAAAGGCTTGAGGACAAGTTGTCCATGCAATTAGACTACTTTAACTCAGTTAGAACATAGGTTCCTGAACTAGAAAATGTAAGACTTTGAACTAGAAAATGCAAGACTTTGTCTAAACTGTCAGCAGTTATATCTTCAAAGCCTAGAAACAAGCCTGGCAAATTCATTCATCTGGCAAATATTTCTTGAAGACTTGCCATACATTTGGCATCTGGTAGGTAGTTATAAAATGCAGCAAATGAGTGACCAAAATATACAAAAATGCCTTAACAAGGACACTGAACATCCTGCAGGAAGTGAACACACTACTTAATCTAGTACTTCAAGCTGAAACCATTCTCTAGCTAAACTAATGTAGATGAGTCCTCTGAACAAAAGGACATGTTCAATCATTTGTGTAGATTATAACATCCCTACATGCTGGGTACAATGCCAGAAGAATGGGGGTAAGAAAATGAGTAAATACAATCTCTGTCCTTAAGCTGTTCCCCAATAATGATAGCTAGAAAAAGTAGAGATTATTGAGTAAAAGCATGCACAAAGCACCACAGGAACAGAGAAGAAGAATCAACTGACTCAGTCTGGGGGCATCAGAGAAGGTTTCATAGAGAAGGAAATGTATCTGCTAGGTTTGTGTGGCAAATACCATCAACTGCTTACTCATAATTCATTCACCCCTTCTTTCTTGCTCATAGACCTTCATACTGTTCAGGGTAACATTATACCCAGTTCAATGTTCACTTTCACAGCTTCCCATGCACTTGAGGTTGATCATATAATATGATTTTGGCCTATGAGACAATGAAAGTTGTTAGAAATTTCTGGGAAAGCTTTTCCTTTCTGATAAAAGTGGGAAAAATAGGCTGGGCACAGTGGCTAACGCCTATAATCCTAGCACTTTGGAATGCAGAGGTGGGAGAACTGCTTGAGCCCAAGAGTTCGAGGCCAGCCTGGGCAACATGGCGAGACTCTGTCTCTAAAAAATATAAAAAATTAGCCAGGTATGGTGGTATGTGCCTGCAGTCCTAGCTACACGGGAGACTGAGGTGAGAGAATTGCTTGAGCCTAGGAAGTCAAGGCTGTGGCGAGCCATAATCGCACCACTACCCTCCAGCCTAGGCAACTGAGTGAGACCCTGTCTCGAAAAAAAAAAAAAAGAAAGAAAGAAAAAAAAAAAAGGTGGAATGGTGAATATAGCCGGCATCAACCTTCCCCTCTTCTTGCCTCGAATGTGAATATGAAAAGCTTCTGGGGCTGGAGCTGGGTGTGGTGGTTCATGCGCGTAATGCCAACACTTTGGGAGGCCAAGACAGGAGGATCACTTGAACGCAAAAATTGAAGACCAGACGGAGCATAGCAAAACCTTGTCTCCACAAAAAAAAAAAATTTTTTAATTAGCCAGGCATGGGAGCACATGCCTGTAGTCCCAGTTGCTTGGGAGGCTGAGGCAAGAGAATCACTTGAGCCCAAGAGTTCAAAAGCTGCAGTGAGCTATGTTCACACCACTGCATTTTAGCCTGGGTGACAGAGAGAGACCCTGTCACACAGGCAGAAAAAAGGGCAGAAAAGAAAGAGCTTCTGTAACCATGAGGCTTTCATTGACATCATTTAAAAAAAAAAAAAATGAGGCAACAGTATGACCATAAAAGCCAACAACAAGGATTCACTGAATAAAAAGACAGAATCTCAGTTCTTGTTTACATGGTTGAGCAGCTGAGCCAACCCCAGCAACCACCAATTGTGTACTTCTTGCTAATATAAGAAAAAGAACCCCCTATTTGTTTAACCCACTGCTGATTAGGGTCTCTACTACATACAATGAGATCCATTCCTAACTAACAGTGTTAAAGGATGAGAAGAAGATAACCAGGCAAAAAGAAAACAAGGAAGAAGACTGCAGGCAATGGGAACCACATACACAAAGGCAGAAACAGATAAAGAGGCTGGCATATTTAGGAAAAGGGACATGTTAATGCCATAATCCAAGAGGCCTGAATGTACATTTCCAAGGAGGCCTTACCTGCTTCATCCACAGTGGTACACTTCTGGTACATGGATGTACGGAGAGTAGGTGTCCGAACATTCAACAGCCTGATCTTGTCAACTCGGGAATCAAATACCCGGAGTACAGGGTCTTTATCATCATCATCATGACACATTATTTTGTTGTCAATGAAAGATGCAAACATCTGGGTCTCCAGGAATCTTGAGAGGAAGGGCAGGTAGGGCTCAGGCTGATCTGACAGAAAAGATGCCTGGTGGGACCAAAAAGAAGCAGTAATTGACAGGGAAAAGGGTAATGTCAATGTGCCCAAGGGATCCAGTAGGTTAATTATTCTCTGAGGCTGCCTAGGTCTTTAAGAATACCAAGCTGCAAAATCTCTACATTAAAAAAAAAAAAACCCACTCATGTAAGTTCAGGTATCTTGAAACTTTGACACTGGAACAAACTCACTTGGGTAACCTACTGAGTCAACCAATCTTCCCAGAATCCTGATGTTCACTCTACATGTCTATCTTTGCCTTAAGAGATCCCTTTGGCTGAAGGTAAATCGTCTGATAATAATAATCAGCACATCTATTCATAAGCAACAAGACCTATTTTATCAACATCAAATGGACCATAAACTTGTTTCCAGCATATGATAATCTTCCATTACTTCTTCGAGTAATTTTCCATTACTTCTTCAAGACATAACTGGCAAGTTCTCATTCCTCACCACCTCCCAAGCAGGATTACACTCACTTTATCAAAGTTTTGCATTTGCTCCCTGTTGGTAAACCAGGATTCCTTATCCTGGCTGGGTTGGATGACAAACACCTCATAATCTGCAAACATCTGAGTGAAACGATTTGCAAAAACTTCCCGGATCTGAATGTTTAGCTGGTAAATCCTGAGTTCTTCTTCATCACACTGAACTTTGAGATCCTTATTGCTGCTGGGGTCTTCACGCACTTCCAACTACAAAAAAAGAAAAAGCAGTTGAGAACACATACACTTTTTCCTTTTAACCCAAGGAATGCAATTCCTGATTTTTTTATCTGATTTTTTTTTACAGTGCTAATTTACTTAGCAGGAAATGATGAGAACAAAAGAGGAAAAACTGGAAAAAATAAATAAATAAAAGGAAAGGGACTCAGACACAGAGGAGAGAAAAGTCAAAGAGTTTCACTTAAAGATATCCAACAACTCAATGAAAGTGGAGATAAGATCTTTATGGGCAGAGAGAGATTCTGCCATGAAAGAAAAGGTGCTAATTATCTCAAAGGTCAGGGAGAAAGGAAGGAATGTGGGAGGTCAATTTAACAAACCAACAAGGTTAAATTCTGGCTCTCTTGATTTTTTATTTTTTCCCTCATATCACTTTCCTTCTTTCTGCAAAAAAACCTTTTTTTTTTTTTTTTGAGACAGAGTTTCGCTCTTGTTGCCCAGGCTGGAGTGCAATGGCGCCATCTCGGCTCACCGCAACCTCTGCCTCCCAGGTTCAAGTGATTCTCCTACCTCACCCTCCCCAGTAGCTGGGATTACAGGCATGCGCCACCACGCCCGGCTAATTTTGTATTTTCAGTAGAGACGGGGTGTCTCCATGTTGGTCAGACTGGTCTCGAACTCCCAACCTCTGGTGATCCTCCCACCTCAGCCTCCCAAAGTGCTGGGATTACAGGCGTGAGCCACCGCATCCAGCCCAAAACACCTTTTTAATCTCACCAAATATTTCTGTTCCTCTTTAACTGCCCATGATTTTTGAAAAATATCTAGTCTACTAAGCAAAAAAAAAATCTGCTCCACTAAAGCAGAAAAAATGAAATATTTCACTAAAAAACAGCCCAACAAGATTATTACATTGGCCCATTGGTTTATAAGTAACTTACGAAAGTAATTTAACAGTGAGAATTCAAGAGGACTAGATTCTAGGCTCAGCTCAGCTACATATTAGGCATTTAATCTTGGGCAAAACACTTAGGCTCTCTAAGCCTTGGTTTCTTTGGCTATAAAACCTGTTCTATCTGCCTTAGGTTGCTGTGAAACTCAAAGGGCAATGGATCTAAAAGAGATCTGGGCCTGGCACGGTGGCTCACACTTATAATCCCACCACTTTGGGAGGCAAGGCTGGAGGACTGCTTGAGCCCGGAAGTTTGAGACTAGCTGAGCAACATAGTGAGACCCTGCCTCTACAAAAAAAAAATAATAATAATTGGGTGTGGTGGCATGCACCTGTGGTCCCAGCTACTTGAGAGGCTGAGGCAGAAGGATCACCTGAGCCCAGGAGATTGAGGCTGCAGTGAGCCGTGACCGTGCCACCACACTCCAGCCTGAGTGACAGAGTAAGAACCTCTCTCAAAAAATAAAAGAGGTCTGAACACTAAGATTACTATCATGGTCTCTCCAATCACTGTGCTGTAGTGTTCACATAGAATGATGGCAGACTCTCCCTGATGTTCAAAGCGGAAGCTACTCAGATTTAGATTAAAGTAGCATTTACTAGGATAACATCTGCCAGATGGAATTCAGAGTCCCCCATACAGAACATTCTTTCACTGCTCACAAATATGAGTTGTCCAGAACTGGGTGCTTTCTCATCCCATACCTTACTTCACCAGGACAGCACCCTAGCACAGATCACACGTGTCACAGACTCATATACACATCTTACCTTTTCCAGGCTCACCCCAGTTCTCTTGACCAAGGCTTGCAGCCGGGCAATAGTTTCATTCTCCTTAAGAAGCTCGTAGGAATGCAAAGGGGAGCCAGCAATGTTCCCATTCCTCTTGTCCGAGACAAGCTCAGAGGCCCGCAGCCTCTTCAGCTTGGAGGCACTCTCACTGCAATGAAGATTCCCTTCAGGGGGAATTCCAAATGCCATGAGAATCTCAGAGACTTCCTGGACAAACTCCAATTTGTTGGGGAACTGTGGCAAGTCCTCTGGCAACTCAATGAAGTGGTTGTCAATGTCCACAAAGCAGAGGTTAGCCTGGAAGTCAAAACAGGATGAGGAGTATGAATAACTCCAGAGCATTACAGGAAGAAGTTTTAGAAAGGTTAGTGAACAAGAGGGCAAAAACAAAACACCTGAAATGGCTATATTTGAGATATGGTATAAGGAAGATAGGGCTCAGAAATAAGACAGACTTGAGTTCCAATATTACCCTGCCACATTCTCGTTGTGTGACCTTAGGAAAGTTACTTAACCTTTCTGATTCTATTTCCTTAGCTGTAAAATGGAGATAAAGAGATAAACAATGTATGTTAGAGTGGTGAAGATTTTATAATGTCATAGATGTTTAGCATCAAACACAAAAGTCTCACACATGGTAAACACTCATTAAATGTTTGGTAAAGGCCAGGCGCAGTGGCTCACATCTGCAATGCCAACACTCTGGGAGGCTGAGATGGGCGGATCACTTGAACCCAGACTGTTGCCCAGACTGGTCTGGGCAACATGGAGAAACCCAGTCTCTACAAAAAAATGCAAAAATTAGCCAGGGATGGTGGCATGCACCTACAGTCCCAGCTACTTGAGAGGCTGAGGTAGGAGGGATCACCTGAGCCCAAGAAGCTGAGGCTGCAGTGAGCCATGATCACACCACTGCACTCCAGCCTGGGCAACAGAGTGAGACTCTGTCTCAAAAAATAAAAAATAAATTCCTGGTGAATTTGTGAATTCTATACTCAGTGAAAAGAACCCTAGGAGTGAGTTCAAAAAGTCTAGGTTCCAGATTTGACTCTGTTATGATCTCCCTCTATGACCCTGGATATACCATTCTCTCTTTCTGAGCCTCAGTCTTAATTTGTAAGGTTTAGTGGCTGATCTTTGTTCTTTCTGTGCTTCCTTCTGGATTTAAAATTGCTTCTGAGAGAATGTAAAGAGATAGTGCTCACACACTGCTGATGGGGTAGATAATCTGGATTAACAAACAATTTAGGGGCCAGGAGCAGTGGTTCATGCCTGTAATCCCAGCACTTTGGGAGGCTGAGGCAGATCACCTGAGGTCAGAGGTTTGAGACCAGACTGGCCAACATGGTGAAACCCCATCTCTGCTAAAAGTACAAAAAGTAGCCAGGTGTGGTGATGGGCACCTGTAATCCCAGCTACTCGGGAGGCTGAGGCAGAACAATTGCTTGAACCCAGGAGGCAGAGGTTACAGTAAGCTGAGATTGTGCCACTGCACTCCAGCCTGGGCAAGAGAGTGAGACTCCCTCTCAAAAAACAAACTAACAAAAAACCCCCACAGTAATGCAGCAGTATCTAGCTATCCCTATTTTACAGACAAAAACTGACACAGAGAGGTTAAGTAACATGCCAAAAGTCACACAGCTATTAACTAGTACAGCTGGGACTTGAACTCAGCTACCCTGACTTCAGTCATATGCTTAAGCTCTTAACCATCTACTCTTCTCCTCTTTAGCGGTCTTGTACATTTAATTTAAATACTTTGTAGTTTAACAATGGTATACTATTCCACCATAAAAATGAATGAAATCCTGTCATTCATGGCAATATGGATGAGCCTGGAGCATATTATGTTAAGTGAAATAAGCTAGGCACAGAAAGATAAATACCACATGTTCTCACTTGTATGTGGGAGCTAAATATGTTGATCTCACTGAAGTAGAGAATAGAAGAGTGGTTACCAGAGACTGGGAAGGGTGGCAAGGAGGAGGAATAGAAAGAGACTGATTATCCAATACAAAATTATGGCTAGACAGGAGGATTGCAGTCTTCTATAGCACTGTAGGGTGACTACACTCAACAAACATTTGTTGTATTTTTTCAAGTAGCTAGAAAAGAGGATTCTGAATGTTACCAATATAAATAAATAAAAAAGGTTTGAGATGATGGATATGCTAATTACCATTTGATCATTACATACACCCCCATTTGATCATTACATACATGTACTGAAATATACCATACCCTGTAAATATGTATAATTATGTGTCAATAAAAATGTGTGTGTACATATATATTTAAATACTTTGTAGTTCTTGTCCCTGTTGGAATGTTCTTGCAGGTATAAATTACAGAAGCCTTTCATATTTGTATATTTATCTTATACTCATGAATCTGTTCTAGCCAAGACAACATTGCCTTCATTGCAGCACATTATTAAATGCTTAAGGGTGCTTCTGTTCCATTCACGTAACAGAGATAACAATATTACCAATGTCATAGACTTGTTTTGAGGATTATATAACAATAAATGTCAAGGATTTAGCACAGTGCCAGGCACATAGTACATAATAAATGTTAATCAACATTTATTATATATATGTATGTATGCCTTTAAATTTTTACATATTTTTAAATTTCATACAGGTTTTTAACTTTTTTTTTTTTTTTGAGACAGAGTTTTGCTCTATTGCCCAGTCTGGAGTGCAGTGGCACAGTCATGGCTCACTGCAGCCTTGACTTCCTGGGCTGCCAAGTAGCTTGGACTATAGGCACACAACATCACACCTGGCTAATTGTTGTTGTTGAGACAGAGTGTCGCTGTGTTGCCCAGGCTGGTCTTGAACTCCTGGCCTCAAGCAATCCTCCCACCTCAGCCTCCCAAAATACTGGGTGGGATCAGGTGTGAGCCACCACACCCAGCCAGGTTTTTAAATTTTATACAAGGATTATCATTCCATAAGCAGTCTTTTGGTAGTAACTTCAATCAACATTAGGTTGAGATTCAACCATTTTGTTGTGTGTAGCCATACTTCATTCATTTTCACTCTTCTATAATATTCCACCAATATGAATATAACATAATATATTGATCAGTTTTCCTGTTAAAAGACATTTGAGGCCGGGCGCCGTGGCTCACCCCTGTAATCCCAGCTACTAGGGAAGCTGAGGCAGGAGAATCGCTTGAACCTGGGAGGCAGAGGTTGCAGGGAGCCGAGATCATGCCATTGCACTACAGCTTGGGCAACAACAGTGAAACTCCATCTCAAAAAAAAAAAGACATTTGGGCCGGGCACAGTGGCTCACACCTGTAATCCCAGCACTTTGGGAGGCCGAGGCGGGCGCATCACAAGGTCAGGAGATAGAGACCATCCTAGCCAACATGGTGAAACCCTGTCTCTACTAAAAATGCAAAAAAATTAGCCGGGCGTGGTGGCGGGTGCCTATAGTCCCAGCTACTTGGAAGGCTGAGGCAGGAGAATGTCATGAACCTCGGAGGCGGAGCTTGCAGTGAGCCAAGATCGCGCCACTGCACTCCAGCCTGGGCGACAGAGCGAGACTCCGTCTCAAAAGAAAAAAAAAAAAGACATTTCAGTTGTTTTTTGTTTACTGTATTTACACTGATTGTTATTACATGTTTTCTTGGACTCCTGCAAGATTTTATATATGGGTATATCCTAGGAGTAGAACCACAGTGTTGTAAGGTATGCAAATATCCCACTTTAGAAAATGATGCCTAGCTGTATTCCAAAGTGGTTGCAACAATTTACATTTTTAACCAGCAAACTAAAGTGATCCTACTGATCCAAATCCCTCCCAAAACTTGGTATTATCACACTTCTTGAAATTTGCCAACAAAATGAGCATAAAATGGCACTGCATCGTGTATTTGATTTCACTTCCCTGATTAAGAAATTAAGAGAAATTAAGAAATGTGCATTTTTTACGCAATGCCTGTTCATATCTTATGCCATGTTTCTATTGGATTGCTTATCACCTTCTTACCCACTTGCAGTTCTTTATATTCTGTTGATATTAACTCTTTGTAGGTTATAAATGTTATGTATTTCTTCAGTTTTTATCTTTAAGGTGTCTTTTTCTTCATTTAGAAAATCCAATTTATCAGGCTGGGCACAGTGCCTCACGCCTGTAATCCCAGCACTTTGGGAGGCCAGGTGGGTGGATCACCTGAGGTCAGGAGTTCGAGACCAGCCTGACCAACATGGCGAAACCTCATCTCTACTAAAAATACAAAAATTAGCCGGGCATTGTGGCACACACCTGTAATCCCAGCTACTTGGGAGGCTGAGGCAGGAGAATCATATGAACCCAGCAGGCGGAGTCTGCAGTGAGTCGAGATTGCGCCACTGCACTCCAGCCTGGGCGACAGTGTGAGACTCTGGACCAATTAAAAAAAACCCCCAATTATCAATCTTTTATTTTCTTTGATGGATAGTGCTTTTTATAACTTGTTTACAAAACTCCTTCCCTAGCCAGAAGTCAGAAAGGTATTTATTAATTTTTTTTTCCACAAGATTTAAACTTGTGCTTTTGACATTTAACTTCTTAATCCATCTGAAGTTGATTTTGTTATGGTTTACTTTTTTCCCCTACAGATAAGCAATTTTTCCAGCTCCATTATTAAATAGCTCTTCCTTGAGTGTGTATCCCTATTGTATATCTAAATGTTGTTTCATTGATCTGTTTCTCCCTATGCCAACAAGTCATATTCTAAAAGAAAACACTGCAGGGGCTAGGGGAGGGATAGCATTAGGAGAAATACCCTAATGTAGATAACAGGTTGATGGATGCAGCAAACCACCATGGCACATGTATACCTATGTTACAACCCTGCACGTTCTGCACATGTATCCCAGAACTTAAGATGTATATGTGTCTGTGTGTGCTTGTATATTTGTGTATCTGTGTGTCTCTGTACGTGTCTGTGTCTACGTGTGTGTTGTTCCTGTATGTGTGGTCTGCGTCTGTGTGTGTGGCTGTGTATGTTATCTCTGTGTCTTTGTGCCTCTGTGTGAGCTGTCTGTAAATTTGTGTGTGTGTATCTGTGTCTGTGTTGTCTGTGTGTGTGCGTTTTCTGGATGTTTACGTGTCTGTGCATGTGTGTCTATTGTATTTCTGTGTGTTGTCTCTGTGTGTCTGTATTGTCTCTGTGTCTGTGATAATAAAAAATAAAAAAGAAGACACTGAAGGGTAGGCGTAAGTCCAGCTTAATATAACTATTTCATAAACTCTCAATCTATTAAAACTGCATGTTTAACAAGTCCATGTGTGTATCATTCAATAAACATTTGCTGAGTGCATAAATTACTCTGTCTACCAATCTATAACTAAGAGAGCTTTCCCATGTCAAAAATTCAAAGACTGTAAGAATCACTTTAAATTTCACTTTCTAGAGCTCCTCCACTGGATAACAACTTTGAACCCCACCTAGTCAAAAGGCCAATAAATGTTTAACTTAACACCTAAAAACACGCTACATTTTGCTTATTCCTTTAAGATTTTAAAATTATGTCATCAGGCTGCGCCATTAGAAGAGATAAAGACAGAATTAAATCATCTAGTCATGAAGATCACCTGCCTCATAAGCCCTGTCCATACACCTAACAAAACAAGCCACTGTGACCCACGAAAGGCACACAATGCAATCATTTACCTCCTCAGTTACCCTCTCCTCAGAAGAAAAAAGCAGTTTCTCCAATAGGAAACACAGAAACAGCTAGAAATACCTACATCTACTAAACAATGCTTGGTTGGCTTTTCTCCCACTACTGTGAACCAAATATAGAGTCTGTAAAGAATCTTTAAAACTCCAAATGCTGTGTCCACATTTGTAGAAACCTTTGGTCAGAGGTGGGTAGAGAAGAAATATGCCCATGCACATTTCAGAGATGAATTAGATTAAGATAAGATAGGACCCTCTGAGTAGGCACCACTAGCCATTCTTTGCAAAAATTGGTTGAAGTTAATATACCCTAGAGACTGAGTTTTAAAAGAGCCGGGTGCGGTGGCTCACGCCTGTAATCCCAGCACTTTGGGAGGCTGAGGCGGGCAGATCACTTGAAGTCAGGAGTTCAAGACCAGTCTGGCCAACATGGTGAAACCCCGTCTCTACTAAAAACACAAAAAAAATTAGCCAGGCATTGCGGTGTGTGCCTGTAATCCCAGCTACTCGGGAGACTGAGGCAGGAAAATTGCTTGAACCCGTGAAGCAGAGGTTGCAGTGAGCTGAGATGGCACCACTGCACTCCAGCCTAGGTAACAGAGCAAGACTCCATCTCAAACAAAAAAAAGAGAAGAAAGAATTGAGCTAAAGGAGGGAGTGGTAAAAAAGCAAATTACTACACTCATACAATAGTCAATTACTAGACTCATACAATAGCCTCATGCTGTTTCCTCCCATCATACAGAGGGGCTCTAGCACACAGAAGCACTTACAAAATACTAGGAACTCCTCATATATCCTCCTTCCTCAGCTGACGAGGGGTTACTTCTTACCTAACAGCTTTGGGGAGAGTAGCCTGGAAGAGGTACCGAATGCCAAGTGATCAGTTTTCCTCTGTTAACCTCCTGCCTTGTTGAGAGGGATGATGGGTAGACTTAGCTGCTCTGAGGTAGTGATCACATGGATCCCCCAAATCCCAAGAAGTCTCCCAAATATCTTCCGCTCAAGGTCACAATGATCTTTCCCAATGCTCAATTCCTAATACCAAAAAACAGCCAGCCTGTTTCTCCAGTCTATCCTCATGTTATTCATTGAAAAGGAGTTCAACACACAGATGACTGGGAAAAAGCTATTGAAGGAGTGTCCTGAGAAAATGGGGGAAAAGTAGGAAAAAGGGGTCCAAGATAGAAAAAAATGGTACCCCTTTCTTTACTCTAATATCCTTTGCTTAATTCTGTAATATAGCTGTGGATGAAATGCCTCCTTCCTGAACTCAGACAACGAAGCTCCAAAGAGAAGCCTAAGACAAAGGATGCCTCACAAAGGCAGCTCAGTACCTTCACTTGCTCAGGGCCAGCTGAGCTCATGTGTTGGTGCAAAAAGGAACAAAAAGCTTTTTACAGACTTCTGATGCCCAAAGACGGCAGTAACTGATGAATTCTGATTTGGTGGGCTAGGAAATGTACACTCTCTGTCCCTCTGGAGAAAGTCCTTTTTATAAACCAAGCTTGCCCCACCTCACTACCCTGATGATGCCCCCTTATACGGTCCCAGGTAAATTTCCCCAGCCCTGCCGGATATGGTTTGGCTGTGTCCCCACCCAAATCTCATCTTAAATTCTCACGTGTTGTGGGAGGGACCCAGTGGGGGATAGTTGAATCATGGCGGCAGGTCTTTCCCATACTGTTCTTGTGACAGTGAATAAGTCTCAAGAGATCTGATGGTTTTATAAGGGGGAGTTTCCCTGCAGAAGCTCTCTCTTTGCCTGCTGCCATCCATGTAAACATGATTTGCTCCTCCTTGCCTTCCACCATGATTGTGAGGCTTCCCCAGCCACGAGGAACTGTTAAGTCCATTAAACCTCTTTTTCTTCCCACTCTCAGGTATGTCTTTATCAGCAACATGAGAAAAGACTAACACAGTTAATTGGTACCAGTAGAGTGGGGCGCTGCTTAAAAGATACCCAAAAATGTGGAAGCAACATTGAAACTGGGTGTCAGGCAGAGATTGGAACAGTTTGGAGGGATCAGGAGAAGACAGGAAAATGTGGGAAAGTTTGGAACTCCCTAGAGACTTGTTGAATGGCTGTGACCAAAATGCTAATAATGATATGGACAATGAAATCCAGGCTGAGGTGGTTTCAGATGGAGATAAGGAACTTGCTGGGAACTGGAGCAAAGGTGACTCTTGTGTTTTACTGAAGAGACTGGCGGCATTTTGCCCCTACCCTAGAGATTTGTGTGACTTTGAACTTAAGAGAGATGATCTAGGGTATCTGGCAGAAGAAATTTCTAAGCAGCAAAGCATTCAAGAGGTCTCTTGGGTGCTGTTAAAGACATTCAGTTTTAAAAGGGAAACAGAGCATAAAAGTTTGGAAAATTTGCAGCCTGACAATGCAATAGAAAAGAAAATCCCATTTTCTGAGGAGAAAAGTCAAGCTGGCTACAGAAATTTACATAAGTAACAAGAAGCCAAATGTTAATCCCCAAGACAATGGGGGTAAATGTCTCCAGAGCATATCAGAGGTCTTCACGGCAGCCCCTCCCTTTACAGGCCTGGGGGCCTAGGAGGAAAAAGTGGTTTCGTGGGCCTGACACAGGGTCCCCATGCTGTGTGCAGCCTAGGGACTTGGTGCCCTGCATCCCAGCTGCTCCAGCTGTGGCTGAAAGGGGCTATCACAGAGCTCAGGCTGTGGCTTCAGAGGGTGCAAGTCCCAAGCCTTGGCAGCTTCCACGTGGTATTGAGCCTGCAAGTACATGGAAGTCAAGAATTGGGGTTTGGGAACCTCTGCCTAGATTTTTGCAGAGGTACGGAAATACCTGGATGCCCAGAGAGAAGTTTGTTGCAGGGACAGGGCCCTCATGGAGAACTTCTGCTAGAGTAGTGCGGAAGGGAAATGTAGGGTCAGAGCCCCCACACAGAGTCCCTACTGAGACACTGCCTAGTGGAGCTGTGAGAAGAAAGCCATCATCCTTCAGACCCCAGAATGGTAGATCCACTGACAGCTTGCACTGTGTGCCTGGAAAAGCCACAGACACTCAACGCCAGCCCATAAAAGCAGCCAGGAGGGAGGCTGTACCCTGCAAAGCCACAGGGGTGGAGCAGCCCAAGACTATGGGAACCCACCTCTTTTTTTGTTGCTGTTGTTTGGTTTTTTTTTTTTGGTTTTTTTGTTTGTTTGTTTGTTTTTGAGATGGAGTTTCACTATTGTTGCCCAGGCTAGAGTGCAATGGCACAATCTCAGCTCACTGCAACCTCCACCTCCCAGATTCAAGCAATTCTCCTGCCTCAGCCTCTCGAGTAGGTGGGATAACAGGCTTGTGCCACCATGCCCAGCCAATTTTGTGTTTTAAGTAGAGATGGCGTATCTCCACGTTGGTCAGGCTGGTCTTGAACTCCCGACCTCAGGTGATCCACCTGCCTCGGCCTCCCAAAGTGCTGGGATTACAGGCGTGAGCCACTGTGCCCAGCCAGGGAATCCACCTCTTGCATCAGTGTGACCTGGACGTGAGACACGGAGTCAAAGGAGATCATTTTGGAACTTTAAGATTTGACTGCCCCGCTGGATTTCAGACTTGCATGGGGCCTGCAGCTCTTTGTTTTTGGCCAATTTCTCTCATTTGGAATGGCAATATTTATCTAATGCCTGTACCCTCATTGTATCTAGGAAGTAACTAACTTGCTTTTGATTTTACAGGCTTATAAGGAAAGGACTTGTCTTGTCTCAGATGAGACTTTAGACTATGGACTTTTGAGTTAATGCTGAAATAAGATTTTGGGGGACTGTTGGGAGGCATGATTGGTTATAAAATGTGAGGGCATAAGATTTGGAAGGGGCCAGGGCAGAGTGATACGGTTTGGCTGTGTCCCCACCCAAATCTCATCTTAAATTCCCATGTGTTGTGTGAGGTACCCAGTAGGGGGTAGTTGAATCATGGGGGCAGGTCTTTCCCATGCTGTTCTCGTGATAGTGAATAAGTCTCACAAGATCTGATGGTTTCATAAGGGGGAGTTTCCCTGCACAAGCTCTCTCTTTGCCTGCTGCCATCCATGTAAGACGTGACTTGCTCCTCCTTGCCTTCCACCATGATTGTGAGGCTTTCCCAGCCACATGGAACTCTAAGTCCATTAAACCTCTTTCTTTTGTAAACTGCCCGGTCTCAGGTATGTCTTTCTCAGCAGTGTAAAAATGGACTAATACACTGCCCCAAAGCTTCCTTCTAAGACTGTAGTTAAAAGATACCACATACTTTAAAGATGTGCATCAAAATATCAAAAGTAGTTATCTCTGGGTGGTAAAATTTGAGGTAATTTTAATTTTATTGTTTATGCTTTTGTGCACTGTTAGCATTTTTTACTATGAACATGTCATTTCTGAGACACCCCAAAGTCGTCTTTCAAAGCCAGCTCTCTTCCCCTAGTCTAAGGTTTTCCACGGGAAATACATAGGCTCAGATACCCCAGAGCTTATCTGCTAAAAATCAAGGTAGAAAATATCCAGCTATATAACTGCTCCCACAAATGTGTGACCTTCAGAAGACAGGTGTGGATGAACTAGGACTCTGAAACCCAAGAACCACTTATGAAGCACACACAGTTAATTCTACTGTTCCACTGTCACCACTCCTTCCCAAGCAGACTACAGGGGAGCCAGAAGCTCAGATACAAAGTTTATAGCAGGGATGGGGAATACAGCAACATGGAGGCTCCAATAGCCCAGAACAGAGGGAACTTTTGGGTTTCTTTTCTGTTTTTTTTTTGAGGTGGAGTCTCACACTGTCACCCAGGCTGGAGTGCAGTGGCGCGATCCACCCAGGTTGGAGTGCAGTGGCGTGATCTCGGCTCACTGCAACCTCTGGCTCCGGGCTTCAACAATTCTCCTGCCTCAGCCTCCCACGTAGCTGGGACTACAGGCGTGCACCACCATGCCCAGCTAATTTTTTTGTATTTTTAGTAGAGATGGAGTTTCACCATGTTGACCAGACTGGTCTCGAACTCCTGACTTCAGGTGATCTGCCCGCCTCGGCCTCCCAAAGTGATGGGATTATAGGCGTGAGCCACCGCACCCGGCCAACTTTTGGGTTTCTTAAACAACCCATGGTTTCTTAAACAGTCCCATTAAGAAATCTGTTGATCCCTCAGAGGTCCCTTTGTATAGCCGTATACATGAAGCACATAGGGAACAACGTTGAAAAATCCTAGAGAGATCAGAATTTGCCCCAAGTATAAAGAAAGCTGATGCCAAAGAGGAAAATAAAACTGAGAAATCTGGCTTCTTGCTTAGTGGCCTATGTATTAAAGTATGCACATAGCTTGCCTCTTTGGCCTTCCACCTTCAACAATTTTTTGTTATTGTTCTTTTTGTGACTTTACAGAATCATAATTAGGTTGACTAAGTTGTATCAATATTAAATAGACATTTGTTTAAAGCAAACAACAAAAAGCTCTTCTTTCTCCAGTCGACTCTTCAGGTTTATGTATGGTACAGTAAGCAAGTACACAAAAAACCCCAATATTATCTCAACTCAATGATTTTATCCATCATTTAGATTTTTTTTCCTTAATTAATCTTGTTCCACCCCAAAGAGCACAACGCTCTATAAAGTCAAAGAAGAAAAAAGGGCAGAAATGGAAGAAGCTACAAGGAAGACAAGGAAGACATTTTGATTCTAAAACTAAAGAAGAGAGAAAAGAGCAGAGATGCATTTGACTATAATTTAAATATCACAGACATGGTCTAATTATCAGGGTATTCATCAAAGATGCTGCCCAGTCATGACCAGTGACACAGTGCTGCCCAGATCCAGTTCCATGAGAATGCTCTCTTCTTGGGGCCCCTCACTTATATTCCTCACTTATATACAAAAATCTCTACCCCCGGCCGGGCGCGGTGGCTCACGCCTGTAATCCCAGCACTTTGGGAGGCCAAGGCGGGTGGATCATGAGGTCAGGCGTTCGAGACCAGCCTGGCCAACATAGTGAAACCCCGTCTCTACTAAAAATACAAAAATTTAGCCGGGTGTGGTGGTGGGCACCTGTAATCACAGCTACTTGGGAGACTGAAGCAGGAGAATCACTTGAACCTGGAAGGCAGAGGTTGCAGTCAGCCAAGATTGTGCCACTGCACTCCAGCCTGGGTGACAGTGCGAGACTTCGTCTCAAAAAAAAAACAAAAAAAAACAAAAAAAAAACTCTACCCCCAAAAAAATGGTGGTGGAAGGAGGAAACGAAGAGTCATGGTGACACCAGTGTATGTATACTCCAAAGTCTTCTTCCCAGGCCTTTCTAATGACTAAGAAATTCAAAGTAGGAAAGCACTTCCCTGCAGGTAGTTTCACAACAGCCACAAAGTAACATACCAGTTCTGCTGGTAATTCTAAAAAAATTAAAAATAAAAAATCTTATTTCTAATCATGCTTTAAATCTACTTTAGAATGGAATAGGAAATACATTATTTTAAATCAATTCTTTTCTTAGCCAGGCACAGTGGCTCATGCCTATAATCCCAACACTTTGGGAAGCCAAGGCAGGAGGATTACTTGAGCCCAGGAGTTCGAGACCAGCCTGGGCAACATGGTGAGACCCTGCATCTACAAGACATAAAAAAACAATTAGCTGGGCATCGTGGCACACTCCTTTAGTCCCAACTACTCAGGAGGCTGAGTCAGGAGGCTCACTTGAGCCCAGGAGTTCAAGGCTACAGTAAGCTACGATCATGCTACTGCACCCAGCCTGGGTAACACAGCAAGACCTTGTCTCTTAAAAAGCAAAACAAAACAAAAACAATAGCATAAATACAGAAATTACAATGTACATATGTCAGTTGATAAAGATAATAAGTGTCTCTGGGATGACATAAATTGAACTAAATATTCATTGTTTTTACTTTTTTCCTGAGAAGTTATTCATAATCACCAAAATAGAAGAAAATAAACTTGGTAACATCATGCATGCTGGGTTCATCCCAAAGCCCTTCTCTCCCCAATCCTGGATTGGGGCCAGAGGCACCAACACTCAAGATCTCACCTCTTGAGGCAGCTCCAGCTTTGACCGGTCATCCAGGCCATTGGAATGCAAACCCATCAGGTATGGAACAGGAGCATCTAAGAAATGCAGGAGAGAAGCTGGGAGAATAGGGACATAGACATGCTGCCACTGGAAAGGAAACATGAGAGCTGTAATCGTCTCCGCCACAGTCATCAGTCTCTGGTAATCTGGGTCAACAACAACAAAAAAAGCACACACACAAATCAGTCAAAAACAAGGCACTTGCTTTCCAAACAGTAAGTTAAAACTTTCAGTACAATTTCTTATTTAGAAACGATCACGATAAACTTCAGCTAGGGTATGCTCAATGTGATTCCCTTGAGGGTGTCCAAGAGACAACCAAGAGACCCTTGTGGACCACAAATTGAAATAAACCTACACACACAGGTCCTTGCTCATAATAAAATCTAATATGGAAATACAACAAAAATAATTAATGACATCTTGCTCCAAATACTACCACAGAATGTTAAGTAGATCCTCTTAAGAAAGGGGGTAGGAGAACTGAACAAAAAGAAAGACAGTGGTCCTGGGTCTCCATTCAGCATGGAAGCAAAAACATGCTCAGTTCTCACTAAGATACATCTGCAGAACATCCTATAAGGAGCTTATGTGAGCTTTGCCTGCAAAGTCAAGCACAAAGAACCACCAAGCATGCAGAAGCTGGTTTTCCACACTAGCCAAGTCTGCTCTACACCTGGCAACCTTTCCTGAATGAGAACAGCATAAAAATGTTATTATAACGTTTCAATAAAAAGCTTCCCTAGAGGCTGGGCATGGTGGCTCACGCCTGTAATGCCAGCACTTTGGGAGGCCGAGGCAGGTGAATCACTTGAGGTCAGGAGTTCGAGACCAGACTGGCCAACCAACATGGTGAAACCCCATCTCTACTAAAAATACAAAAATTAGCCGGGCGTGGTGGCATGCACCTGTAATCCCAGCTACTTGGGAGGCTGAGACGTAAGAATTGCTTGAACCTGGGAGGCAGAGGTTGCAGTGAGCCGAGACTGCACAGCTGCACACGCCAGCCAGTGACAGAGCTAGACTCCTTCTTAAAAAAAAAAAAAAGGCTTCCCTAGAACTTGAAAGACTCAGAGGATTGACTTTAGCTACTCAAAACTCTTGTTATAGGTCAGAGATCATAGCCTAAAGGGAAGGCTCGTGGGCTTGTGATCATATTTGGCTTATCTTCAGAATGTAATTTCTAGGCCTTTTTTTTTTTTGTGACGGGGTCTTGCTCTGTTGCCCAGGCTAGAGTGCAGTGGCACCATCTCAGCTCACTGCAACCTCCACCTCCTGGGTTCAAGTGATTCTCCTGCCTCAGCCTCCCGAGTAGCTGGGATTACAGGTGCCCACCACCGCACCTGGCTAATTTTGTGTTTTTGGTAGAGACGGGGTTTCACCACCTCGGCCAGGCTGGTCTCGAACTCCTAACCTTGTGATCCACCCGCCTCAGCCTCCCAAAGTGCTGGGATTACAGGTGTGAGCCACCGCGCCCAGCCAGCCTTTTTTTTTTTTTTTTAATGACTAATAAATATATTGGTACAGCCAATAAAATTGACTAGTTAAAACTTTTTTTTTTTTTTTGACGGAGTTTTGCTGTTATTGCCCAGGCTGCAGTGCAATGGCACAATCTCAGCTCCACAACCTCCACCTCCCGGGTTTAAGCGATTCTCCTGCCTCAGCCTCCTGAGTAGCTGGGATTACAGGCATGCGCCACCACCCGAGCTAATTTTGTATTTTTTAGTAGAGACAAGGTTTCTCCATGTCAGGCTGGTCACGAACTCCCAACCTCAGGTGATCCGCCTGCCTCGGCCTCCCAAAGTGCTGGGATTACAGGAATGAGCCACTGCGCTTGGCCTAAAACTTAAATTTTACAAATTACTATTTGTAATGATATGATGATATGATGGTTTCAGGCATTTAAGGACAAAGCAGAAATATGCATTTTTAAATCATATGAGTAAAATCCTTCTGGAATGGCTGGTTTCAAATGAGCTGTCATAGGAATTAAAATGATGTTATGCACTAAAAACCCACTCCACCATTTAAATCACAGCTTGGTTCATAAAGTAGTTGTAAGTAACAAAAAACTTTCTAGGAAATGAGGAAGTCTCAGTACAAAGGGAACAGAAGCTGAAAAGTATTAAGGTAGAAGTTTAGCAAAACATCCTACATTTGCTCACTAATAAAGCTTTGAAAGTTGCCTATCACCTTGCTCCTAGCTAATCAAAGAAGAGCATAACCTGTAGATAACTTTACTAGTGTGATAAATATGTATCTATTTGGTCTTTTCCCCGGTTCCTGAAACACACAGCTCCTAAAACCCTTGGAAGCTACTGGGCAGTAAGAATATCTTTTAAGTGACATTGTCTCAAAAAACAAAAAAAAAAGGATGTCTTTTAAATAGGGTGTAATGGCTCAAACCTGTAATCCCAGCACTTTTTTTGTTTTTTGAGACAAAGTCTCGCTCTGTCACCCAGGTTGGAGTGCAGTGGCGCAATCTCGGCTCACTGCAACCTATGCTTCCCAGGTTCAAGCGATTCTCTTGCCTCAGCCTCCCCAGTAGCTGGGATTATAGGCACGAGCCACCATGCCTGGCTAATTTTTGTATTTTTAGTAGAGAAGGAGTTTCATCATGTTGGCAAGGGTGGTCTCGAACTCCTCACCTCAAATGATCCACCCACCTCGGCCTCCCAAACTGCTGGGATTACAGGTGTGAGCCACCGTGCCCGGCCCATTTTTATGACTTGTATGTGCAGATAAAGACATCAGACTTGGAATCACTCTATAAATAAGCCCCCTCTAAACAAACTACAGGGCAGCTCCTACGTATTTATGAACAATTATAAACTATCCTGGGAGGTTGCAAAACAATGATTAGTATGCTCCCATTTGTGTTCTTTTTGAAAAGTATATATATAGTATATACACGGCTATATCTACAAGTAAGCAGAAAACAGTGGTAACCTCCCTGAAGGAGAACCAGGGTGCAGAGGCAGAAGTTACACACTTCGCTGTACACTCTTCTAATGCTGTGAATTTCTACCCTTCATTTTACACTCCTGAAATGCCTTTTTTCAAATTTTATTTTATTTATTTATTATTTTATTGGAGACAGGGTCTTGCTCTGTCGCCCAGGCTGGAGCGCAGTGGTGGGATCTCTGCTCACTGCAACCTCTGTCTCCTGGGTTCAAGTGATTCTCGTGCCTCAGCCTCTGGAGTAGCTGGGATTACAAGTGTGTACCACCACACCCAGCTAATTTTTGTATTTTTAGTAGAGATGAGGTTTTATCATGTTGGTCAGGTTGGTCTTAAGCTTCTGATCTCAAGTGATCTGTCCTCCTTGGCCTCTCAAAGTGCTGGGATTACAGGCGTGAGCCACCACACCTGGCCTCAAGTTTTATTTTAATATACCATACAGATTTCATAGTGTATATGTATAATTTAAAGAATATTAAAATTAATACACATATATTCAACACCTAACATAAAAAATAGTACATTAGGCCAGGTGTGGTGGCTCATGCCTGTAATCCTAGCACCTTGGCAGGCCAAGGTAGGCGGATCGCTTGAAGTCAGGAGTTTAAGACCAACCTGGCAAGAATAGCAAAACCCCGTCTCTACTAAAAACACAAAAATTAGCTGGGTATGGTGGCACGTGCCTGTAATCCCAGCTACTAGGGAGGCTGAGGCAGAAGAATCGTTTGAACCCGGGAGGCAGAGGTTGCAGCGAGCCAAGATCGCGCCACTGCACTCCAACCTGGGCAACAGAGTGAAACTCCATCTCAAAAAAAATATATATATATAGTGTATTATTAAAAATACTGGAAAAGAGGGAATTTTTAAAAATTAAGAGATTACTTCTCAGGGATAGGATACTAGATCAAAGAAAAAGGGGCTGAGTGCAGTGGCTCACGCCTGTAATCCCAACACTTTGGGAGGCCAAGGTGGCCAGTTCACTTGAGGTCAGGAGTTTGAGACCAGGCTGGCCAACATGGCAAATCCCATCTCTGCTAAAAATACAAAAATTAGCCAGGTGTGGTTGCACGTACCTGTAGTCCCAGCTACTTGGGGGGCTGAGGCACAAGAACTGCTTGAACCCAGGAGGTAGAAGCTATAGGGGGCTGAGATCGCGCCACTGCACTCTAGCCTGGGCAACAGAGCAAGACCCCGTCTTAAAAAAAAGTGAGTTGGGGAGAACCTTCAACTTTCTCTGCATTATTTGTGCACATATTATTTATTTGTTTTTAAAAACTATTATTTTCATTAAGGATACACAAAAAATTGGATATCCAGCTACTATATGAAGAAAAGAGAGGAAAATATTTGATTCCCTTTGGAATTGTTTTAATTATATGCCTTAAGCAATCATTATTTTTACAGTAAAAGACTACTTTAGATAGTAAAATATCATTGGAGATTTCTTACCAACGTCCACTTAGCCAACTCACTTTACCGATTGATTTTCCCCACTCTGAGTAAAGCATACATTGCTCCCACTCATTTGTTCCCAAACCTGTGCTAGCTGAACTTACTACTGGATTATACAACGTAACCAAATATTGTGTAAATAAATGGTAAAATCTGAGGGCAAAAAGAAAGGATGTCTGTTTCTCTGGAAACAAAATTAAATGCTTTTAAAAGACTCAGTAGTACAAAGTCACTAAAAAACACTGTAATTGAATTAGGCATATCATGAAGCAATTAAGAATAAAAAACTAGGGAACACTACAAAAATCTAGAAGTAGTCTCTGCTCATGTTCTTTTGCAAGGTTCTTTATCACTCCACTTTAAAAAAAAAAAAAAAGTAACCAGGGCTGGGCGCAGTGGCTCACACCTGTAATCCCAGCACTTTGAGGCCGAGGCGGGTGGATCACGAGGTCAAGAAATCGAGACCATCCTGGCCAACATGGAGAAACTGCATCTCTACCAAAAATACAAAAATTAGGTGGGCGTGGTGGTGCACACCTGTAGTCCCAGCTACTCAGGAGGCTGAGGCAGAAGAATTGCTTGAACTCAGGAGACAGAGGTTGCAGTGAGCCGAGATTGCGCCACTGCACTCCAGCCTGGCAACAGAGCAAGACTCCACCTCAAAAAAAAAAAGAAAAAAGAAAAGTAAAGTAACTAGGAAATCTAGTCAATGTATTATGGGTGTGGTTTATGCAAGAAGTGCAGATATCTGATTTGTGAAGTCATAATCATGAGAAATGCCTGGACCCTTCGTCAAAGATTAGTGACTATACAGTTATATGTTTTAAGTTAAATTATTTAGGCCAGGTGTGGTGGCTCATGCCTGTAATCCCAGCACTTTGGGAGGCTGAGGCTGGTGGATCACCTGAGATCAGGAGTTCGAGACCAGCCCGGCCAACATGGTGAAACCTCATCTCTACTAAAAATACAAAAATTAGCCAGGTGTGGTGTCCTAGCTACTCGGGAGGCTGAGGCAGGAGACTCACTTGATCCCAGGAGGCGGAGGTTGCAATGAGCCGAGATCATGCCACTGCATTCTAGCTTAGGCAACAAGAGCAAACTCCGTCTCAAAAATAATAATAAATAATAAATAGTTTAACTATAAAATTAATTGTACATATCATTTTTAGGATTCTGTGACTTAACTGACTTTTTTGGTTTCCAATCAACTACTCTATCAGGCCACTTCAGATAAAGAGCTTCTGTTCTGCATATAATTTTTAAATAAGGCCAGGTGCAGTGGCTCATGCCTGTAATCCCAGCACTTTGGGAGGCCAAGGAAGGTGGATTGCTTAAGCCCAGAGTTCAAGATCAGCCTGGGCAACATGGCAAAACCTCATCTCTACAAAAAATACAGAAACTAGCCAGACTCGGCAGTACATGCCTGTAGTCCCAGCTACCCAGGAGGCTGAGGTGGGAGGATCATCTGAGTCTGGGGAGGTCAAGGCTGCAGTGAGTCATGATTGTGCCACTGCACTCTAGCATAGGTGACAGAATGAGACCCTGTCTCAAAAAAAGTAACAATAATTTTTTAACAACCAATTAAAAATTATGCTATTAAAAAAACACTAATTCTATATGGACTAAAGAATAAATATTATCTAAAAGTAAATAAAATGACCTATACCAAAAAGAAAACACTGCTTAAAACTGCCAATTCAGCATTCCAAAGGGTTACACTTTCAGAATCTTACAATTCAGCCTGCATTCCTTTTCCCTATGTAACACCTCTTTTCTATTCAGAGGGCAGGACATGCAGCAGGCAAAATCAACTGCAGTGGTGATAGCTTGTTTTTGGCCAGAGTGATTTTTATCCATACAAGGAAGATGTCCTTGGATCATTAATATAACTACTTCAAGAAAACCAACCTAAATTGTTTAAAGCACTCTATTAACAACAAAAAGCATAATTTACATCCAATGAAAAGTAATCCACTCCACTGTGGCCTCAGCCAGGCTCAGCAATATCCAGGAATTTCTGAAAAAAGCTTTCTCTTGTCCATGCTGAGCCTGACTTTAGGTCCTAAGTTAAATTCAATTCTACATACTAACCATCTCAATTACATTCAAACCTCCTAAAATTCTTATTATGGATACAGTAACCCATATTCTAGGAAATACAAAAGAAACTCAGATGGAAGAATGTTATTTTTCCATTATGTTCATCATATTTGTTTCAATCATCCTTTCCTTGCCTCTAAACACCCCCAATGCCTAAAAGCCTACTGTATCTTCTAACACTCTATATAGTTTGGTTTCCTCCTCTCTGTTCTGTTCTAAACCAGAGAAGTTCCTCCCTATTCAACTAATTCTCCATTTCAAAGTATTTTTATGAAGCTCCAGCCAAGAAATAGCTAGGAAAGCAATATGATTTGTCCAAGTCTATATTTCACCCAGAGAGAGGAGGCTCTAACTTCGTATCTTAAACTAGAAGTTGCAAAGTGAAGCCTCAGGAACTACATTCAGCCAGCAGATGCTTTTTGTTTGGCCTGCAGTGTTTAAAAAGAACATTATTGCCAATATTTAAAAATCAGAGATTTCATGTAAAAAATCTGGGTCCTCATCAATTATTGGAATATTTAGTAACATCAGGCCAGTATACCCACAAGGAATTAACTGGAGCTAATTAGCGGCTATCCACTTTATATGAGGTATGTGCTCTTCAGTTCAACATAGTTTCCATTACTTCACCTTCAAACTATATCCAGAACCCAACCATTCCACACCACTTCACTGTTATCTCCTTAGTTCTAACTGACATCACCTCTCACCTGGATTATTACAAATTACCTCTTAACGGAACTCTTTGCTTTCTTCCATTCTCCCTTTGGGGATATACTCTTAATATAATGGCCAGAGTGATCCTGTTAAAAGCCTAAGTTATTCATTTATTTAACAACATTTATTGAGCACCCTTATATACCAGCCACAGTTTTAGTGCTTGGAATCCATCAATGAGCAAAAAGCAAAAGCCCTGCCATTGTGGAGGTCCATTCCTTTGCCCATGGACCAAATCTGGGAAATTTGAGCATCAAAATAAATAATTATAGTGAATTATAACCTGAGTAAAATAAAAATCTATGAATCCATACAATAATAAACAAAGGAGAAAGAAACACTCTTCATTATGGTATAATGCCAATTAATAAATAAAGATAAAGTTTGAAAACCACTATTCTGCCAGCCTGGGCAATAAAGCAAGAACCTAGCTCTACAAAAAAAAAAAATTTTTTTTTAATTAGCCAGGCATGGTGGTGGGCACCTGTAGTCCCAGCTACTCAGGCGGCTGAGATGGGAAGATCACTTGAGTCCAGGATATCAAGACTGCAGTGAGCCATTATTGTGCCACTACACTCTAGCCTGGGTGATAGAATAAGACTCTATTTCTTTAAAAAAAAAAAAAAATTTTAAGGCTGGGCACAGTGGCGCCTGTAATCCCAGCACTTTGGGAAACCAGGCAGGAGGTTCAGCCCAGGAGTTTGAGACCAGCCTGGGCAATGTAGCAAGACCCCATGTCTACAAAAAATAAAAAATTAGCCAAGCATGGTGGTGCATGCCTGTAGTTCCAGCTACACGGGAAGCTGAGGTGGGAGGATCACTTGAGCATGGGAGGACGAGGCTGCAGTGAGCCATGAAGGCACCACTTAACTCCAACCTGGGCAGCAGAGTGAGACCCTGTCTCAAAAGGAAAAAGAAAAGAAAAAGAAAATCACCTTTTTGCTACTATTCTTGAAATAACTGATTCAGAATAGAATCATCAATAAATGCTAAACTATTAGGCATCCATAAACTGCAAATATAATTCAAAAAATAAAAACTAAAAAAAAAATGGTTAGGCAAAACTTTAAAGAAGAACAGAATAATTAGTTTCAAAGTATCTCCCCATGACTTACATGTTAATTACCAAGGGAAAAATTATAACTTTCCAGTTAAGAAACCACAGACACCATCTTAACCAAGTAAGCAGATTAGTATCACCAAAAATGAGACAAAATGACATCATATGCCTGCCTCCTGTAATCATGAAAACTGACAGTATGTGCCTCCTAATATAATGCACTGAGAGAAGCACATCACTTCTATGGTATTTTAGGCAAAAATTTATAATCTGAATCTAATCATGAAAACATCAGACAAAACCAAATTAAGGGACAGTCTATAAAATAACTTGCTTGTACTCTTCAAAAATGTCTATGTCATGAAAGACAAAAGCTGAGAAACTCACAACTAAAAGCAATGCATGATATGGCACTAGATCCTGAATAAGGAATTTTTTTAAATTATCATAACAGACATTATCGGGTACCAGAGAAACTTTAATATAGTATTGTCTCAATGTTAGGTTTTCCAAATTTGATCAATGATAGTTATTTAAGAGAATGTTTTTATTCTTAGGAAATAAACACATGAGAATTTAGGAGTCACAATAACTCTCAATGGTTCAGTTATGTTCACACACAGAGATCATAATAAAGCAAATGTGGCAAAATGTTAACAATTGGTGAATTTGGGATAGGTTATACAAGAGTCCTTTGAATACCCCTCGCGAATCTTCCGTAGCTAGAAATTATTTTAAAATAAAAAGTAAAAAAAATTGAAAACTCTGATGGCTATCTAAGAGCCATTTAAGAGTAAAAGCCAAAGTCCTTACAATGGCCTACAAGATTCTATACCATCTGGCCTCCAGTTAAGTCTCTAACACCATCTCCTACTATACTCCCGCTCATTCACTCCATTCCATCCACCCAGCTTCTGGTTCTTGAATACACGAAGCACATTCTTGTCTTAGACCGTTTATACTTCCTGTGCCCTTTGCCTGGAATACTTTTCCTACAGATATTAACAGGTCACTCAGGGATGCCTACCTAACCACCCTATTACAAACTGGAACTTCTCTTCCCCAAATACTATCCCTTTCCCTGTTTTATTTTTCTTTATAACCCTTATTAAGTACCTTACAAACTACATATTTTATATATTTATTTAATCACCTCTCTTCTCCCACTAAAATTTAAGTTCCACTATAGCAACAATTTTTCTGTCTTGTCCACCACTACCCTTGAAACAATGCCTGACACATAGTGCACTCTCAGTAAATATGTACTGAATGAATGAATTTCATGTTACTAGCCTGGCTCATTAAGTAAGCATCTGTTTCTTTCTAATCTACTTTACTATTTTGTCCAAATATGCTGCTTACACTCAACCTCCCATTTATGAAAACAATTCAGTTAAGCAAACAACAAAAAGATGCAACACATCCACATTTTCTCAATATATAAAGGATTATCCTTTGTGAATCCTCAATTTTACTAGGCTGAGGAAGAGGCAGAAATAACTCTGCAGAATGACAGAACAGAACTGATGGAAAGTCAGCTTCCTGTGACCATCACCTCCTACCCACCCCTCTTTTCACTTCAATCAGAAGGGACATAGGAAGCAATGTTCCCCTCCAAGACTGGAATGCCCAGCAAAAGGCCATGAAGATAGTTAATCAGAAATACTGGCCCTCTCATGTCTATCAATTTGCCATCCACCACCTACCTGCAAAAGATCTGGGTTTTGCTCAAACTGTAATAGCTCTTAACCTTTACAGTCAGCCTCACTGTATCTGAACATGGAAAGCAAAGAAGCCTGAGGCAGGCAGAAGGCTCTAGTAAGCACTGACTTACGCTGTGAGTAGAGCAGGATTTGAAACTCCAGAAGGGCACAAGTAAAAAGCTGAAACACATTCTCCACCCCGAGCAGTTCAAAAACCTCTTTGACAGGAAAGTCAAATAGGGGAAGCTCATTGGTACTTGGTCTCTGGCAGATTATTGGCCCATAGACCCCAGAAAACTTCAAGGACCGGCCAGGAGGTGGGAGCGGCACCTCGTAGAGTACGTTGTATATGTAGCTCTCAAGGGGCAGTGGAGGGGGCTGAGGTGAAGTGACTGCCTGGTGGAGTTGCTCCAGCACGCTCCGACATGCCTTCATGAAAGACATGGGTGTGATGAGGCAGATGCACTTAGAGACGTAGAGAGTGTCCCGGCTAATGTCATAGGAGTTGAAGCGCTGCAGTTTGGTCACAGGAGTGTCTTCACCATCCTCCATGCTGCTCTGGTCTCTGTCATCAGCAGGGGGAGCATGTAGGACATCATACTCAGCATTGTGCATGTGGTAGAGGGTCTGCATTGCACTGCAGATCTGCTTGCTAGTCACCTCTTCATAAAATGTGAGGGCAAACCCAAATGTCCGAGAGCCATCCTCCCTTGTGATAATAAAGGCATGGAATTGGGGCTCCCTGGGATCAGCCTGGGTCTTGAATGCCAGCCCTTTCGGCATACATAGCTGCAAAAGACAACAAGGCAACAAGCAGTGAGAACACTCACTGGCGATCCTCTTTCAGAACACCATCACTATTTATTTATTTATAGAGCACCTACTAAGCTGAGCGTGTATCTGGCTTAAAGCTCTCTCTTTCTAATGCAAGACATGCAAGTAAATAAAATCATAATGCAGTCATCAGGGATATACAAAAGTATATGCAAAGTACTACAGGAACACAGCACAGACAACTCAGCCTGGGAATATCAGAAAAAGCTACAAAAATGGGCCAGGTGCAGTGGCTCACACCTGTAATCCCAGCATTTTGGGAGGCCAAGGCAGGTGGATCGCTTGAGGCCAGCAGTTCAAGACCAGCCTGGGCAACATGGCGAAACCCTGTCTCTACTAAAAACACAAAAATTAACCAGGTGTGCTGGTGCACGCCTATAATCCCAGCCACTGGGGAGGCCGAGGCATAAGAATCACTTGACTCAGGAGACGGAGGTTGCAGTGAGCCAAGATCATGCACTGCACTCCAGCCTGAGCGACAGAGCAAGACTGTCACCAAAAAAAGGTAATGTTAGAGTTCATCAAGTACACAAGGGATAGAAGGGTATTTTGGGGACAAGAAGAAAATGCACAAAGACATGGAGATAAAAGAAAACTTGGAAAATTTAGGAAATGGTAGGTGGTTAAGCATGACAGCATGACAGAGAGTAAGATATGTATATTAGGAGATGATGCTAGAAATATATCTAAAAACCAGATACATGCAACTTTATACCTAAAAATAAAACAAACTTGTAAATAGTATTGGACTATCACCTCACAAAATTCTGTCATTAGTAAAACTTCTTTTCACATCAAAAAGTATGCTCATTTCATATAAACCAAGGAGATGACATAATCAGGATAAAGATGTACTGTTTTCACTCTAATTCAGAGGGGTTATATAAAGAAACTTGGATAGTTAAACGAACTGACCTGAATCAATCAGTTCCCATTTTCCAGTTTTACATGAACCTGGCTATACAAATAAAATATGATATCCTGGGTTAACAAATACAAGGACCTATATTATATTATATCTATTAGCCTTAAACTTGACTTCCCAAAGGCTAGGTATTTCTAGAACATAGCATGTTAAAATGAAATAAACGCTAGACTAGGAGTCAAAAAACTTGAGGCTCTCAAAGACAGTTTCTTCATCTGTGAAATAATAATATAGTTTCCTCTCCCTACTTCACAGGGTTTTTGTATGCATCAAACAAGACCATCCTCTAAAAACTACAGAATGCTATTAAAAATGTAATAGAAGGCCAGGTGCAGTGGCTCACGCCTATAGTCGCAGCACTTTGGGAGGTCAAGGTAGGCGGACTGTTTGAGCCCAGGAATTTGAGAACAGCCTGGACAACAGAGCAAAACACTGCTTCTATAAAAAAAAAATCCAAAAAGTAGCCAGGCATAGTGTCGTGCACCAGTAGTCCCAGCTACTCGGGTGGCTGAGGTGGGAGGATCACTTGAGCTCAGGAGGATGAGGCTGCAGTGAGGCAAGATCACACCACTGCTCTCCAACAGCCTGGGTGACAGAATGAGACCCTGTCTCAAAATCAAATGTAATAGAGGCAGTACAAAGATAAGGTTAAGAGCAGAGGTCTGGAACCAGACTACAGTGCTCAAACTCCAACTCAACTACTTATTGGCCATGCGAGCTTGAATACATTACCTAACCTCTTTGGATCTTAATTTCTTCATCTGTAAAATATGTACGTGTGTATGTGTTTATTTAATACTACCCATGTAAAGAGTACTGTAAGGATTAAATAAGTTAATTCATATAAAATGCTTATTAGAGTGCCTAGCACAAGGTGAATATTCAATAAAGGTTAGCTTACTCTAGTGGTATATTCTTCCACATGAGATTTTTAAATGCTGTCCTATCTAAAATTATGATGAAACAAAAAAATGAAAATAAAATTATGATGAAACAAAAATACCCACTTCTGTCATATTACTTAGATATATACAGTGCAGAATGAAAGAAAACAATTTTAAACTAGTGAAGTTTAAAATTGACTCATCATATAATCTCAATGCAATAAATAATCAACAGATCAGGACCACAAAATAAGTTCACTGACACAATACTATGTATTTCTCTGACACAACAGAAACACATTATAACTTTTAGCATATTTAATATATTCTGAATATTTGGTATTTTGACCAAAATGCAGAATAATAAACAATATGCATTATAATCCTTTCTTCAAAAGTTATTGGTATTTGGTGGCACCACTGCTACCACAGCCTGAACTCACAATCCTATTATAAATTACTCTGTAAATTATCTCATACTTGTGGCTAACAAATACCAACCATTCCTACTGCATCTTGGTCAAAGGGATTCCATTCTACGTTCTCAGGATATCGTGCAAGGACCTTAGATTTGAATGTTCTTCTCAATGGTGTCTGCTCAAAATTTTCTCCTGTAAGAAAAAGAATGAAGTAAATCATTTCTACAAAATCCCTTTAAGTCACAGGGTTATAAATGTCTGAGCTTGGTAGTCCAGCAAGGTACAGAAATGAAGGCAAGGGGGTTAGTATGCCAACCATCTAAGAATAAAAATAGGAAAGGCATTAAAGTTATTAGGTCAGTAAAGAAGCTGAAAAAGTATAGCATGGTTAATGTCAGACATCACTAGCTGTCAGTTCTTCTTCAAAATGAAATTACTACTCAAACCCAATGGTTAATTTTCATGGGAGAGAGTGAGAAAGCACAAGGAATGACAAGGATTGTATCTATCTTTTTTTTTTCCCTGAAAGCCACATTTAATTTGCTTAAAGTCAACTAAAAACATCACAGAAGCATATTTTACCTAAAATTCAGAATAAACTATGCATTTCAATGATCTCTGGGAAAAATACAAAGAAATGAAAAGATGTAAGAACATTAACGAAGCAGATTTCAGGGTAAATCTAATGAGATATTCTGTCAATTCAGAATTACTTGAAATTTCTGGAATTGTCCTTTGTTTTCCCATTCCCCCTCCTAAAAACACTAAAGTATATTGAAATAACAACATTAAAGTGAAGAGAGAAAGAACCAAAGAACCCACCACCTAGAGGGATACAAATCTGAAAAATCTAGTGGTCAAAAAAGGCACAAGAAAGTTAGAAGGTCAAAGGTTACAAAATGCCACTGGAGAGATATATGTAAGAACCATTAGAAAGCTTTGGGTGTTCTCAATTTTGTTTTGTTTTTACCTTCAGTCGTACTTGAAATGAAAGGGCTGGCACCATCCCTGGCTTTAGAAGCCTGTATGTACTGGCATAATGCTATATGATAAATGAAATAACAGAGTATTACAATAAAGCAGTGTTATTCAAACTTTTTTGACCATTATTCCAGTACAAATTACATTTTACATTATGAAACAATAAACACATACATGTATGTGTATACATAAATTTACCTAAAGCAAAAATTTCACAAAACAATACTTACCTTTACTATATATATAATGTCCTCTCATATTTCCTACTCTATATCATTAAAACAAAAAATGCTGACTGCAGACCTACTAATTATCATAATTCAGTTTGAAAAACATTATAATACGGTATAGTAGAACGAAGAGCTCAACTGATACCAAATTACTATAAAGTCACTAGTGCTTTATCTAAAAGTATACTATCCCAAATATTGCTTTTCCTAAGGAATTAGGGAGTGTGGGACAAATTAAATGCATATAAACAGTTCAAACAAACAAATCTCAGGTGTCGGGGGAACATAATCAAGGACAATTCAAGTGAAATCTATACCTGTTTACTGAGTAATCAAGGGACTTAGATATTGTGAGGAATAGAGATGAACCAGACAAAGCACATACCCTCAATGATCTCAGTGTCAAATATACAGGAAAAAGAACATACACATACAAATAACCATTTCACAGGAAGGCTATTATCTGGGAGGCTCCAGATCTTTCACCTACGTGGCCTAACCATTCAGAGTACACTTGCACAGGGTCCTGTTTGCGTGTGCTAGTTGACAGAATAAATTCTGTTACAAATGTAGTTTTTCTAAGTTGGTCTGGAACCTAAAGGGACTTGTGGTTATTAAGGAAAATGCATTCTTCACTATCACAGGATGAGATGCACCTAAGTCAGAAAATCCTTTACCCTAAATCAATCCCAAAGGCACCTCAAAAGTTTCTAAAAGAGAAAAGTTTATAATAACTCTAAGGCACCTGTTCCAGAAACTAATAATAATTCCAGTCAGAAAGTTACTGCTTTTATAACTACAATCTCTCCTCTATTTTCTCTGAGGTTTTGTCCATCATCAGAAGCAGCAGCTCACTTATTCACAATTTTCAAATTCTGATAGGACCCAACCTTCTTTCTGTTATTAAAAGCAAGTGCCACAATTTCATTCCTCTTATTTCCTGATCCTTCTTCCAAACAAATTCTTCTGAAACTTTCTTTTTGAGTAAATTTCGTCCCTCAAAATACATTTGGTAATCTTCACTAAAGACTGGCAAAAATCAGCAGGCAGCTGGTAATAGCTGCAGCAACAAGGCCTACAGCTTATGTAGAGCTAGGCTCAGAGCTTTCTGTAACACCTGCAGAGCCCACCCATGGTAAGCCTGCACTTACTGTACAAAGTAATTAAGCAGCAAGCCGCTGACATAATGATCTCGTCTACAGTCTGAAATTCTTGGGATGTATTTTTAAACTGCATTCATGTCTGAAAGAAGATAACTGTTTCTTCCTCCTAAGCTTCTTCACTTTCAGTTATCAGTTTGTTCATTTCTTCCTAACTAGCCAGAAAATCCCCTCAGTAAAAACCACGAAATATCACAACAGAGAGAGGAATCAGGACAACTATCACCGTTCTCTGTAAAGGAAAGACGCCTTCCTAAAATGGCTCTAGGCGTCTATGGCCATAACCACCCTAAATGCGCCTGATCTCATCTAAAATGGCTGTAAGGAGCTCCCTAAGACATGACATGCATGTGTGAGAAGATAGGAAAGCTGAGTGATTAAGGGGAGAACTTTTTAAAAGTGAGATGAAGAATGGAGCCAAAGGTGAGCATGACCAGCTGATCTGAAGTGTGGTCAAAAGGGAGAGAAAGGCTATGAATCACTGGAGAAGTGATTGTTAGAGCCTCTGTCCCCACCACCACCTCTCCACATCTGCCCCTTCTTTAAATTAGCTAAGGGAAGAAGTCTTGTTAAAGAGTCTGGTTCTAAATAAAGGACTATACGGGGTGCCAAAGTTAGACAAATGTCCTTCTGTGAATTAGACTGGACCAGTAGCAAGAGCAAAGTATTTTCTCCATAAGGGGAAAGGAGATGTATAAAGAAGTATGAGGGCCCTGAAAACAAATCATATTCTCATTTCAGCCGCTCTACAAAGAGTGCCAGAAAAGGTAAGAGAAGGGGATTCACAAACCTAAGATTTTTTTTAGTGAAATGATTCACTCATCATTTACTTAGGGCTGAGTTTTAAGAATAAACAGTAAGGGGCTGGGCACGGTGGCTCATACCTGTAATCCCAGCACTTTGGGAGGCTAAGGTGGGTGGATCACTTGAGGTCAGGAGTTACAAACCAGCCTGGCCAACATGGTGAAACCCCATCTCTACTAAAAAATACAAAAATTAGCCAGGCGTAGTGGCGGACACCTGTAATCCCAGCTAACTGGGAGGCTGAGGCAGGAGAATCACTTGAACCCGGGGGATGGAGGTTGCAGTGAGCTGAGATCACACCATTATACTCCAGCTTGGGTGACACAGCAAGACTCCATCTCAAAAAAAAAAGAGAAGAAACAGTAGGAAAACTTAATCCTCAGAAACACCTACATAGGCCCACCTCCTGAAACCTGTGTATCACAGGTACCTTAAATTCTCAATTATTTAGACCCTTGGAAATTCAAACAATATTAGGAATATGACATCACCAACATGACTGTCCTATTGTCCTAGAAACAACGACTAATTATTTGTTCAACACATATAGATTATACAAACATCAGCAGATCCAGATATAAGATCTAAAGCCCATTTCCAAGAACAATTTCAAAATTAGTCAACTATGTGTGAGTCTATCTTTGTGAATCTGCTTCCAAGGAAGTACAGTTCAAATCAATCATAACAGACTTTTTTTTAAAGCATACATGCCTTACAAGAACTTCTAATAGGTTTTTTATCTGTTCTGTTTTGACCAAGCCAGAAATAAATCGACATTTGTTGTTGTTGTTGTTTTGAGATAAGGTCACACTCTGTTGCCCAGGCTGGGGTGCAGTGGCACAATCACGGCTCACTGCAGCCTCAACCTCCTGAGCTCAGGCTATCCTCCCACCTCAGCCTCCAGAGTAGCTAGGACCACCACGCCCAGCTAATTGTTTAAATTTTTTTGTAGAGTCAGGGTCTAGCTAGGTTGCCCAGGTTGCTCTCAAATTCCTGGGCTTACGCAATCCTCTGACTTCAGCCTCCCTTACAGGCATGCTCCACCACACCCAGTTTAAAGACATTTTTATATCTGGCCTCTTGAAGGTGATAGGGAGGATAATATAAAGATCTGTGAAACTACAATGGGAAAAAATTGATTTTATCAACAGAATATTTTATGTCTAGTTCATACAGATTCTGCTTCCAGTCATGGCAGAGTAGCTCCCTTCAGACCAACTTTCCTGCAGACAAGTATGAGCTTGTCTGGAGAATTAAAAAGCAAGAAGATTCTCAAGTAGGGAAGAAGGTCAGCACTTCAAAGAAGGTAATGATACTGGGTGAGTTTCCCTTTTTTATGGCTTCCAGTCAGGCAAGTACCTGTCTGTCATAAGAGGTGGGTAAAACTCAAAAACTCATAATCTTACTAGCTTAAGAAACCAGAGGGCAAATTTTAAGGCAAACCACAGCAGCTGGGAAGTGAAAGAGGGAGATTCCAGAGAGAACCACAGAAGGGAAGACCCAAAAATCTGTGTACAAACTCTGCCTACAAACCTGGCTGATCCCTGAAACACGCATGCATGGAGAAGACCCCAAGCAGCCAAGTTAAGGGTAAAAGAACTGAACTGAAATTTAAGTTGCCACCCACTACAGGGAAACAGTTAACTTAAAAATAATAACAATAATAATAATAAAATAAAAAAAGAATGCTCTCTGGAGGGAGGTAACAGAATCTAGTTCTTTACAATCCAGAACTGCTCAGCATATAAAGAAACAGGAAAATATGACCCATTCTCAAGAGAAGAGTCAATCAACAGAAACCAACCCTGAGTTTACTCAAATACTGGAATTAGCAAACAAGAATTTTAAAGCAGCTATGATCATAATGAATGAAAAAATAGATCTCAGGCCAGACATGGTGGCTCACTCCTGTAATCCCAGGACTTTGGGAGGCCGAGGCGGGAAGATCACGAGGTCAGGAGTTCGAGACAAGCCTGGCCAATATGGTGAAACCCCGTCTCTACTAAAAATATAAAAATCAGGCGGGTGTGGTGGCGTGTGCCTGTAGTCCCAGTTACTGGGGAGGCTGAGGCAGAAGAATCTCTTGAGGTTGAGGTGGAGATTTCAGTAAGCCAAGATCGTGCCACTGCACTCCACCCTGGGCAACAGAGCAAGACTCCGTCTCAAAAAAAAAAAAAAAAAAAACAGATCTCAACAGAGAACAGACATTACAATGCAGTGGGCTGGCTTAAAAGCAGATTGGAAATGACAGGAGAGATACTGACCTTGAAAAATGAACAACAAAAATTATCCAATCAGAAATACAGACAGAAAAAAGGATTAGGAAAAGAAAGAGCTGGCTGGGCGTGGTAGCTCACACTTATAACCTCAGCACTTTGGGAGGCCAAGGTTGAGAGGACTGCTTGAGGCCAGGAGTTCAAGACCAGCCTAGGTAACACAGCAAGACCCCATCTCTACACAATAAAATGTATAAATTAAAAAAGAAAAGGGCAGCAGGAGAGAGGACCTCAGAGATGTGTGGGGCAACAAGTCTAACATAATATAATTGGAGTTCCAGAAGGAAAATAGAAAGAATGAGGCAGAAAACAATATTTGAAGAATTAATAATCAAAATTTTCCCAAATTTGGTAAAAGACAAAAATTTACAGATTCAAAAAGCTCAATGGACTCCAAGCAGTATAAATGCCAATAAAATAATACACAAGTACACCACAGACAAACTTCTAGAAACCAATGATAAGAGAGAACCTTGAAAAGAGCTAGAAAGAAAGGATACACATTATATTCAAGGGGAAGAAACTGAAATTACTACTGCCTTCTCATCAGAAACAATGAAGGCTAGAAAACATGGAACAACACAAGTACTGAAAAAAAAACACAAATAAATAAAAATCTGTCAAACCCAGAATTTTATGAACAGAAAAAATATCCTTCAAAAATGAGGGCAAATTAAAAACATTTTCAGGCAAAACAGAGAGAATTCATCACCAGTAGACCTGTACAGGAATGAGAAAAGCCAATCACAACAGGTTACGTATTGTGTGATTCCATTTATATAATATTCTTGAAACAATAAAATTAGGGAAACAAAGAATGGTGGGGAAGGGGGAGAGTTGGGTGGTTGTGGGGAGAGGAAGGTAGATGGGTGTGGCTATAAAAGGGCAACCCCAAGAATTCTTATGGTGATGGAACTCTTTGATACCTTGACTATATCAATGTCAAGTTCCTGGTTCTGATTTTTTTTTTTTTTTTTTTGAGACAGAGTTTTACTCTTGTTGCCCAGGCTGGAATGCAATGGTACAATCTTGACTCACTGCAACATCCACCTCCCAGGTTCAAGTGATTCTCCTTCCTCGGCCTCCCGAGTAGCTGGGATTACAGGTGCCTGCCACCACATCCAGCTAATTTTTTTGTATTTTAAATAGTGACGGGGTTTCACCATGTTGGCCAGGCTGGTCTCGAACTCTTGACCGCAGGCAATCCACCCGCCTCAGCCTCCCAAAGTGCTGGGATTACAGGCGTGAGTTTCTGATAATATCTATATAGTTCTGCAAGATGTCACCAATAAGGGAAGCTGGGTAGAGTGCACAGGGGATCTCTCTATTATTTCTTACAATTGCAAATAAATCTATAATTACCTCAAATTTAAAGTTTAACTTAAAAAAAAAACACCTTTTTTTTAATGGTTCTAACAACCTCTCAGGGTTTTTAAAACAGAGGCTGCAGGCAATATATTTCAAGCATTCAAAACTATACTGTGGGCAGGGTACGGTGGCTCACACCTGTAATCCCAGCATTTTGGGAGGCCGAGGCGGGTGCATCAACTGAGGTCAGGAGTTCAAGACCAGCTGGGCCAACATGGTGAAAACCCATCTCTACTAAAACACAAAAATTAGCCAGGCATGGTGGCAGGTGCTTGTAATCACAGCTACCTGGGAGGCTGAGATGGCACGATCGCTTGAACCCTGGAGATGGTGGCTGCAGTGAGCCGAGATTGCACCACTGCACTCCAGCCTGGGTGGCTGAGCGAGACTCCGTCTCCCAAAAAAAAAAGAAGAAGAAGAAGCAGTGAGCCAGGGAGGGGACAAGGGAACCTCTCCTGTTTCAGTATCACATAGACTGCCTCAACTTACCATATCAACAACAATCCTATAAGGTCTATTTCATATTATCTGTAGATCATCTGCAGCAAGAGTGATGAAATTCTTTCCTCTGCGAATGCATACGTCTAAGTTAATATGCTATCCTTTGCATATTGGCATTCTGGGATATACTAAAATTGATACTACTGGTGACCAACCACGGTCATCAACTGAGTGTCGTCCATGCTATAATCAGTTTATTTCCCACACTAAAAGATGGCACTGTATCTTTCCTGTTATAAACACTTGTGAAATAGACTGCCCAATAGCATAGTACTGCTACCAACTCACACTTCTATTTTTTGTGCATGTTGAGAGCCAGGTTGTTTTGTCTTCAACTCTCTGGCTGCTCCAGCATTTCAATTCTCCCTATCTTCCACATAATTTCTGAACCCCTATACAAATCAGAGGGCATCACCTGTCTGATGGCAGGGCACAATGTAGGAAGGGAAGAGATTACACATTTCTAATTAAATGAGAATTAACCTTATCATTACTTTTATTAATAGATGACTTTCATTACTATCAGCACTTTTTAAATAGAGACACCTTAAATACAGGCACACATACACAATAAGGACTGCAGAGCTTTGGAAGCTATCACTCTTCCTTATCTCTTCTTCACATGAAATTGATTTTACAACTCCTACACCGTAAAGAAAAGAAGGTAACTGTTCCTTGAAGAGACAGGCTGTAACTTGGCCCACATCACCAGCTGACTGTGATGCTCAGGAGTCAGACATTCACAAGTAAGTACCCAGAATACAAGCAGTGAACTGTCCACTGCCCCCCAACCCCCACCCACAAGACTTTTTTGTTTTGTTTTGTTTTTTTGAGACGGAGTCTCGCTCTGTCACCCAGGCTGGAGTGCAGTGGCACAATCTTGGCTCACTGCAACCTGTGCCTCCCAGGTTCAACTGATTCTCCTGCCTCGGCCTCCCAACTAGCTGGGATTACAGGCGCCTGCCATCACCCTCAGCTAATCTTTCTATTTTTAGTAGGGATGGGGTTTTACCACATTAGCCAGACTGGTCTCGAACTCCTGACCTTAAGTGGTCCATTGTCCACCTTGGCCTCCCAAAGTGCTGGGATTACAGGCATGAGTCACCGCACCAGCCCCGCAGGCCACTTCTAAGTCCTCTTCCAAGGCACTAACCCAGGAAAGCTGCTTACCAGGCTTTTCAATGTAAATTTAAGAGAAACCCTGTTACTCCTATTTTCTCAAGGCAGATTTGTTCACTCTCTTTCTCAATACATTTACTTTGTCAGATAGTTTTAGGTTTGTATACACAGCCATTATTTTTATTGATGTTTTGCCTCCTGCTTAACATCTTCCAGGCACCACACATGATCCAACTCATGTACCTAGTATTTCTAAAATGGCTGAACTTCTTATGTGACCAGTTTTAGAGAGACTAGGTTTGAGAGCCTATCCAGTCAGGACTGTTCCAAACTGCATCTAGGACAAACTGAAAGCACTTTTGTTCACATTGCCTTCCTTTTAGCCCAGCCGAATGCCCTGCAGAGCACACATCTGTCAGGTAACACCTGGAACTCACATTATTTCCTGTTTAGTGGGTGATGCAACCAGCTGTCCAATTCATGGTCTTTTAGACCAGTCTAAGAAACCCAATCCTGTGTTCTTTTTTTTTTTTTTTGAGATGGAGTCTCGCTCTGTCGCCCAGGCTATAGTGCAGTGGCACGAACTCAGCTCACTGCAACCTCCACCTCCCAGGTTCAGGCAATTCTCCTGTCTCAGCCTCCCTAGTAGCTGGGATTACAGGCACACACCACCATGCCCAGCTAATTGTTTTTGTGTTTTAGTAAAGATAGGGTTTCGCCGTGTTGGCCAGGCTGATCTCAAACCCCTGACCTCAGAAGATCCGCCCGCCTCAGCCTCCCAAAGTGCTGGGATTACAAGCGTGAGCCACCGCGCCTGGCCGTTCTTTTATATAATTAATAAGTTAGTTAGATGTATACGCACACTCTTCCAAATATAGTGAGCTCCCAGAGGCTACACAGGTAGGTACACATGCACCTTTCTCTAAAAGCTAGCCCCTCCAGAAAATTGGGCTTAAGCAAACCCATTTCTGTAACTAAAAAGTGGCAAAGGCCAAATGTGAACAAGGGTCCCCATGCTCTCCTCAATACCAAATTTTAATGTAATCAGCCTAAATTAAGTCTGAGCAACTAGTCAAGAAGGCAGGAGACAGGATTAAGGACCTAACTTGGCTACTTACTAATTGTATGACATTAAACAATTTACTGAGTCTTGTGAGTCTCATTTTCTTCACCTGAAAGATGAAGTATATGACTAGCTGCTCATCTCTAAAGGTTTTTCCAGCTTGGTCATTCCATGACTATTGGGCCTAGAGCCTGATACAGCATGGGAATCCCACCTTTTAAACTTTCAGTGAAAGACTGAGGGCTGAAGGTATGCATTAGCTCTTCCTCAGCTACCTCTCTCTTTCCAAAACCTTGCTAAAACAATGGAGGATGGGGAGTGGCATAAACCCACAAAATCAGAGTGAAGGTAATAGTAACAACATTTTAGAAGCTGAAAAGCTGATGGATGAATGGTTACCAACAGTAGGCTTGAGAAAGGCTGAGATACAACGTAACCTCCAAAAAGCTCAGGAACTTATAGCATTAGGCACCTTTCAAAGTGGGGATAAAGATGGAGCTAAAAACAGGAGGACTAACCGAAAGCCTGTTTAAGAACCAGCAGGGCAGGGGACTGTGGCTCATGCCTGTAATCCCAGATAATCAGGAGGATGGCTTGAGGCCAGGAGCTCGGAACCAACCTGGACAATGTAACGAGATCCTGTCTCTACAAAAAATTTAATAATTACTAGTCTGGAGGCTGAGGTGGAGGGATTGCTTGAGCCTGGGAGATTGAGCTGCAGTGAGCTGTGATGGTGCTACTGCATTCCAGCCTGGGTGACAGAACAAGAGCCTATCTCAAAATAATAATAATAATAAGCCAGGCATGGTGGTATGCATCTGTAGTACCAGCTATTCAGGAGGCTGTGGTGGGAGGATCACTTAAGCCCAGGAGTTTGAGGCTGCAGTGAGCTATGATCACACTACTGCACTATAGTCTGGGCAACAGAGCAAGATCCCATCTCAAAAAAATAAATACGAAAGAATCAGCAGGCATCAGCTGATGAACAGATGAATGAAATGTATAATAATACAATGGAACATTATTCAGCCATAAAAAAGAATGGTGTACTGTTACATGCTACAACACAGATGAATCTTGAAAACATGCCAAGTGGCTTAAGATCACATACTGTATCATTCCATTTATATAAAATGTCCTGGCCAGGCGCGATGGCTCATGCCTGTAATCCCAGCACTTTGAGAGGCTGAGGCGGGTGATCACCTGAGGTCAGGAGTTTGAGACCAGCCTGGCCAACATGGTGAAACCCCATCTCTACTAAAAATGCAAAAATTAGCCAGGCGTGGTGGGGCACACCTGTAGTTCCAGCTACTCGAGAAGCTGAGGCAGGAGAATAGCTAGAACCCAGGAGGCAGAGGGTGCAGTGAGCCGAGATCTCACCACTGCACTCCAGCCTGGGCAATAAGAGCAAAAATTCCGTCTCAAATTAATTAATTAATTAATTGCCCAGAAAAGGCCTACGTATGGAGACAGAAAGTAGATTAGTGTTTACCTGGGATGAGGGGATACAGAGTGACTGCTAATTAGTACAAAGTTTCTTTTTAAAGTGATTAAAATATTCTAAAATTAAATTATGGTAACGATTGCACAACTCTGCAAATACATTAAAAAACAGAAATTGTATACTGTAAGCAGGTAAACTAGGCTATGTAAAGTATATCTTCATAAAGTGATTTAAAAAATAAAAGGACAAACAACAAAAGAAATTTGGCATGCTAGTAAAATACAGTCTCCTACTGTCAAAGCATGTGTCATTTCCAACAAAGTATCTTTTCCCACACACAAAAATTATTATCACAGATAAAAGATATGCAGAGATAAAAGATGACATTGTATACATAAAACAAGAATAGACTGTTGTTTTAAAAGAATATTCAGAAAATAAAACAAGGCTGGGCAGTGGCTCATGCCTGTAATCTCAGCACCAAGGTGGGTAGAGATTGTTTGAGTCCAGGAGTTCAAGACCAACCTGGGCAACATGGCAAGACCCCATCTGTACAAAATAATAATTAAAAGATTAGCCAGGCATGGTGGTGCCCACCAGTAGTCTCAGCTACTCAGGAGGCTGAGGCAGGAGGACTGCATGAGCTCAGGAGGCAGAGGCTGCAGTGAGCTGAGATAGCACCACTGCACTCCAGGCTGGGTGACAGAGCAAGACCCCGTCTCAAAAAAATAAACAAAAAAAAAACAAGCTTGTGGAAATTAAAATGGTGTCAGAAAAATTTAAAACTCAACAGAAGAGTTAGCAAATAGATTTGAGGAAATATCCTCAGAAGTAGGACAAAATAAATAAAATTAGAGAAAAAATAGTAATAAAATTAGTCTGGGTACAGTGGCTCATGCTTAGGCTCAGCTCATGCTTAGGCGGGATGCAGTGGCTCCCAGCTCTTTGGGAGGCCGAGGGGAGTGGATCACTTAAGCCCAGGAGTTTGAGACCAGTCTGTGCAACATGGCGAAATCCTGTCTACTAAAAATACAAAAATTAGCTGGGTGTGGTGGAGTGTGCCTGTAGTAGGCTGAGGTGGGAAGATCGCTAGAGCCCGGGAGATGAAGGTTAGAGTGAGCTGTGATCGTGTCACTGCACTCCAGCTGGGTGACAGAGTGAAACTTTGTCTCAAAAATAAATGTATTGGGCCGGCGTGGTGGCTCACGCCTGTAATCCCAGCACTTCAGGAGGCTGAGACAGGTGGATCACCTGAGGTCAGGAGTGCAAGACCAAGCTAGCCAACATGGTGAAACCCCACCTCTACTAAAAAAATAAAAATTAGCCAGGCGTAGTGGCACATGCCTGTAATCCCAGCTACTTGGGAGGCTGAGGCAGGAGAATCGCTTGAACCCGGGAGGTGGAGGTTGCAGTAAGCCAAGATCGCGCCACTGCACTCCAGCCTGGGCAACAAGAATGAAACTCCATCTCAAAAAAATAAATAAACAAATAAATGAAATAAATTTATTTATTTATTTAAGAAATAATAAAATTAGAGTCCATCCAAGAGGTCTAAAACCCAAATAAAAGTATACCATAAAAAGCGAAGAGAAAAAATAAAGGGGAGGAAATTATCAACAAAATAATAAAGTTTCCCAGAAATGACAGGCATGAACTTCCAAACTGAAAGTGCTCTTCAAGGATCTAGCACAATGGATGAAAACAGACCCACACCAAGACACGTCATGATGTAATTTCAGAATGCCAGGGACAATGAGAAAATTCTAGATGTTTCCAGGAAGAAACAAATTTACCAAGGAAAGATATCTGAATAGCACTGGATTTCTCAATAGCAACACTGGAATCTAGCAGACAATGAGGCAATGTCCTCAAAATTCTGTGGGAAAATTATTTCCAGTTAGAATTATATACTCAGCCAAATAATAAGAGAGTAAAAGAAAGAAATTTCAAACATGTAATCTCAAAAAAAGAATGTATTTTCTATGAATCCTTTCTCAGGAAGCATATGCTCTGCCAAAACGAGAATTAACAAAAAAAAACGACTTACATATGGGATGGAGGAAACTGGAGCCATCACGAGAAAGTGACAGAGGATAACTCCAAGATAAGGTGAGGGGACATCCCAAGATTTTAGTGCAATAGGCCTGGCAGGCCAACACCTCAAATAATCCAGATTGATGGGGCTCAGGCAAGAATCCACAGCTTGCATCATATTTTCCAAGGGATCTGTGAGCCAAAAAATACTTTAAGCCACTGCTTTAAGGTGTCCATTACAGGTCTTGCACAAGGGACAAACCACAACAGACTTCTATAACAAAAAGAAATTTTTCAGATGTTGCAAATCTCAGAGACAAAGAATGTGGAGTAATGCAGTAGATTAACACATTTTTTCTGATTGGATATCATCATTTAGAAAGAAAGGAAAGGGGCTCAGTTAAAGCACTCTAGAAGCCCAGGGAATTTGATTCAAATGAAGCTTAATACCTTACTCCTCAAAACATTCTGAAGAGAGATTGGTTTTGTTTTGTTTTTTCAATTTGTGATTTATGTCCCACCTATGTCAAAAAACAAGGTGGTATATAAGAAAAATCATACTAAAAAATTAAAGCAGGACAAAGAACACTAAAAGCAAAAAAAATAGATGTGCTTAAACGCCTGTGGCATAACTTTCTTATAAATTGCAAAAAATGATAGTTTGCTTGCAATGTATGATATTTAAAAATAATTCGGGCCAGGCACAGTGGCTCATGCCTGTAATCCCAACACTTTGGGAGGCCGACGCGGGCAGATCACCTGAGGTCAGGAGTTCAAGACCAGTCTGACCAACATGGAGAAACCCTGTCTCTACTAAAAATACAAAATTAGCCGGGCGTGGTGGCACATGCCCGTAATCCCAGCTACTTGGGAAGCTGAGGCAGGAGAATCACTTGAACCCAGGAGGTGGAAGTTGCAGTGAGCCAAGATCATGCCATTGCACTCCAGTATAGGCAACAAGAGCGAAACTCTGTCTCAAAAATAATAATAATAATAATAATAATAATTCAACATGGAAAAAAATATGAATGAAAATACCGGCCGGGCACAGGTGGCTCACACCTATAATCCCAGCACTTTGGGAGGCTGAGGGGGTTAGATTACCTGAGGTCAGGAGTTCCAGACCAGCCTGGCTAACATGGCAAAACCCAGTCTCTTCTAAAAATAAAAAAATTAGCCAGGCATGGTGGTGGGTACCTGTAATCCCAGCTACTGGGGAGGCTGAGGTACGAGAATTGCTTGAACCTGGGAGGCAGAGGTTGCAGTAAGCTGAGATCGCACCACTGCACTCCAGCTTGGGCGACAAAGCGAGACTCTGTCTCAAAAAAAAAAAGTGTGTGTGTGTACACACACACACATAAATTAGCCAGGCATAGTGGCGGGTGCCTGTAGACTCAGCTACTTGGGAGGCTGAGGTGGGAGGACTGCTTGAGCCCAGGAGGCAGAGGTTGCCGTGAGCCGAGATGGCGCCATTGAGCTCCAACCTGGATGAGAGAGCAAGACACTGTCTAAAAAAAGAATACAAACCCAAAAAACAAAAAACTTTGGTATCAGAATCAGAGATTAAAACATTCAATCGGCTGGACACGGTGGCTCACGCCTGTAATCCTAGCACTTTGGGAGGCCAAGGCAGGTGGATCACCTGAAGTCAGGAGTTCAAGACCAGCCTGGCCAACATGGTGAAACCCTGTCTCTACTAAAAATACAAAAATTAGCCGGGCATGGTGGCGAGTGCCTGTAGTCTCAGCTACTCAGGAGGCTGAGGCAGAAGAATCTCTTGAACCTGGGAGGCAGAGGTTGTAGTGAGCCGAGATAGCGCCACCTCACTCCAGCCTGGATGACAGAGCAAGACTCCATCTCAAACAAACAAACAAACAACAGCAACAAAAAAAACACTGAATAGGTCCCAACCCATTCAGTGCTGGCATTACAGGCATGAGCAACTGCGCCTGGCCTGGCTAATTTTTGTATTTTTAGTAGAGATGGGGTTTCACCATGTTAGCCAGGCTGGTCTTGAACTCCTGACCTCAGGCAATCGGTCTGCCTCGGCCTCCCAAACTGCTGGGATTACAGGCGTGAGCCACCGCGCCCAGCCAACCCCATGTATATTTCTAGTTATTACAAGGAAATCAGAAGTTATAATTGCCAATAATGTCTTCAACTAATTGAGAATTTTGTTGTTGTTGTTGTTGTTTTCTTTTTTTTAAGATGGAGTCTTGCTCTGTCACCCAGGCCGGAGTACAGTGGTGCGATCTTGGCTCACTGCAACCTCTGCCTCCCAGGTTCAAGTAATTCTCCTGACTCAGCCTCCCAAATAGCTGGAACTACAGGTGCATGCCACCACGCCCGGCTAATTTTTTATATTTTTAGTAGAGATGAGGTTTCACAGTGTTGGCCAGGATGGTCTTGATCTCCTGACCTCATGATCCGCCCACCTTGGCCTCCCAAAGTGCTGGGATTACAGGCGTGAGCCACTGCGCTTGGCAAGAATTTTTAATATCCAATTATAATTTTACAAATGCAGGGGTCTTTTAAGAGGACATGAGCTTTTTCTAACATTTTATCATAAAAAGTACAATGAACTGCCATGTATCTATCACCTAGCTTTAGCAATTATCAATGCATGGCTAATCTTGCTTTACTTGTATATCCTCATGCCAGATTATTTTAAAGCAAATCCAAACATATCATTTTATTTATAATATTTCAGCATGTCTCTCTAAAAGACAGTATCTTTTTTAACATAACCTCAATACTATTATTATACCTAGAAAAATTTGACCAAAAAAATCCTAATGCCAAAAATCTAGTCAGTGTTCAAATTTCTTTAGTTTATTCATAAATGTTTGAAACCTTTTAGATCACTAAGTAGACTTAAAATACTGTATAATGGCCTGTAATAGTAAAAGAAAAATTTAATGTTTCCAGGAACTTTTTTATATGAAGTTGCTTAAGAGCATTAGAAGAAAAAAAGGCAATTTTTCCCTATAAATACACCACAGAAAAATTAGAGGAACTTCAGGTCTGACATAAGATCAGAGAATAGGGATAAATAGAGCCAGACATAAGATCAGAGAATGCAGATGAATAGAACCAGATACGATTTTCAAAATATTTAACAATCTGGGCAGTGTGAGCACCAACCAATCAGAACAAACACTAGCCATACACATATGGCATATAGGCTAGATATCAACCCTGGATACAGCCTTGACTGAGGAAAAGCAAAGAGGCCTCAAGAACGTGCTTTCCATGCTGAAATTCAACGCTGCCTGCAGTGGAGCAATAAGCTGCAACTACATCAGTTAGAAGCAAAGTTGCCACAAGCTCTTGCTATAGCCTACCTTCTACCAGACATAGCTATTAACTGCTAAATCACTATAGCTGTAACTGATCATCCCTGCATCTATCATTTGAACTAGTCAAAGAAAGAATCCTTTTTGAAGCAATTAGCATGGTAAAGTAGAAAGAGTTCTTGATTGTAGAATGATCTAGAATACAAGCTGCTTGTCTCTGAAAGTTAAAACTGTAATAGCCGGCTGGGCGCGGTGGCTCATGCCTGTAATCCCAGCACTTTGGGAGCTGAGACAAGAAGATCACTTGAGCTGAGGAGTTCAAGACCAGCCGAAGCAACATAGCAAGACATCATCTTTACCAAAAGAAAAAAAAAATTAAGGCTGGGTGCGGGGTCTCACGCCTGTAATCCCAGCACTTTGGGAGGCTGAGGTGGGCAGAATAGGCCAAGGCAGGCGGAGGTCAGGAGTTTAAGACCAGCCTGGCCAACATGGTGAAAACCCCATCTCTACTAAAAATACAAAAATTAGCCAGGCATGATGGCAGGTACCTGTAATCGCAGCTACTTGGGAGGCTGAGGCAAGAGAAACACTTGAACCTGGGAAGTGGAGGTTGCAGTGAGCCAAGATCTCACCATTGCACTCCAGCCTGGGCAACAGAGCGAGACTCCATCTCAAAAAAATTAATTAATTAAAAAAATTAAATTAGCAGGGTGTGATGGCACCACACCTGAGGTCCCAGCTACTTGGGAGGCTGAGGTGGGAGGATTGCTCGAGCCAGGGAGACTGAGGCTACGGTGAGCTATGATCACACCACTGCACTCCAGTCTGGGCAACAGAGCAAGCAAGAGAGAAAAAAAGCGTAACATCTGACAGTGGTACCTGGGAATGTTAATATCCTTCAACCTATTGCCTGTAGGTTACAGCTTTTCCAATAAATTATTTAGCTTGCTAAAGAATATAAAAGATAGTCCTCTGTGATTGTTATTTAGAATCCTTTCATAAACAGAGGGCATGCCCTGACCATTTAAAAATAAACCTAGAACGGTCAGGTGTGGTGGCTCATGCCTGTAATCCCAGCACTTTGGGAGGCCGCAGTGGGCGGATCACCTGAGGTCAGGAGTTCAAGACCAGCCTGGCCAACATGGCAAAACCCTGTCTCTACTAAAAAAATACAAAAATTAGCCAGGTGTGGTGGCGCATGCCTGTAATCCCAACTACTAGGGAGGCTGAGGCAGGAGAATCGCTTGAACCTGGGAGGCAGAGGTTGCAGTGAGCCGAGATCACGCCATTCACTCCAGCCTGGGCGACAGAGCAAGACTCCATCTCAAAAAATAAAGTAAAATAAAACATAAGCCTAAAACAACATGCCTAAAGGAAGGGAAGAAGGAGAGAACTCTTGAAGGGAAGTGAGAAAGCTTGGGGGTCTAGCATGATTCAACATATCTCAAGCCTTACGCAAATCACTTTATCTTCCTGGGCTCCAGTTTCTCCATCTGCATATAAGGCACCTGCCAACATTCCTAGTCTCACCTCCCAACACCTGCTTTCTCCCTCTAATACATTGATTCACTTGAGTTCCCCAAACAGGGCATGCTTTTTCGTGCTTTCATTCTTTGTTAGATGTTATTCTCTGCTTAGAATAACCTTTATACCCTTCTTCACCTGATTAGCCAATCTACTTTTATTCAAGTGAGTGCTATGAAAATCCATGGTGCCCAGTGCGGTGGCTCACACCTATAATCCCAGCACTTTGGGAGGCTGAGGCAGGCAGATCACGAGGTCAGGAGTTCGAGACCAGCCTGACTGACATGGTGAAAACCCGTCTTTACTAAAAATACAAAAACAGCCGGGCGTGGTGGCGCGCGCCTGTAATCCCAGCCACTCAGGAGGCTGAGGCAAGAGAATCGCTTGAACCTGGGAGGCAGAGGTTGCAGTGAGCCAAGATCGCGCCACTGCACTCCAGCCTGGGCAACAGAGCAAGACTCCATCCAAAAAAAAAAAAAAAAAAAATCCACAGTATCCCAACGTTTTCATTTTCCCATCCCCAAGTTCTTCTGGAAATTTTCTGTGAGTGCTAGGGTCAGAGCCATTTACTGGTTATAAAACAAATCTGCTCCTTTGAATGTAGTTCATATGACATGGTTTTCAGTTCCCTCACAATCCTAGTCCCTAGAACCGACGTCTAACTCTATGTGTAATCTAACTACTTAATAACACAATTTAAAACAGGACTATCCACTCCCTCTTTTTTGACAATGTATCTCTAGAATTGCAACTAAAAATCACAATTTTTGGCAACTAAATCACGCTTTTGCCATAAATCAAACTCGCAGCCAACTAAAAGTGTTACATTTTTTAAAAAGTGTTGATATTAGCTCACATCTTCTTCCTATAACCTCTACTTCTGCATCATTTATTTCATCATATAGCTTAAATTTCTCTCTTATTCCCAACTATATCCTAGTCATTCCTGTGAAACATTCTTGAATCCAAAAATGGTAGCTCACAGTATTCCCCGTTCTATCCATGTACTCACCTGAATGAACACATGGTTAGTGTAACCTAACATATTCTTAGTGGGCAGATGTTGGCTCTTAATAATAATAGTTTTGGGGCGGGCACGGTGGCTCACGCCTGTAATCCCAATGCTTGGGAGGCTGAAGCCAGCCGATCACTTGTGGTCAGGATTTCGAGAACAGCCTAGCCAACGTGGTAAAACCCTGTCTCTACTAAAAATACAAAAAAAATCAGCCGGGCATGGTAGCACATACCTATAATCTGGCTACTCGGGTGGCTGAGGCAGGGGAATCACTTGAACCTGGGAGGTGGAAGTTACAGTGAACCAAGATCACGCCACTCTACTCCAGCCTGGGCAACAGAGCAAGACTCTGTCTCAAAAAATATATATAAGTAATAATAATAACAATAATAGTTTTGGCCAGGTGCCGTGGTTCATGCCTGTAATCCCAGCACTTTGGGAGGCCAAGTTGAGTGGATTGCTTGAGCCCAGGAGGTCAAGACCAGCCTGGACAACATAGCAAGACCCTATCTCTACAACAAATAAATTAGCTGAGTATGTTGGCATGTGCCTAGGCCCCAGCTACCTGGAAGGCTGAGGTGGGAGGACTGATTGAGCCAGGGAGGTCAAGGCTGCAATGAGCTGTGCTCATGCCACTGCACTCCAGCCTGGGCAACAGAGTGAGACCCTGTCTCAAAAATCATCATCATCATCATTATCATCATCATCATCACCATTATCATCAATCAGGTCTTTTTCTAAACCCTCAGATTATATCATTAATAAGCTATTCTAGATTTTGACTGGAACATGTCATGCTGTTACCTTCTTCCCAGTTTTGAGATTATGTCTTCTTGTGGTAATTCTATGATTCCTCAAAGGTTATTGACATCTACTGAATGATCTCATCCCAAAATTATCTAGAACCCTACGGTATAATTTGTCTGGGTCAGGAGACTCTCATTCAGAGCAATTAAATGATCCTGTATAAATGAGTAATGATCTCAATTTCAGTCTCCTCTTAATCGATTTGTTCTATCCTTTCCAATCTATATATAATTTACCTTGACAATGGGAAAAAAAAGTTTCTGGGGCTATTTCAATCTTCAAGGTTTTTTGTTTTTGTTTTTGTTTTTCAAATGTGGTTATTTGGGATTTCACATTTAGAGTATCACCCAACATAAAATACTCTTCTTGAAGAATTATTTAACACAATAAAGTTTTCCTTTTTTTTAAATTCATAAAACTGTAAGAGGAAGCAGAGATGCTAATTATAACAGAGCTCTTCTTACCACAGTGGCAAAAACCAAACTGACCGATCTAAAGTAAGCTAAACAAGAGTTGTGAAAATTAACATACTTCCTTAAGGTGAAAATTTCCCCATAATTCATCACCATGTCCTACAAATATTACTGAATGTGCAAGACTCAAAACAATTCACCCAAAACCTCACATCATACTCACACCCTGTCAATAAATCCAAGCTATGAAAATAAGCACAAGGACGAGAGTGGTGACTCACACCTGTAATCCCAGCACTTTGGGAGGCCAAGGCGGGCAGATCACCTGAGGTCAGGAGTTCGAGACCAGGGTGACCAACATGGAGAAACCCTGTCTCTACTAAAAATACAAAATTAGCCGGGCATGGTAGCACATGCCTGTAATCCCAGATACTCCAGAGGCTGAAGCAGGAGAATCGCTTGAACCCGGGAGGCAGAGGTTACAGTAAGGTGAGATCACGCCATTGTACTCCAGCCTGGGCAACAAGAGTGAAACTCCATCTCAAAATAAATAAATAAATAAATAAATAAATAAATAAATAAATAAGCAAGCAAGCACAGAGTGATATTTTCTCCACTCAATCACCATGGGACTTATAAAGACCTTATCTACCCCACATTGAGCCGTTTTGCTACATTATTACATTACGATCACTCAAACAACTAATCCATCACTTTTCTATTGAGTTCCAACTATCTATACAACTCCATGTTAAGTGCTATGGAAACATACAAATTTATAATTAAAAACCAGTAACTCCTGGAACGCATGAGCACATTTTAGTAAATGTGTACCTCCTTCTCTAGGCAAAGGAGTCCCCTCAAATCTGAAAGGGCATCTCATCCAGATGAAGCTGGGAAGGTAGTGCAGTATATTCTGTGTTACATACACTATAGTGGAAGGCACAGGACTTTAAAGACAGGAAAATTTAGAACTCAAATATTAGTTCCATGTTTTGTTTAATTTCTTCTAGGTAACTTGTCCAAGGTCTCTGTGAAAAATGCATATTTGGGCCAGGTGCAGTGGCTCATGCCTGTAATCTAACACTATGGGAGGCCAAGATGGGAGGATCACCTGACGCCAGTTCAAGACCAGCCTGGGCAACATAGCAAGATACCATCTCTACAAAAATAAAAAATTTAAATTAAAAAAAAAATGAGGCCAGGCACTGTGGCTCACGCTTGTAAATCCCAGCACTTTGGGAGGCCGTGGGGGCGGGTGGCGAATCACGAGGTCAGGGGTTCGAGACCAACCTGGCCAACATGGTGAAACCCTGTCTCTACTAAAAATACAAAAAATTAGCCGGGCATGGTGGTGCATGCCTGTAATCCCAGCTACTTGGGAGCCTGAAGCAGGAGAATCATTTGAACCCAGGAGGCGGAGGTTGCAGTGAGGGGAGATTATACCATTGCACTCCAGCCTGGGCGATAGCAAGACTCCATCTCAAAAAAAAAAAAAAAAAAAAAACTTACATTTGGTCTTAGTCCCTGGTTACTGGCATGCAGCTCCTAAAACCTTTGGAATCTCCCAGATGAGCACAGCGTTTGTATGCTAATGACATGACTGGTGACCAGGGCCACTAATTTAGTGGCTTAATACCTACTAAATAGCTTAAGCTAATAGCTTAAGGATGGTGGCTGGTCACCAGAAAGACCAAGGATGATTACAGGATTGAAACTTTCAGCTCCCCACCACCACCTGCAGAGAGGAGAGAGACGCTGAAGTGAGTTAATCACCAGTGAGCAATTATTTCAAAATCGTGCCAACACAGTAATGAAAACTCCACTTTGAAAACCCATAAGGCCAGGTGCGGTGGCTCATGCTTGCAATCCTGGCACTTTGGGAGGCCAACGCAGGTAGATCACCTGAGGTCAGGAGTTCGAGACCAGCCTGAACAACATAGTGAAACCCCATTTCTATTAAAAATACAAAAATTAGCCGGGTGTGGTGGCATGCGGCAGAAGAATCACTTGAACCCGGGAGGCAGAGGTTGCAGTGAGCCGAGATCGCACCACTGCACTCCAGCCTGGGCAGCAGAGTGAGACACCGTCTCAAAAAAAAAAAAAACATAAACAACAGGGTTCAGGGACCTTCTGGGTTGATGAACACACTTAAGTATTGCAGAATGGTGCACTCAGCGTGAGCACGAAGGCTCCACACACACATCTTGCCGCAAACTTGCCCCATCCATCTCTTCCACTTGGCTGTTCCTGAGTTATATCCTTTATAATAAATGGGTAATAGTAAGTAAAGTACTTTCCAGAGTTCTATGAGCCATTCTGGCAAATTATGCAAACTTAGGAAGGGGTCATGGGAACCCCTGACTTATAGCAGGTTGGTCAAAGTACAGACGGGCGGCAATCTGGGACTTTACTGGCATCTGAAGTGGGGACAGTCTTGTGAGACTAAGCACTTAACCTGTGGAGTGTGCACTAAGCCTAGGCAGTTAGTGTCAGAATTGAACTGAATTGGAAAAAAATAATAATAACAATTGAATTGAATTGCAGGACACCCAGCTGGTAACCAGAGAGTTACAGAATTGGTTAGCATAGTGTTAGATTACAGGCATGAGCCACTGCGCCTGGCCCAAATATGCATTTATCACAGAGACCTTGGCCAAGTTACAAATGTGGGGAAAAAACCACACATTTGGTGTCAGAGGTGTAATGCATGGTATTGAGGCTCAAAAAATGATACCCCTAAGTAAGACACCTTGACATGCTGAGTATTATGAACTAAAGGAGACCGGAAGACCTCAGAAATAGCCTCAGAAGCAAAGTCTCTCCTTGCCCTCCTGTCTCACTCCTCTTACTCCCCCAAAGCAAGTCATAGAAACCAGAATCCCCCTTTCCCCAAGGCGGGTCACAGATAATAGAAAAGCAAGCCATAATACCTAAAAAGTATTACCTCCTACTCAAACATATACCTCTCCCCCAAAGTAAGCCATAATACCTAAAAATGTCACTCTCTCCCCTTTTCCTTGAAGACCCTCAGCTCCAGCGGGGTCCTGCCCTATACCCAGGAAGAAGGAATGCTGCACAGAGTCCAAGAAGAATCTGAACAGACAGGCCTTGCTGGGTCCCCCTGCCCCACCCAGTCTATTACCATTAGATAACACCCTTTGTCTACTAACATTTCTACAGGCCTCTCCCTTTCTTCATTCTTCATTGAGCCTAAGCATAAAAACAGTTTTCCCTAGGTCTTTGGGTCTTCATTTCTGAAAGCTCCCATTTCTTTTTTTTTTTTTTTTTTTTTTTTTGAGACAGTCTTGCTCTGTCACCCAGGCTAGAGTGCAGTGGTGTGATCTCAGCTCCTTGCAAGCTCCACCTCCCGGGTTCACGCCATTCTCCTGCCTCAGCCTCCCGAGTAGCTGGGTGGGACTACAGGCGCCTGCCACCACGTCCAGCTAATTTTTTTGTATTTTTAGTAGAGACGGGGTTTCACCGTGTTAGCCAGGATGGTCTCGATCTCCTGACCTCGTGATCCACCCGTGTCAGCCTCCCAAAGTGCTGGGATTACAGGCATGAGCCACCGCGCCCGGCCCCATTTCATGTAAAACTAATGCTTTTTTTTTTTTTTTTTTTTTTTTTTTTTGAGACAAGTCTCACTTTTTCACCCAGGCCAAAGTGCAGTGGTGCAAACAGAGCTCACTACAATCTCAACCTTCTGAGCTCAAGCGATCCACCCACCTTAGCCTCCCAAGTAGCTGGGACTATAGGTATGCTCCACCACGCCAGGCTAATTTTTAAAAATTTTTTGCAGACAGGTTCTCACCGTTTTTCCCAGGCTGGTCTCAAACTCCTGGGCTTAAGCAATCCTCCCAGCACAGCCTCCCAAAGAGCTGGGATTACAAGTGTGAGCCACACCCAGCCTCTTATGCTTTCTTCTTGTTAATTTGTCTTTTGTTGCAGAAGTGTCAGCCATTGAACCTTAAGATGGGTGAGGAAAGGTATCACATCTTTCTGCCCTTACTGTAGAAACACTAAGGGCATCTTTTCCATAAATCTCAATTTCTTCATCTATAACATGAGGAGAACAATACCTAAGCCAGGCACAGTGGCTCACATCTGTAATCCCAGAATTTTGGGAGGCCAAGGCGGGTAGATCACCTGAGCCTAGGAGTTCAAGACTAGCCCAGACAACATAGGGAGACCGGTCTCTACAAAGAAATAGAAAAATTAGGCATGGTGGCACACATTTGTAGTCCCAGCTGCTAGGGAGGCTGAGATGGGAAGATCACTTAAGCCTGGAGGTCTAGACTGCAGTGAGCAGTTAGCGTGCACTCTAGCCTGGGTGACAGAGCAAGACCCTCTGTCAAAAACAAAACAAACAAACAAAAAAAACCCAAAAAACTACCTACCTCATCAGCCTATTGAGAGGAATGAATGAGTTAACATATGTAAAGCATATGGGACACATTTGTATTGAGCATAAGAGGTACTCAACAAATATTAGCTCCTTTCTTTCCAAAAGGTCTGTCATACATGCAAGAGTTATCTCAAAATCTTTAGCCATGAAAACAGGACACATAAATGTGCTAGAAGTTACCAAATGTTTCCTAACATGCAAACCTCTACTGCACTAAAGTGGCAACACATATCTGTTTCACAGAATGTATACCACGGCAGAGCCCACAGCAGCAAACGTGGCTATACTAAGAACACTGACAAGTCCGCAAATTCAGATTTCAAACCACAACTTATAAGGGACCACCCAGCAGCCTCTTCTTCCCCATAGCACATAAGCAGATTTAAGACTCTGGGAGCCAGGCTGGGCGCGGTGGCTCACGCCTGTAATCCCAGCACTTTGGGAGGCAGAGGCAGGCAGATCACCTGAGGTCGGGAGTTGGAGACCAGCCTGACCAACATAGAGAAACTCCATCTCTACTAAAAATACAAAAGTTGCAGGGAGTGGTGGCGCATGCCTGTAATCCTAGCTACTCAGGAGACTGAGGCAAGAGAATCACTTGAACCCAGGAGGCAGAGGTTGCAGTGAGCCGAGATCGCGCCATTGCATTCCAGCCTGGGCAACAAGAGCGAAACTCCGTCTCAAAAAAAAAAAAAAAAAGACTCTGGGAGCTTCCTGTTAGTTTACCCTCAGTAACATAAGAGAAAGTTTCCTTTACTTTTAAGAACTTTTATAGTAATAAATTCTCTCTCTTTTTTTTTAACAGACTTTCCTAACCACTAAAATTTTACCAACTGGTACTATATCAAAGCACAAAGACTAGCATTTGTTTTATCAAATCTGCATTAAAAGCACTGTATTGGTCATATCAAAGCCTTTTTGTACTTCAGGCCCAGCTGTGACAGCAATGGTAATGTTTCTCTTTCACTTGCAGAATGCTGAAAAACGGCCAAGAAAAAAAAATGGGGAAGCTTTTTTTCAGGCAGTACAGAGTAGTGTTAACAGCAGACTGTTTAAGAAAATTAATTAGCCCTAGGACTGTAGATCTAAATATGAAAGGTAAAAAAATAAAGCCTTTAGAAGAAAACACAGAACATCTTCATGATCCTGCAATAACAAAGATATAAAATGCACTAAACATTAAGAGAGAAAAACGTATAAATTGTACATTACAATTTAAAACTTTTGTTCCTTGAAAGTCGCCATTAAAAGAATGAAAACGCACAGATTACAAGAATATATTTGCACTATATATATATGAAATGAACAAAAAAGACATATCTAGAACATATAAAGAACTGCATTAAATCAATAAAGAAAAAAAGATCACTCAAAGAAAAACAGCAAAAGCCCTGAATAGATACTTCAAAAAAGACATATAAATGCCTAATAAACTTTTGAGAGGTGCTCAACTTCATTAGTCATCCAGAAAATTCAAATTTAAATAATACAATACTATTATATAACCACCAGAATAGCTAAAATGAAAAGAAAATGCCAAGAGTTGGTAAGGATAGGGAGTAACCTACACTGTCGTGCACTGCAAGTGGGAATGTAAACTGGTACAATCACTATGGAAAACTGTCTGGCAGCACCTACTAAAGCTGAACATGCGTATACCTATGACCCAGCAATTCCACTCCTGAGCATATACCCAACAGACCAAAAGCCATGTTCACGAAAAGGCACATACAGGAATGTTCATAACATGTCACTATTGTAATACTCAAAAACTACAAACTACCCATGAGCCTATCAACTGCAGAATTAACAGATAAGGTGTGGTAAAGTCACACAATGGCAAACTCTACAGCAGTGAGAACGACCAACCTAAAACTATACACAATATGAATGAACCTCTCAAATATATTGTACAAAAGAATCCAAACACAAGAGTTCACCATATATAATTACATTTATATAAAGTACAAAGACATGAAAAACTATGCTGTTAGAAGTCAAAATACTGGTTACCTGTGGTGAGTGGGAAGGCAAATAGTGACTGAAGTAGACTACTTCTTGCTCACATCCTAAGAAATTCAAGACAGCCAGTCGCAGGGGCTCACGCCTATAATCCCAACACTTTGGGAAGCCGAGGCAGGCGGATCACGAGGTCAGGAGTTCGAGACCAGCCTGGCCAGCATCGTGAAACCTCGCCTCTACTAAAAATACAAAAATTAACTGGACATGGTGGTGGGTGCCTGTAATCCCAGCTACTCAGGAGGCTGAGGCAGGAGAATTGTTTGAACCCAGGAGGCAGAGGTTGGAGTGAGCTGAGATCGCGCCATTGCACTCTAGCCTGGGCGACAGAGCGAGACTCTGTCTCAAAAAAAAAAAAAAAAAAAGAAATTCAAGACCCACCCTTTAGACCCTCTGGAGTGGGTTGAATGGTGGCCCCAAAAAAGGTATGTCCACATCCTAATCTCCAGAAGCTATGAATGTTATCTTACTTGGAAAAAGGATCTTACAGATGTAGTCAAAAATATTGAGATGAGATCATCCTGGAGTAGTTGAGTGTACCCAAAATACCATGATAGGTATCCCTAAAATAATAGACACAGAGGAAAAGATACACATGAAGGTGAAGGCAATGAGAAGACAGAAGCAGCGATTAGGGTGGTGTAGTCAGAAACCAAAGCATAATGCCAACAGTCACCAGAAGCTCAAGGAATTATTCTCCCCAAGAGCCTCTGAGGGGGTGTGCCCTGCTGACACCCTGATTTTGGATTTCTGTCCTCCAAAACTGTGAGAAAATAAATTATTGTTGTTTTAAGCCACCCAGTTTGTGGTAATTTGTTGCCACAGCCACAGTAAACTAATATAGGCTGGGTGCAGTGGCTCAGGCCTGTAATCCCAGCACTTTGGGAGGCCGAGGTGGGTGGATCACTTGAGGTCAGGAGTTCGAGACCAGCCTGGCCAACATGGTGAAACCCCGTCTCTACTAAAAATACAAAAATTAGCCGGGCATGGTAGCACATGCCTGTAGTCCCAGCTACTCGGGAGGCTGAGGCAGGAGAATGGCTTGAATCCAGGAGGCGGAGGCTGCACTGAGCCATGATCGTGCCACTGCACCCCCAGCCTGGGCAACAGAGCAAAACTCCGTCTCAAAAAAAAAAAAAAAGGCAACTAATATACCCTCCAAACCACATTCCTTTACTCACCCCAATTCTGTAGCAAACTCACCAGCTTTCCTAAGAAAGAGAGATTCAAAAGTGCCCAAACCTCAATCTTTCCCACCGATCCCCCCCCCAAAAAAATGAGCAAAAAGAGAAATTATAACCAGTATACAGACAATTCACAATACCAATATAAAGAATGAGTAATTTTTTTTCAATCTACTTGAGTAGTAGTCAACGAAATACAGATTAAAACACGACGACAGCAAAAAATGAAAAACAAGTATTAATGAGGATATGGAGAAAGTGGAAACCTTGTTGGGAACAGGCCCCCCAAAATCTGGCCATAAACTGGCCCCAAAACTGGCCATAAACAAAATCTCTGCAGCACTGTGACATGTTCGCGATGGCCCTGACGCCCACGCTAAAGGTTACGGGTTTACCAGAATGAGGGCAAGGAACACCTGGCCCACCCAGGGCAGAAAACCGCTTAAAGGCATTCTTAAACCACAAACAATAGCATGAGCGATCTGTGCCTTAAGGACGTGCTCCTGCTGTAGATAACTAGCCGAACCCATCCCTTTATTTCGGCCCATCCCTTTATTTCCCATAAGGAATACTGCTAGTTAATCTATAACCTACAGAAACAATGCTTATCACTGGCTTGCTGTTAATAAAGGCGCGGGTAAATCTCTGTTCAAGGCTCTCAGCTCTGAAAGCTGTGAGACTCCCGATTTCCCACTCCATACCTCTATATTTCTGTGTGTGTGTCTTTTACTCCTCTAGCGCCGCTGGGTTAGGGTCTCCCTGACCCAGCTGGCATCCGCAAACCTGAAACATTGCTAGTGAGAATGTAAAATGATGCACTGCTGTGAAGACATTTTGGCAGTTTCTTAAAGTTACTATAAAGTTCAGAGTTACTATATGACCCATCAATTCCATTCTTGGATATATACATAAACAGGTGTTCAGACAGAAACTTGTACATGAATGTTCATAGCAGCACTATTCACAACAGGCAAAAAGTGGAAACAACCCCAGTGTCCATCAACAGATGAAGGAACAAAATATGGTACGTATTATTCATACCATATAAATATCCCAATAATACAATATTATTCAGCCATAACAAGGAATAAGGTGCTGACACATGCTACAACATGGATGAACCTTAAAAACATCCTGCTAGGCTGGGCGGGGTGGCTCACGCCTGTAATCCCAGCACTTTGGGAGGCCAAGATGGGCAGATCACTGGAGGTCAGAAGTTCGGGACCAGCTGGCCAATGTGGTAAAACCCTGTCTCTACTAAAAATACAAAAATTAGCTGGGCACGATGGCGGGCACCTGTAATCCCAGCTACTCAGGAGGCTAAGATAGGAGAATTGTTTGAACCCAGGAGATGGAGGTTGCAGTGAGCTGAGATCGCGCCACTGCACTCCAGCCTGGGCGACAGAGCAAGACTCTGTCTCAAAAAAAAAAAAAAGAAAAAAAATCACGCTACCTGAAAGGAGCCAGACACAAAAGCCAAACACAAAAGGCCACATGTTGCATGATTCCACTTACATGAAACATCCAGAATAGGTAAATCCAGAGAGAGAAAGCAGACTACTAGTTGCCACAGGCTTGGGAGACAAGGAAATGAGAAGTAACTGTTTAATGAGTGCAGCATTTTCTTTTGAGGAGATGAAAATGTTCTGAAACTACATGATGCTGATGGCTACACAAAACCATAAATATACTAAACACCACTGAATTACACATTTTTAAACGGGCTAGGTGCAGTGGCTCATACCTGTAATCTCAGCACTTTGGGAGGACAAGACAAGAGGACTGCTTGAGACCAGGAGGTCAAGACCAGCCTAAGCAACAAGGTGAGAATCCATCTCTACAAAAAATTTAAAAATTAGCCCAGTAGTCCCAGCTACTCAGGAGGCTGAGGCAAGAGGATCACATGAGCCCAGGAGGTCGAGGCTGCAGTGAGCCATGTTTGCACCACTGCACTCCAGCCTGGGCAACAGAGGGAGACCCTGTCTCAAAAAAAAAAAAAAAACAAATAAAGTTCGCTGGGCGCAGTGGCTCGTGCCTATAATCCCAGCACTTTGGGAGGCCGAGGCAGGCGTATCACCTGAGGTCAGGAGTTCGAGATCAGCCTGGCCAATATGGCGAAACCCTGTCTCTACTAAAAATGCAACAATTAACTGGGCATGGTGACGGGCACCTGTAATCCCAGCTACTCAGGAAGCTGAGGCAGGAGAATTGCTCAAACCCAGGAGGCAGAGGTTGTGGTGAGCCAAAATTGCACCACTGCACTCCAGCCTGGGCGACAAGAGCAAAACACCACCTCAAAAAAAGAAAGAAAAAAAAAAGAAATATTTAGCATTTTTAAATAGTAAATTAAAAATGGAAGACACAAGCTAGGCATTGGGCACAACCCTGTAATCTCAGCTACTCGGGAGGCTAAGGCAAGAAGACTGCTTGAGCCCAGGAGTTTGAGACCAGCCTGGGCAACAAAGCAAGACCTCTGCCTCGAAAGAAAGAAAAAGAAAAAGATGAAAAGGAAGAGAGAGTGAGAGCAAAAAGGAAGGAAGGAAGGAAGACAGGCAGGCAGGCAAAGGATACAAAATTGTATTTCTCTGATGATCCCAATTTTATAAATATATATTATGTGTATGTATATATTATTTCATTGTGACTATGTTTGAAGTTTTGATATATTTCCTGACAACCTGTTTTTAATGCACAGAAATATATTTAGAACACATACAACAAAATATTCGTAACAGAAAAAGAGTTTCCACAAATCAATCAGAAAAAAAGATAAACACCACAACAGAAATATGGACAAAAGGCCTGAACAGACAATTCATAGAATAAACAAATGTATATGAACTATATGAAAAGATGTTCAGCCTAATAATTAAATTCAGATTAAAACAAGATATGTTTGGGCCGGCACGGTGGCTCACGCCTGTAATCCCAACACTTTGGGAGGAAGAGATGGGCAGATCACCTGAGGTCAGGAGTACAAGACCAGCCTGACCAACATGGTAAAACCCCGTCTCTACTAAAAATACAAAAAATTAGCCAGGGGTGTGGTGGCACACGCCTGTAATCCCAGCTACTTGGGAGGCTGAGGCAGGAGAATAGCTCTTGAACCCAGGAGGCAGAGGTTGCAGTGAGGCAAGATTGTACCACTGCACTCCAGCCTGGGCAGTAAGAGTGAAACTCCGTCTCCAGAAAAAAAGATATGTTCTTCCTAGCAGATTGGAAACGTTTCAGAAAAGCGGTAACACTTTATTACAGGTATAAAGAAACTGGAATGTTAAACATTACTAGCAGAGGTCTAAATTGGCACAATTTTTAAGGAAAGTAATTTAGCAATATCTATTAAAATTTAAAATGCACATTTCTTGGGCCAGGTGCAGTGTGGCACATGCCTGTAATCCCAGCACTTTGGGAGGCCGAGGCAGACAGATCACCTGAGATCAGGAGTTCGAGACCAGCCTGACCAACTTGAAACCCCGTCTCTACTCAAAATACAAAAATTAGCCGGGCGTGGTGGCAAGCACCTGTAGCCCCAGCTACTAGGGAGGCTTAGGCAGTAGAATCGCTTGAACCCAGGAAGCAGAGGTTGCAGTGAGCCGAGATTACACCACTGCATTTCAGCCTGGGCGACAGAGCGAGGCTCCATTTCAAAAAAAAAGTACATTTCTTGGATTCACCAAAGTCCAGTTTTAGCAATTAATGCTCCAGAAAAACCCCTACAAGTGTGTAAAAATAAGTGTACATGGATATTTGAAAAAAGAAAAATCTTAAATACTCCACGGGTCCACCAGAAAGATCTTTGTTTTGATGTGGGATCATCTTTTAAGATGTTGTCTGTTATCTCATATACAACATGTTAATTTGATATGAATTCAACTTGAGTGGGTTTTTTGAGTGGGTCTCTGCTCCTTATAATTAACTCTTAACTAAGATCGATGGAATTTCAGGAGCATACTCACGATACAGTATCAAGAAATATTCATGATAGAACATCAAGTGAAAAAAGTCAAAACAAAATTTTACATTACACATTATCACTCTGTTAAAATATATACACATACACCTACACATAGTAAAATCTGGAAAGAACTGATCTGGGTGATGATTAAATGCATGTGTGTGTGTGTATATATATATATTAAGCTATATACTTATATACTTAGAATTTGTGCACTTTACTGTCTTTAAATTACTTTTTTTTTTTTTGAGATGCAGTCGCGCTCTGTCACCTAGGCTGCAGTGGCGCCATCTCGGCTCACTGCAACCTCTGCTTCCCGGGTTCACGCCATTCTCCTGCATCAGCTTCCCGAGTAGCTGGGACCACAGGCGCCCGCCACCAAGCCTGGCTAATTTTTTATATTTTTAGTAGATGGGGTTTCACCATGTTAGCCAGGATGGTCTCGATCTCCTGACCTTGTGATCCGCCCGCCTCGGCCTCCCAAAGTGCTGAGATTACAGGTGTGAGCCACTGTGCCCGGCCCAAAAATATTTTTTAACTGAAAGGAACTATATAAAGGCATCAACATGCTTATAAAGCCTAATTCCAGATAAAGGGATAATGAGTGAATTATTTCCACATCCTTCTATAATTTCTTTTTTCTTTTTTTTTTTTTTGACACCTAATTTTCACTCTTGTTGCCCAGGATGGAGTGCAGTGGCTTGATCTCGGCTCATTGCAATTTCCGCCTCCTGGGTTCAGACGATCCTCCTGCCTCAGCTTCCTGAGTAGCTAGGATTACAGGTGCACGCCACCACACCCGGCTAATTTTTGTATTTTTAGTAGAGACCAGGTTTCACCATGTTGGCCAGGCTGGTCTTGCACTCCTGACCTCAGGTGATCTGCCCACCTCAGCCTTCCAAAATGCTGGGATTACAGGTGTGAGCCACTGCGCCCGGCCTACATCCTTCTACAATTTCTAAGTTTTCTATTAGAAACTGTATTTTAAAACTCAACATTTTATTTATTTATTTATTTATTTAAGAGACAGGAGCCTCACAACGTTGCCCACGCTGGACTCAAATTCACGGGCTCAAGCAATCTTCCTGCCTCAGCCTCCCAAGTAGCTGGGACTACAAGTGCACACCACCACACCTGGCTAAACTTTTTTTTTTTTTTTTTTTGAGACAGGGTCTTGTTCAGTTGCCCAGGCTGGAGTACAGTGGTGTCATCATGACTCACGGCAGCCTCAACCCCTCAGACTCAAGCAATCCTCCTGCCTCAGCCTCCCAAGTAGCTGAGACTACAGGCATGCACCACTACACTCAGCTTTTTATTTTTTGTAGAGACAAGGTCTTGCTATGTTGCCCAGGCTGGTCTCGAAATCCTGGGCTCAAGCCATCCTCCTGCCTCCGCCTCCCAAGTAGCTGAGACTACAGGCATGCACCACTACACTCAGCTTTTCATTTTTTGTAGAGACGAGGTCTTGCTATGTTGCCCAGGCTGGTCTCGAAATCCTGGGCTCAAGCCATCCTCCTGCCTCTGCCTCCCAAAGTGCTGGGATTACAGGCATGTGCTACCATGCCTGGCCAACGTTTTATTTTTAAAGAGAGAAAAATGCCATTCCTTATATGGATGACCTTCATGTTTCTTTCCTATCCCAAGAGTTCAAATCATGGTTCCCTCACTTTCTAGTTGTGTCCCTCTCTTTCAACCCTCAGATTCTATAATTTATGTATAGTCCCTCGGGTATTTTTCCACATATTAAGTGATTATTAAATTAATCAATGAATAAATCATAGAGATTATGTTTTTGTTCAGGGTCACACCCAGAGCTACGCCCTCTATAGTAAATTTTCCAAGACATAAACTGCAAAGCTAGATAATAGTACTCTTTCCCTCTCTTGAACCCCAACAACACACCATCATCTGTTCCTTTTAAAGAACTGATCCTAGGCTGGGCGTGGTGGCTCACGTCTGTAATCCCAGCATTTTGGGAGGCCAAGGCTGGTCAGGAGTTTGAGACCAGCCTGGCCAACATGGTGAAACCCCATCTCTACTAAAAATACAAAAATTAACCAGGCGTTGTGGTGAGCACCTGTAATCCCAGCTACTCGTTGAGGCTGAGGCTGGAGAATCGCTTGAACCCGGGAGGTGGAGGTTGCAGTGAGCCAAGGTTGCACCATTGCACTCCACCCTGGGCGACAAGAGTGAAAACTCCGTCTCAAAAACAAACAAACAAACAAAAACTGATCCTGACTGGGCGCAGGGGCACTCGCCTGTAATCCCAACACTTTGGGAGGCCAAAGCAGGCAAATTACTTGAGTCCAGGAGTTAGAGACCAGCCTGGGCAACGTGGTGAAAACCCATCGCTAGAAAAAAGACAAAAAATATACAGGATTGGTGGCACCTGCCTGTAGTCGCAGCTACTCAGGACGATGAGGTGGGAGGATCACTTGAGCCCTGGAGGCAGAGTTTGCAGTGAGCTGAGATGGTGCCACCGTACTCCAGCCTGGGCAACAGAGTGAGACCCTGTCTCAAAACAAAAAAAAAGAACTGAAGAACTGATCCTTTCCTGCCTTGTTTCAGTGTGCCTGCCCTTCTCTTCTCTAGCACTCAACATAGACCCTGATAGGGGTTATAGGTGTTGATTTTATTCCTGACAGGCAACTACCCATGACAGGATCACAAAACCTCAAGTAGAAACAAAAAATGTGGCTGATAGATGTGGTATGAGGTATGTTAACAACCAGCTAATAATTCAACTTCTAAACTTAAGCAGTCCAAAATTTGGAAGTTCTTTCATGTGAATAGTTGTCTTGACAGAGACTCATCTTCCCTAGTAACTCTGTCTGTGTATGTGCATGTCTGTGTGTGATGTTTGTGTATTCTTCCCCTCATGTAATCCTCACAAGCTGATCCAAGTCCCCATAACTAGAAAGTGAGGAAGCCATAATTTGAAACCAGAACTGAAAGACTCTAAAGCCAAAGCTCTACAGTTATTCGGGTACTGAACTTAAAGCTACATCAGTCCTAAGAATTTGCAGTCATGTAGGTGCGTAACATTAAAACTCTTACAGTAGCCAAAACTGTGGTTCTCAAACCTTAGTATGCATCAGGACAGTGGCTTGTTAACATACAGGTTTCTAGGCCCCATCCCCAGAGTTTATGATTCAGCGGGTAAAGGGTGGGGTTAAAATGTACATTTCTAAGAAGTTCTCAGGTGATGCTGATACTACTGGTCCAGAGACCAGACAACGAGAACCACTGGCCTATAAAGCCCTACATCTTTCCCCCACACTCCCTCTCCCTTCCTCTCTAATCTCATCTTCCCACCACTTGTCCCCTCACTTACTACCTCCAACCTCAGTAACATTGTAAACAATTCTAATACATCAAGTATACTCCTAGCTTATGGCCCTCGCACAGGCTCTTCTCTCTGCCTGAAATACGTTTCTCCACATATACATATGGCTCACTCCTTTGACTCCTTAGAATTCTCCTGAAATTGTCATCCTCTCAGTGAGGTATACCCTGACCATCCTATTAAAAGTACAACATCAGCTGGGCGCGGTGGCTCACGCCTGTAATCCCAGCACTTTGGGAGGCCAAGGCGGGCGGATCACCTGAGGTCGGAAGTTCAATACCAGCCTGATAAATGTGGAGAAACCCCATCTCTACTAAAATTACAAAATTAGCCGGGCATGGTGGCGCATGCCTGTAATCCTAGCTATTCGGGAGGCTGAGGCAGGAGAATCGCTTGAATCTGGGAGGTGGAGGTTGTGGTGAGCAGAGATTGCACCATTGCGCTCCAGCCTGGGCAACATGAGCGAAACTCCGTCTCAAAAAAAAAAAAAAAAAAAAAAGTACAACATCTGTCTCCACCCTGCCCTAACATTCCTGATCCCATTAACCCTGTTTACTGTTTCCACAGCACTTTTCACTTCCTAACATACTATGTAAATTACTGGTTCATTATGTTTATTTTTCAATGTCTCCCTCCACTAAAACCAAAGCTTCACAAAGGCAGTTTCACTCATTGATGTGTCTTAAGAACCTAAAATAGTGACTAGTAAATAACGGGAACTCAGTAAATAAGAGCTGAAGGAGGGAATAAAAAACAGAGAAAACTAACTTTGAGATCTTCTAGACAATCACTGATTGCAAGACACTCACTCTCAATTATAAACATACCTTCGTTATATCATTTATCACAGTGCATTGTCATTATTGGCTTACACGCCTAACCCCTCAGAAGACTATGAGCCCCTTAAGGACAGTGACTGTCTCACTTACACATCTTTGCAAACAAGTGCCCCATCACTAAGTTGGTCTTTCAATAACACAAAAGTAGAAGACTTTAGAGACAGGGAGAACAGGCTTCCAATTCTTGCTTTATAGTCTCGGGCATGTTATTCAAACTCTCTGCACTTTAGTTTCCTAATCTCCAACATGGGGATAATACCATCTAATACCTGGCATTGAAATGTATTCAATAAAAAAACAACCATTAACTTAAATATCATCTATGAATAACAGGGATGGAATGTTACCAGCCTCATGTTTTTGGCCCCCTATGACCCACAGTGTACTAGTGAGCAGGATGGTCAGCTGAGGCTAGCATAAAAGGGGGTCGAGGCCAGGCGTGGTGGCTCACACCTGTAATCCCAGCACTTTCGGAGGCCGAGGCGGGTGGATAACGAGGTCAGGAGTTCGAGACCAGCCTGGCCAACATAGTGAAACTCTGTCTCTACTAAAAATACAAAAATTAGCCAGGCGTGGTGGCACTCACCTGTAATCCCAGCTACTCGGGAGGTTGAGGCAGGAAGATCACTTGAGCCCAGGAGGCAGAAGTTGCAGTGAGCTGAGATTGCACCACTGCACTCCAGCCTGGGCGACACAGCGAGACTCTGTCTCAAAAAAAAAAAAAAAAACAAAAAAAAAAACTGAGGCGAGTAAGGCTAATTGGAATAACTGCTCTTCTGGAGACTAACTCAATGACTTTGGCCTCATTAAATGCACCACACTCATAACTAACTGAGCTAAGTAGTTAACAGAGCTAGATGGGCAGACTGACAATCCTCCACAAAACACTAAACATTCTTCTAGTAGATAAAATTCAAAATGTACTACTTTTAATACGCAGGGGAAAGAATGTACTTCACACAGATGTTGTGAGAAAATGGGGTGGGGTATATTAGATTAAATATTTAACAAAGAAAGGGATTACACACTACGGTTGACCCTTGAACAACATGGGTTTCAACTGTGTGGGTACACTTATACATAGATTTTCTTCCACCTCTGCCACTCCAAGACAGTAAGACCAACTCCTCCTCTTCCTCTTCAGCCTACTCAGTGTGAAGATGATGAGCATAAAGACCTTTTAAATGATCCACTTCCACTTCCTGAAGGATAAATATATTTTATTTCCCAGCCAGGCACGGTGGCTCACACCTGCAATCCCAGCACGTTGGGAGGCCAAGGTAGGCGGATTACAAGGTCAGGAGTTTGACACCAGCCTGGCCAATATGGTGAAACCCTGTCTCTACTAAAAATACAAAAATTAGCCGGGCGTGGTGGTGGGTGCCTGTGGTCCCAGCTACTTGGGAGGCTGAGGCAGGAGAATCACTTGAACCTGGGAGGCAGAGGTTGCAGTGAGCCAAGATCACACCACTGCACTCCAGCCTGGGCGACAGAACGAGACTCCATCTCACACACACAAAAAATAATATTTTATTTCCCTTATGATTATGTTTTCTCTAGCTTACTTTATTGTGAGACTACAGTATATAATACATTTAACATACAAAATATGTGTTAATTAACTATTTGTGTTATTGGTAAGGTTTCCAGTCAGCAGTAGGCTGTTAGTAAAGTTTTCAGGGAGTCAAAAGTTACTTGTGGATTTTCTGCTACACAGAGAATTAGTGCCCCTAACCCCCAACTTGGTTCAAGAGTCAAGTGTATTTGGACATACAGAACCTCAGAGTTCAGCAAAACTGGATGTTGGTTTAGCAGATGATACTCCTAAATTTCTATTGTATTTCTGCTGTGGTTTAAATGTGTCCTTTCCAAAATTCAGGTGTTGCCAATGTGATAGTATGAAGAGGTGAGGCCTTTAACAGGTGATTAGGCCATGAGAGCTGCTCCCTTGTTAATGGGATTAAGGCCTTTTTTAATTTATTTATTTTATTTATTTTTATTTATTTTTTTGAGACGGAGTTTCGCTCTTGTTGCCCAAGCTGGAGTGCAATGGTGTGATCTCAGCTCACCGCAACCTCCGCCTCCCAGGTTCAAGTGATTCTCCTGCCTCAGTCTCCCAAGTAGCTGGGATTACAGGCATGTGCCACCACGCCCAGCTAATTTTGTATTTTTAGTAGAGACCGGGTTTCTCCCTGTCAGTCAGGCTGGTCTTGAACTCCTGACCTCGGGTGATCCGCCCGCTTCGGCCTCCCAAAGTGCTGGGATTACAGGCATTAGCCACCACGCTCAGCCTATTTTATTTATTTATTTATTTTTGGAGATAAGGTCTGGCTCTGTCACTCAGGCTAGAGTGCAGTGTCACTATCTCAGCTCACTGCAACCCCACTTCCTGGGCTCAAGCAATCCTCCCACCTCAGTCTCCTGAGGATCTGGGACTACAGGCACACGCAACCCAGAAAGCTAATGTTTGTATCTTTATTCATAGAGACAGGGTTTCGCCGTGTTGCCGGGGCTGGTCTCGAACTCCTGGGCTCAAGCGATCCACCCTCCTTGGCCTCCGAAAGTGCTGGGATTACAGGCGTGAGCCACCGTGCTTGGCTCCAAGGCCCTTTTAAAAGAGGCTTCAGGCCGGGTGCGGTGGCTCATGCCTGTAATCCCAGCACTTTGGGAGGCCAAGGCGGGTGAATCACGAGGTCAGGAGACCAATACCATCTTGGCCAACATGCTGAAACCCCGTTTCTACTAAAAATACAAAAAAATTAGCTGGGCATGGTGGCACGCGCCTATAGTCCCAGCTACTCAGGAGGCTGAGGCAGGAGAATCGCTTGAACCCAGGAGGTGGAGGCTGCAGTGAGTTGAGATAGTGCCACTGCACCTGAGCCTGGCGACAGAGCAAGACTGTCACCAAAAAAAAAAAAAAACACAAAAAAAACAAAAAATGCAGTGGCTCATACCTGTAATCCCAGCACTTTGGGAGGTCAAGGCAGGAGGATTACCTGAGGTCAGCAGTCCGAGACCAGCCTGGCCAACATGGTGAAACCCCATCTCTACTAAAAATACAAAAATTAGCTGGGCATGGTGGTGCATACCAGTAATCCCAGCTACTCGAGAGGCTGAGGCAGGAGAATTGCTTGAATCCGGAAGGCGGAGGTTGCAGTGAGCTGAGATCGCAACACTGCACTCCACCCTGGGCTACAGAGCAAGACTCCGTCTCGGGGGAAAAAAGTCCGAATAGGCAGCCTCTATTTTTAATTTAATTTTATTTATTTATTGTTGAGAGGGAGTCTCACTCTGTCCCCTAGGCTGGAGTGCAGTGGCACGATCTTGGCTCACTGCAACCTCCGCCTCCCAAATTCAAGTGATTCTCCTGCCTCAGCCTCCCAAGTAGCTGGGACTACAGGCGTGGACCACCACGCTCAGCTAATTTTTGTATTCTTAGTAGAGACGGGGTTTTACCATGTTGGCCAGGCAGGTCTCAAACTCCTGACCTCAGGTGATCCGCCTGCCTCAGCCTCACAAAGTGCTGGGATTATAGGCGTGAGCCACCATGCCCAACCTATCTCTTCATAATTAATACAACAAATATTCATTAAGCACCTACTACATAAAGTACGTTTTTCTACCAAAGTTAAGAAATTTGCCTACCTGACTCTGAGATGGAGCCGGGACCCCTTTTTTAGGGCCTGCAGACCCCAAGCATGGAAATAAAGGAAAATATGAGTTCCTTCAAGGAAAATTCCAGCGCCCTAGCTAGCCCTAGAAGTGACTGAGCAACCTGTTAAACAAGACAGTAGCCTAAAACAATAGCCAAAGAAGTCAGTGACAGAGATGTTTGCTTTCCCCACACAAACTAAGGAGAACATCTTAAAATGTGTCCCTGAGCTGTCTTTCAGAAATTCAGACACCCACTGAGGTTCCACACCGGACACATAGACCTTAGATAAAAGGATGTAGGGCCAGGTGGGGTGGCTCATGCCTGTAATCCCAGCACTTTGGGAGGCCCAGGCGGGAGGATCATGAGGTCAGGAGATTGAGACCATCCTGGCTAACATGGTGAAATCCCATCTCTACTAAAAATACAAAAAATCAGCCAGGTGTGGTGGCACGCTCCTGTAGTCCCAGCTACTCAGGAGGCTGAGGCAGGAGAATCACTTGAACCCAGGGGGTGGAGGTTACAGTAAGCAGAGATTGCACCACTGTACTCCAGCCTAGGCCACAGAGTGAAACTAAGTCTCAAAAAAAAAAAAAAAAAAAAGGAAGTAAACACTGAAAGTTAACCATCATAACTTTCTAAGGTTCTAAGGTTTGTTCCTGAAGGGCTTAAAGAAAGTCACTCCCCCTAACTAGTTATCATTTTGCTACTGACCCCAAATTTTTATACAAAGCTTTTCTTCCTTAACCAACTGCAAATCAGAAAATCTTTGCATCTACCTACAACCCATAAACCCCACTTCAAGACAGCGCTTCCTTTTAGGCTTAAATCAATGTGTAACCTCCAAGTATTGATTCACAATTTTGCCTGCAGCTCCTGCTTTCCTGAAATTTACCCATACCTTTAAAAACCCTTGCCTTGGCCGGGCGCGGTGGCTCACGCCTGTAATCCCAGCACTCTGGGAGGCCGAGGTGGGCAGATCACGAGGTCAGGAGATCGAGACCATCTGGCTAACACGGTGAAACCCCGTCTCTACTAAAAAATAGAAAAAATTAGCTGGGCATGGTGGCAGGCGCCTGTAGTCCCAGCTACTTGGGAGGCTGAAGCAGGAGAACGGCGTGAACCCGGGAGGCGGAGCTTGCAGTGAGCCGAGATCGTGCCACTGCACTCCAGCCTGGGCGACAGAGCGAGACTCCGTCTTAAAAAAAAAAAAAAAAAACCCTTGCCTGCAAGCCACTGGGGAGGCCAGGATTTGAACATTCAGCTGCCTCGTCCTCCTTGCTTGGCACCCTGCAGTAAAAGCCTTTCTTTCAATGACTGCAAATATCAGTGTAGATAACTGGTTCTACTGCACTGGGCAAGCAGACTCCAATTTAGTTCTACAACAACTCTGAGACAAAGGAGTTTATAATACAGCTCTATAATGTTTCCATTTTCATACTGACCTATGGCTTTTAAAATCAAGAAAAAAATAAAAAATGTTTTTATCAAATAAAAACTCTAAGAAAAACAAGGAGAGAGACACCTAGTGAAGAAAAAAAAAAACAAGCTCTAAAATATTTAAAGAGATTTATTTTGAATCAATATGAACGACCATGGCCCAGGGAACAGTCTCAACACGTTCTTGTGCCTGAGATGCTCATGTTACAGGTTGGTTTTGGTTTACAAATTTTGGATGAAGCCTCCAGGTAACCAAGAGTATAGATGGTAAATATCTCTTTTCAGACCTTAAAAGGTATCCAACTCTTAGATAATCTGCTAGATCTGGGAAAGCCCTGTCTGTACTAATGGAGATTCTCTACAGACTCAAATTTCCCCCACAAAAGACAGCTTTGCAGGGCCATTTTAAAACATCTCAAAGAAATACATTTTGGGGTAAAATACTTTTATTTCCTTCAGGGTCTGCTATGTGTCATATGATGCTAGATAGAGTCAGGTTGGAATTTGGTTATCTTTGGGTTGTTTTGTTTTGTTTTTGAGACAGGATCTTGCTCTGTTGCCCAGGCTAGAGTGCAGTGGCTTGATCTCACTGCAACCTCTGCCTCCCAGGCTCAAGCAATCCTCCACATCAGGCCTCTCGAGTACCTGGTTCTACAGGTGGGTGACACCTCGCTTGGCTAATTTTTGTCTTTTTTGTAAAGACGGGGTTTCACCATGTTGCCTAGGCTGCTCTGGAACTCCTGGATTCAAGTGATCCACCTTCCTCAGTCTCCCAAAATGCTGGGATTTCAGGCATGAGCCACAGCGCCCAGCTGGAATTTCGTATCTTATTGTCAGAGTTTCTTTTGTCAGTCTTATGATCTCCATTTTAACATTAATGGTGGTCATGACTTAAAGGGAGGTTGGCCATGCCTCATTATACCCCTCTCCAAAAGAGAGAGAGAAGCTGAGGTAGGAGGATCCCTTGAGCCCAGGAGTTCAAGACCAGCCTGGGCAACATAGTGACACACTCACTATCTCTACAAAAAATTTAAAAATGAGACAGGTGTGGTGGCATGTGTCTGTGGTCGCAGCTACTCCAGAGGCTGAGTAGGAGGATGGCTTGAACCTGGGAGGTCTAGGCTGAACTGCGCTGTGATTGAGCCCCTGCATTCCAGCCTGGGCAAAAGAGAGGGGTATAATGAGGGATGGCCAACCTCCCTTTGAGTCATGACCTGGAATTTAGTTTTTCAGGTTTCTCTAGGGTCCCCTTGGGTGGGCATTCAATTGGCTGAGGGGCTTAGGATTTTACTTTTGGTTTACACATCTAACTTACCCAAAATAAAATATTTAGTTTTCTTCAACAATATTAACAATATATCCCAAAATTAGTAGCTATCTTCATAACTAGGCTAAAACATTGTTAGAGGGCCATTGTTCTAAAACTACAAAAAGAAAGAATGAAAAAGGCATCAGAGATGATACACCTGAAAAAATAACCAAGTCCTGGCTGGGCGCGGTGGCTCACACCTGTAATCCCAGCACTTAGGTGGGCGGATCACGAGGTCAGGAGATCGAGACCATCCTGGCTAACGTGGTGAAACCCTGTCTCTACTACAAATACAAAAAAATTAGCCGGGCGTGGTGGTGGGCGCCTGTAGTCCCAGTTACTCAGGAGGCTGAGGCAGGAGAATGGCGTGAACCCGGGAGGTGGAGCTTGCAGTGAGCTGAGATAGTGCCACCGCACTCCAGCCTGGGAGACAGAGCGAGACTCCGACTCAAAAAAAAAAAGAAAAAGAACCAAGTCCTCTGACACTCCTGGAAAGTAATTCTAACGTGTTGTAACGAAAAAGCATGTAATTTGTTATAAATCAGGTTTATTCATTTACTGTCTTATAATTGTGGCCTGTGATTATTTCTTTTTTTGTTTCTTTTTGAGACAGGGTCTAGCTATGCTGCCCAGGCTGGAATGCAGTGGCTCAATCACAGCTCATTGCAGCCTGGACCTCCCAGGCTCAAACGATCCTCCCAGCTCGTCCTCTGGAGCTGAGGCACATGCCATCACACTGGGCTCATTTTTATATTTTTTTATTTTATTGTATTTTATTGTATTTTTTTGAGACAGAGTTTCGCTCTTGTTGCCCAAACTGGAGTGCAATGGCGCAATCTCAGCTCACTGCAACCTCTGCCTCCAGGTTCGAGCAATTCTCCTGCCTCAGCCTCCCAAGTAGCTGGGATTACAGGCGCCCACCACCATGCCTGGCTAATTTTTGTGTATTTTTAGTAGAAATGGGGTTTCACCATGTTAGCCAGGCTGTTCTCGAACTCCTGACCTCAGGTGATCCACCCACCTCGGCTTCCCAAAGTGCTGGGATTACAGGCATGAGCCACCGTGCCCGGCCTCATTTTTAAATTTTTTTGTAGAGACAGTGTTGCACTACGTTGCCCGGGCTAGCCTCAAACTCCTGAGTTCCAGGGATCCTCCTACCTCAGCTTCCCAAAGTGGTGAGATTACAGGATCGAGCCATCGCACCTGGCCCAATTATTCTTTCTAAACCATTTCCTCTTCTGTGTTCATGCCTTTAAAAATAAAATTTAAAAAAAAAAAAAAAATCCTTAAAATTTCTCAGGTGTTTTCCATATCATTTTATTATCAAGAATATGGCTAATCAGAAGTCACAGCCAGCCCCCGAACTACAACTACAAAACATGCATATTATAGGCTACACTGAGGGATTTCTGAGGTTAGCAGATGCAAATCTTTTTTTTCCTTCAAAGAAGACAGACCCAGGCAAAAAGCATAAAACATCCTGAAACTGTCACCAAAAAAAAAAAAGTTTCTTAGAAGCAAACCCCTAGTAACTACCTAGTCTAAGAAAAACATTTCCAGAACTGATAAAGAGTGGGGAAAGAGGAAAGAACAATGGTTGTTGTTAACCACAATTCTGAAAACAAGCAACCTGTCTCCTCTCCTGACACAGCTCCTCTACTGCAATGTGGGCTGGAGACTGAACCACAAAGAGGTCGCACTACAGCTCTGCATTTCAACGATTATGCCACTGCTTCAGTTTTCCCACATCTATAATTTTAAAAAAACAAACAAACCTCAGTAATAGTAAGACAGCAAACAGAAGACCTGGATTCTAACAGATCTTTCTAACTTGGTGGGTAACAATGGACAAACAATTTTATTTCAAGCGGGGCTAAAAAAATTAAAAATCATTTAAAAGTACAGTGTAAAACTACAAAGTCATTTATAAATATTAATCATTACCATCTGTCAAAAGTGATAGCTGAACTATCTCTGATTTCTAGCTCTGACATTTTTTGATTCTGTGACCAATATAAACCAATGCACATACATTGTTTGGCCAACTGGAATAGTTTAGAAATCAAGGACTTCCGGCCGGGTGCGGTGGCTCACGCCTGTAATCCCAGCACTTTGGCAGGCTGAGGCGGGTGGGTCACCTAAGGTCAGGAGTTCGAGGCCAGCCCCGACCAACATGGTGAAACCCCCTCTCTACTAAAAATACAAAAATTAGCTGGGCATGGTGGCAGGCACCTGTAATTCCAGCTACTTGGGAGGCTGAGGCAGGAGAATCGCTTGAACCCAGGAGGCAGAGGTTACAGTGCGCTGAGATCAAGCCACTGCACTCCAGCCTGGGCAAGAGAGTGACACTCCATCTCAAACAAAAAAAAAAAAAAAAAAAGAAAGAAAGATATCAAGGAATCCCACATTCACAGAGGAATGAAACTCAATGTGAGAAACCTCTACAGACTTTTCACTGCTCAGACCTCTCAGCATTCCAGGAAAGCATTTTAGGCTAACCCAGCTAGTTCAGTACATAAAGTAGACCACAGATGGCCAAGCAAAATTTTAACCTGACTTACCCATCACATAATGAACAATAAAAAATAAAAAATTACTAACCTGGTTCTCTTTAACAGGAAGCTCTACAAGAGATTCCATGTACGACAACAAGCAAATATCAAAGACAGTACAATATTTGAGAAACACAACGGTCTAAACTATACCTATTGCCATCTTACTTCCTGAGTCATATCTGATCCCCTGAAGGCATACTGAAAACAACTTGACATCTGGCACACACTCTCATTTTCTGCCATGCCAGGATTCTACCACTCATAAGACTCAGCCCAGGGTTCTACATACGCCAAATGAAAATCAGCAACCACAGAAGATTTGGAATATGGCATTTGACTAACTGCTTCACTTAGTAACTTTTAAGAACTAAATCCAGCTGGGTGCGGTGGCTCACACCTGTAATCCCAGCACTTTGGGAGGCCGAGGCGGGCGGATTCCGAGGTCAGGAGATCGAGACCATCCTGGCTAACACAGTGAAACCCCGTCTCTACTAAAAATACAAAAAATTAGACTGGCGTGGTGGCAGGCCCCTGCAGTCTCAGCTACTCGGGAGGCTGAGGCAGGAGAATGGCGTGAACCTAGGAGGCGGAGCTTGCAGTGAGCCGAGATGGCACCACCGTACTCCAGCCTGGGCGACAGAGCGAGACTCTGTCTCGCGAAAAAAAAGAAAAAAGAACTAAATCTGGCCAGGTGCAGTGGCTCATGCCTGTAATCTCAGCACTTTGGGAGGCCGAGGCGGGCGGATCACGAGGTCCAGAGATGGAGACCATTCTGGCTAACATGGTGAAACCGCATGTCTACTAAAAACACAAAAATTAGCTGGGCATGGTAGCACGCGCCTGTAGTCCCAGCTACTCGGGAGGCCAAGGCAGGAGAATCGCTTGAACCCGGGAGGCAGAGGTTGCAGTGCCGCAGTCACACCACTGCACTCCAGCCTGGGCGACAGAGCAAGACTCCGTCTCAAAAAAAAAAAAAAAAAAAGAACTAAATATAAAAATCTGGCCGTAATAGCCTGTGTTTAATTACTGAATTCGGCCAGGTGCAGTGGCTCATGCCTGTAATCCCAGCACTTTAGGAGGCAGAGGTGGGTGGATCACCTGAGGTCAGGAATTCAACACCAGCCTGGCCAACATGACGAAAGCGTCTTTACCAAAAATACAAAAATTAGCCAGGTGTGGTGGCGCTTGCATGTAGTCCCAGCTACTCAGGAGGCTGAGGCAGAAGAATTGCTTGAACCTTGGAGGCGGAGGCTGCAGTAGCCAAGATCGCACCATTATATTCCAGCCTGGGTGACAGAGTGAGACTCCGTCTCAAAAAAAAAAACCAAAAAACTGAATTCCACAAGGAAGTCACCAGCTTCTGAAAGGCAAGCCTCTTTCTCACTGGACATTAGGCCATCTCTAGCAGGAACCTAAAACATATCAACATATGAAGTATAGGTTCCTTCATGTGTACCCAGGTTCCTAAGAGACCTCTAAGACTATCTGACAGTAATTCAAAGCCAGGGACAGCAACAGGATTTTTTTTTTTTTTTGAGTCAGGGTCTCACCCTATTGCCCAGGCTGGAGTGCAGTGGCACAATCATGGCTCACCACAGTCTGGACCTCCCTGGACTCAGCTGATCTGCCAACCTCAGCATCCCAAGGAACTGGAACCACAGACATACACCACTACACCAGGCTAATTTTTCTATTTTCTGTAGAGACCCGAGTCTCGCCATGTTGCCCAGGATTGTCTCAAACTCCTGGCCTAAAGCCATCCTCCCCCACTCGGCCCCTCAAAGTGCTGGGATTACAGGCATGAGCTACCATACCTGGCCACAACAGGAATTTACAAGCTGAGCGAAGCCCAAGTACACCTTCCAACAAAGCCAAAAAACAAGCTTATAAAAGGATGTAGGACTGGAAAGGGGTGTTACCAAAGGAGGCTTTAGGCAAAGAAAACTTTATTTTTAACCTAGGAAGGAAGGAAGGGCTGAGCAGACTCTAAGAGAATTTGGTTTAAGCACCAAACACTGTGACTCAGGATTTCCTTCTATGAAGAAAATTGCAGGGCCCCAATATCATTAAAGTAAAATCCACTAATTTCAGTATGATCCTCCCTGCCTGATGGAGTCAAATAGCGTTCTCTTTAGAATATACAGTCTCAGCCAGGCATGGTGGTTCATGTCTATAATCCCAGCACTTTGGGAGGCTGAGTCGGGAGTATCACTGTTCAAGCTGTTTAAGGCCAGCCTGGGCAAGATGGTGAGAACCCATCCCTACAAAAAAATAATAATTAGTTGGGCAGCCAGGTGCGGTGGCTTATACCAATAATCCCAGCATTTTGGGAGGCCGAGGTGGGCAGATCACTTGAGCCCAGAGGTTCAAGACCAGCCTGGGCCCATTAGCAGGTATAGTGATGCACACCTGTAGTTCCAGCTACCTAGAGGCTGAGGTGGGAGGATCACTTGAGCCCAGGAGGTCAAGGTTGTAGTAAACCATGATCACACCACTGCACTTTGGCCTGGGCAACAGGGTGAGACCCTGTCTCAAAAAAACAACAATGGGCGCAGTGGCTCACACCTGTAATCCCAGCACTTTGGGAGGCCGAGACGGGCGGATCATCTGAGGTCTGGAGTTCAAGACCAGCCTGACCAACATGGAGAAACCCCATCTCTACTAAGAATACAAATTAGCCAGGCATGGTGGCGCATGCCTATAATCCCAGCTACTCAGGAGGCCGAGGCAGGAGAATCGCTTGAACCCGGGAGGCAGAGGTTGCAGTGAGCCAAGATCGCACCATTGCATTCCAGCCTGGGCAACAAGAGCGAAACTCTGTCTCAGAAAAAAAAAAAAAAAAAAAAAGCCAGGTGTGGTGGCACTTGCCTGTAGTCCCAAGTACTCAAGAGGCTAAGGTAGGAGGATCCCTTGAGCTCAGAAATTCGAGGCTCAGAAACGCCGAGGAAGTGAGGTATGATTGTCCACTGTACCCTAGCCTGGGTCTGGCTTTTTTAAGCCAGACCACATCTCAAAATATGTATATATACAGAAATTTAGCTTGTATTTTAACTGCCTTGGGCTACTCTGTAATTGTTTTCTGTGTGTGGGTCTCATCTCTCCTGACTTCTTACTTGTTCTACCTAAAAAAAGAAAACACATAACCTAACTTAAGAACTCTTTCCGTACTTCAGTAGGCTTGACTTCTGGAAGCATCCACAGATGTCTGAGATAAGCCATAAGATTTTGAGTTTTGCTGCAGCTAGTAATCTGGGCTTCAGAGCAAAGATGCCTTTTTAAATGACCACAAGAATCTGCCCAGAATCAACCAGCCCAGTAGAGGAAGATGAAAATTAAGTGTAGTCCACATCGACTCCCAGTTTGAAACTGGCTCATAAAACTTTTTATAGCTACTTCATCTCTGGGGAGGGATATCCTTTTCTCTTTTAAATAAGAAGTCTTATTTAAAAGTCTCAGTCGGCAAGGTGTGGTGGTTCACACCTGTAATCCCAGCCCTTTAAGAGGCCAAGGAGGGTGGATCATGAGGTCAAGAGTTCGAGACCAGCCTGGGCAACATGGTGAAACCCCATCTCTACTAAAAATACAAAAATTAGCTGGGCGTGATGGCAGATGCATGTAATCCCAGCTACTCGGGAGGCTGAGGCATGAGAATCGCTTGAACCCAGGAGGCAGAGGTTGCAGTGAGCCAAGATCGTGCTACTGCACTCCAGCCTGGGCCACAAAACAAGACTCTGTCTCAAAAAATAATAAATAAAATAAAATAAAATAATAAAAATAAAAATCTTTGTCTTCTAGGATATGCAAATTAAAACCATGAGATACCACTTACAGCCACTAAGATGGCTATAAACCAATAGATAAGTATTGGTAAGGATATGAATAAAGTGGAATTCTCATACACTGCTATTGGAAATGTACACTAGTGCAGCTGTTTTGGAAAACAGACTGGCAGGCAGTCTCTCAAAAGGTTAAACACGGCCGGGCGCGGTGGCTCACGCCTGTAATCCCAGCACTTTGGGAGGCCAAGTCGGGAGTATCATTTTTCAGGTTGTTTAAGACCTGCCTGGGCAAGATGGTGAGACCTCGTCTCTACAAAAAAATTAAAAATTAGTCGGGCAGCCAGGTGCGGTGGCTCTTACCTGTAATCTCAGCACTTTGGGAGGTCGAGGCAGGTGAATGACCTGAGGTCAGGAGTTCGAGACCAGCCTGGCCAACATGGTAAAACCCCGTTTCTACTAAAAATACAAAAATTGACTGGCGCAGTGGCTCTCGCCTGTAATCCCAGCACTTTGGAAGGCAGAGGCAGGTGGATCATGAAGTCAGGAGTTCGAGACCAGCCTGTCTAATATGGTGAAACTCTGTCTCTAGTACAAAATACAAAAATTAGCTGGGCATAGTGGTGCACACCTGTAGTCCCAGCTACTTGGGAGGCCAAGGCAGGATAATTGCTTGAACCCGGGAGGCAGAGGTTGCAGTGAGCCAAGATTGTGCCACTGCACTCCAGCCTGGGCGACAGAGTGAGACTCCGTCTAAAAAAAAAAAAAAAATCCAGGCTTGGTAACGGGTACCTGTAATCCCAGCTACTCAAGAGGCTGAGGAAGGAGAATGGCCTGAACCCGGGAGGCAGTGGTTGCAGTAAGCCAAGATCGCGCCATTGCACCCCAGCGTGAGCAACACGGCGAAACTCCATCTCAAAAAAAAAAAAAAAGGTTAAACACAGTTACTATATGACCCAGTAATTTCATTCCTAAGTATTCAGCAAAGAGAAATGAAAACATAGGCCTACACACAAAAAAAGAAGTGTACACAAATGTTCATAGCATTATTCAAAACAATCAAAAACTGAAGGCCGGGCACGGTGGCTTGTGCCTGTAATCCCAGCACTTTAGGAGGCCAAGGTGGGTGGATCATGAAGTCAGGAGTTCAAGACCAGCCTGGCCAACGTGGTGAAACCCCGTCTCTACTAAAAATACAAAAATTAGCTAGGCGTGGTGGTACATGCCTGTAATCCCAGCTACTCAGGAGGCTGAGGCAGGAGAATCACTTGAACCTGGGAGGCGGAGGTTGCAGTGAGCCGAGATTGCGCCATTGCACTCCAGCCTGAGCAACAAGAATGAAACTCTGTCTCAGAAAAAAAAAAGAAGAAAACAATCCAATGTCCTTCCACTAATGGATAAACAAATAAAATGTTGTATATTCATACCATGGCATATTTTTCTGGCATAAACAGGAATGACAAACTGATACATGCTACAACATGAGTGAACCTTGAAAACATTATGCTAAGTGAAAGAAGCCAGTAACAAGAGACCACACATATTACTCCATTTATATGAAATGTCAAAAACAGGCAAATCTATAGAGATAGAAAGTAGATGAGTGGTTGCCTAGGGTTCAGGGTTAGAGGGTTGGGAGAAAATGATGAGTAACTGCTAATGGGTACAGGTTTTCAGGGGAGAGTGATTAATACATTTCAAAATGGATTGTAGTGTGATTGTAAAACTAATTGTAAAAATAAATTAAAAATCACTGAAATAAGTGAACTGTATGGTATACGAATTATATCTCAATAAAATTGTTTATATATGGACACACACATAAATGATAAAGCAAATGGGGCAAAATGTTAACAATCGGTGAATCTGGTTAAGAGATATACTGGAGTTCTTTGTTCTATTCATGTCAATGCTTCTTTTTCTTTTTTCTGAGACCAAGTCACTCAGGCTGGAGTGCAGTGGCGCCATCTCGGCTCACTGCAACCTCTGCCTCCCATTTCAAGCGATTCTCCTGTGTCAGCCTCCTGAGTAGCTGGGATTATAGGCACCCACCACCACGCCCGGCTAATTTTTGTATTTTTAGTAGAGACGGGGTTTCATCGTGTTGGCCAGGCTGGTCTCAAGTGATCCACCTGCCTCAGCCTCCCAAAGTGCTGGGATTATAGGCGTGAGCAACCATGTCTAGCCCTCAATGCTTCTTTAAATATGAAATTATAAAAAAAGATAAAGCAATAAAGCTACGGGCCTGGGAGGTCGAGGCTGCAGTGAGTCATGATTGTGCCACTGCACTCCAGCCTGGGCAACAGAGACAGACTCTGTCTCTTAAAAAAAAAAAAAAAAAAGATATCCTTAATGATAATCACACACAGTATTCTTTTTTTTTTTTTTTTTGAGAAGGAGTCTCACACTGTTGCCCAGGCTGGAGTGCACTGGCTCGATCTCGGCTCACTGCAAGCTCCGCCTCCCAGGTTCACGCCATTCTCCTGCCTCAGCCTCCTGAGTAGCTGGGACTACAGGTGCCCGCCATCGCACCCGGCTAATTTTTTTGAATTTTTAGTAGAGACAGGGTTTCACCGTGTTAGCCAGGATAGTCTCGATCTCCTGACCTTGTGATCCGCCCACCCCGGCCTCCCAAAGTGCTGGGATTACAGGCGTGAGCCACCGCGCCCAGCCAACACACACAGTATTCTTTTTTTTTTTTTGAGACAAGGTCTCACTTTGTTGCCCAGGCCAGAGTGCAGTGACGCCATCTTGGCTCACTGCAGCCTCCGCCTCCCAGATTCAAGCGATTCTCTCGCCTCAGCCTCCCGAGTAGCTGGGATTATAGGTGTGTGCCACCAGGCCCGGCTAATTTTTGTATCTTTAGTAGAGACAGGGTTTCACCATGTTGGCCAGGCTGGTCTCAAACTCCTGACCTCAAGTGATCCACCCACCTCAACCTCCCAAAGTGCTGGGATTACAAGCATGAGCCACCGTACCCGGTCTACACACAGTACACACAGTATTCTTTCTTTTTCCTTTTTAAATTATACTTTAAGTTCTGGGGTACATGTGCAGAACATACAGTTTTGTTACATAGGTATACACATGGCATGGCATGGTGGTTTGCTGCACCTGTCAACCAGTCACCTACATTAGGTATTTCTCCTAATGTTATCCCTCCCCTAGTCCCCCACCCCCCCAACAGGCCCCAGTGTGTGATGTTCCCCTCCCTACATCCATGTGTTCTCATTGTTCAACTCCCACTTATGAGTGAGAACATGTGGTGTTCCGTTTTCTGTTCTTGTGATAGTTTGCTGAGAATGACGGTTTCCAGCTTCATCCATGTCCCTGCAAAGGACATGAACTCATCCTTTTTTATGGCTGCATAGTATTCCATGATGTGTATGTGCCATCTTCTTTATCCAGTCTCTTACTGATGGACATTTGAGTTGGTTCCAAGTCTTGCTATTGCACACACAGTATTCTTTCTTACCATGAAACAGAAACCTGGACTAGAAAAAAACTACCATAACGTCTGTTCCTGCCCTGCCAGACAAATTTTTTGCTTGTTCCCCCCGCATCCACCACTCATCAAAGGTCTGCAAAGCATGCAAAATATCACTCAAGTAGCAGAAAAGAATGAAATGTGGCAAGGGAGACAAATATTCTCCCACTTTCTCAGGGCCTCAGTTTCCTCATCTGTAAAATCAGAAGGTTATATAATTGCAAAGGGTGCTTTCATGTTAACATTCGATAATTTTGAAGTTCGAATTTCACTGCTCAATACAGTCAAGGAGGAGTATGATTTGACTAGTCCTCTAGCTTTCCTAGACAGTCACCTTTTTCTCTTTCTTAATTATTTTTATTTTTTATAAAAACAGGGTATTAGGCTGGGCGCAGTGGCTCACACCTGTAATCCCAGGACTTTGGGAGGCCGAGGCGGGCAGATCAACTGAGGTCAGGAGTTCAAGACCAGCCTGACCAACATGGTGAAACCCCATCTCTACTAAAAATACAAAATTAGCCGGGCATGGTGGCACATGCCTGTAATCCCAGCTACTTGAGAGGCTGAGGCAGGAGAATCGCTTGAGCCCAGGAGGCAGAGGTTGCAGTGAGCTGAGGTCGTGCCATTGCACTCCAGCCTGGGCAACAACAGCAAAACTCCATCTCAAAAAAATAAACAACAGGCCAGGCGTGGTGACTCAAGCCTGTAATCTCAGCACTTTGGAAGGCCAACGCAGGCGGATCACAAGGTCAGGAGATCAAGACCATCCTGGCTAACACGGTGACACCCCATCTCTACTAAAAAAAAAAAGTACAAAAAAATTAGCCGGGCGTGGTGGTGGGCGCCTGTAGTCCCAGCTACTCCGGAGGCTGAGGCAGGAGAATGGCGTGAACCCGGGAGGCGGAGTTTGCAGTGAGCCGAGATCGTGCCACTGCACGCCAGCCTGGGCGACAGAGTGAGACTCCCATCTCAAAACAAACAAACAAACAAACAACAAAAAAACAGGGTCTTGCTACAGTGGCCAAGGTGATCTCAAACTCCTGGACCCAAGCATCATCCTGCCTCAGCCTCCCAGACTGCTGGAATTACAGATGTGAGCCACTGTACCAGGACCCTCTCTCTTCTAAAGGTGACATTAAGAGACTATTTCAGGCCAGGCGAAGCGGCTCACACCTGTAATCCCAATACTTTGGGAGGCCAATGCGGGTGGGTCACCTGAGGTAAGGAGTTCAAGACCAGCCTGACCAACATGGCGAAATCCTGTCTCTACTAAAAATACAAGAATTAGCCAGGTGTGCTAGTGCACACCTGTGGTCCCAGCTACTTGGGAGGCTGAGGCTCAGAATCACTTGAACCAGACAGGCAGAGGTTGCAGTGAGCTGAGATCACGCCATTGCACTCCAGCCTGGGCAAAAGAGCAGGACTCCATCTCAAAAAAAAAAAAAAAAAAAAAAAGAGAGAGACTATTTCAGTGTAGTCTCAATTTTCTAGTAAGTTCATACAGCACACTGGCCAGTTTCCCATCTATCCTTATCCCTAGCCACTTCTCTTCAATTCCTGGCAAGAGCTTCTGCACAGAGCCTGGGAAAATTGGAGTACAAGATGAAAGAACCTAGGATACTTATATCTCAATGCTAGGTGCAGATCAGTTCAGAGGAACTTACAGATTCCAAGGTAAGAAATACGTCACAAGTATTTGGGAACCTTAATTCTCAAGCAGAGACAAGGAAAATAAACTCATGAACCCCATTTCACAGTAAAACCTTCTCCTGGGGTCACCTAGTGGTGACCATCAGAAACAAAGAAAAAGAAGATTCACCAGGACATTCGCCCATCAGAGGTAGAAAAAGAAACTGAACTCCACTATCATCTGCCTCCCCACTTACGATGTGCCAAAAATAATGGAAAACATAAATCAGAAGCAATTCTTCCAGATTTGCTTACCTAACTGACAAGTTCAAAAAGCCAACAAGCAGACACCATATCCTCAAGGTGGCTAAATCTGTGCTTTGCTCACATATTACCTTCTTCTCCTTCTAGCCCAAAGAGCTTCCTCAACCAGAAAACAAAATTAATTTTCACACATTCCTCAATTCCTTGCACAAAAAACAACTACATTACTTGCCTAAATGCTGAGTCTGCAAGAAAGGGAAAGAAGTGACAGGAAGAGATTCCTACAAAATCCAATTACCTCAGTCTATATTAAACACAGCAAGCTCTATGCTTATTTGGGTTTTTTTATTTTTTATTTTTAGTTGTATTTGTTTATTTGAGACAGGGTCTCACTCTGTTGCTCAGGCTGGAGTGCAGTGTCACAATCTCAGTTCACTGCAACCTCTGCCTCTGAGACTCAAGTGACCTTCTCACCTCAGCTTCCTGAGCAGCTGGGACCACAGGTGCATGCCACCACACCCAGCTAATTTTTTGTACTTTCTGTAGAGATAAGAGTCTTGCCGTGCTGCCCAGGCTGGTCTCAAACTCCTGGGCTCAAGCAATTCACCCACCTCAGCCTCCCAAAGTACTGGGATTACAGGTGTGAGCTACTGCGCCCAGCCTCCATGTTTATTTGTTGCAGACAGAGAGGAATGAATCTTAACCTTTCTCCACAAAACAAGAAGGAACACCGAGCATCTTTGATTTGCTTATTCTGGGTTCACTTTTTAAGAATGTAGATGCTACCTGAGCTATGTAAGTTAACTGTGTGGAGTGCACCTTCTTAGAGACTCCTTAATACCTTCTTGGAGAACCTGGCTACAAATTACAATTTCCTGTAGTTAGTTACTGAGTATGATATCATCAGTTTGGGAGCTACAAGGCAGGCTGAGGAGAGAAAATGCACCCTGGAGACTCTCAGGAAGAACCTGCTATTTGTACTCTGCTTTGTTTTATTCAAAGATTCCCTCTGGGAGTGGTGGCTCACGCCTGTAATCCTAGCATTTTGGGAGGCCGAGGTGGGCAGATCACTTGAGGTCAAGAATTCAAGACCAGCCTGGCCAACATGGTGAAACCCCATCTCTACTAAAGATACAAAAATTAGCCTGATGTGGTGGCACGCGCGGCTCATAATCCCAGCTACTCGGGAGGCTGAGGCAGAATTGCTTGAACCTGGGAGACGGAGGTTTCAGTGAGCCACTATTGCAGCACTGCATTCCAGCTGGGGCAACAGAGTGAGACTGTGTCTCAAAAAAAAAAAAAAAAAAAGATTCCCTCTGGATAGTTCAGATTCCCCTACCAACCCACCAGAAATGAAATGAAGAGGGAAAAAAAATCCTTCCAACACTGCATACTCTAACAAAGGCCACCTATCGGAAATGTGGTCTCGGCATTCCACTACTGCAACCACATTTTTAAAAAAACAGAAAATACCCCTCTTTACACATTTTATACAACTCATCCCCCTTTCTTTATTATCCCAATAAACTTTCACAAGGATATAATTTTAGCTTGCCAAAAAGCCAGATAATTAACACATATCCATTAAGACAGTAACATTTCTTTTTTAATGAAATGTTGAAAGACAGTTTTTAAACATTTTTGAAGGTCTACTTGATGAGATTATTTTTATTTACATTCTTTTTTTATAGATGAGGACCCTGACAGGGTTATCTCTAACTTGCTCCCAATCACAAAGATAGTCAATAGGAGAGCAGGAATATTACCCTAAACTCATGCTCTCGCTAACAGTTAACTTCCCAGCTTCATTCTTATGCTCTATCATTCGCAAAACATTCTATCTTCTCAAACCAAGTGTTCATACAATTTGACACTCAAAAACACGCATAAAAAAAAGTTTATTCCACCACCTTAGTTTCTTTTACTGAGAAGAATTATGTTGTTTTTAATATTTCTCAACATGTTAGTGTTTTCTAAAGACCTCCAGCCAGGCCAATGAGATGCAGTTTAATGTCATGAGAAGAGCACTGGACCAAGCAATTAACTAGTGTATACAGGCCCCACTGTCCTTCCTGGGCCTCATTTTCCCCTCTGAGGTCCCTTCCAACACCAATACCCTGAACCGAATTCCAAAAATTACATCAAAGTCACAAACTTACTACATATGAAAAAGATGAAAAACATCTGTACTATAAGAATTTGAAGACCTTAAAAGATAAACTTGAACAATTATTAGGTACTCATCAAAATAATTTTTTTTTTTTGGACGGAGTCTCGCTCTGTCGCCCAGGCTAGAGTGCTGGAGTGCAGTGGCGCGATCTGGGCTCACTGCGAGCTCCGCCTCCCGGGTTCACGCCATTCTCCTGCCTCAGCCTCCTGAGTAGCTGGGACTACAGGCGCCCGCCACCACGCCCGGCTAATTTTTTGTATTTTTAGTAGAGACGGGGTTTCACCCTGTAAGCCCGGATGGTCTCGATCTCCTGACTTCGTGATCCGCCCGCCTCAGCCTCCCAAAGTGCTGGGATTACAGGCGTGAGCCACCGCGCCCGGCCTAAAACTAAAATTTTTTTAAAGTAAATTAGAAACCATAAAACTACCCCGACAAAAAGCCTAATATTAATTATATTACTGCTTCATATTTTCTCCACCTGCTATTGAGGAAATAGCTCATTTTTTTCTAACCTTGTTAAAGCATGAATTTATCATGCTTTTTTCTTCTTTTTCTTTTTTCCCAGACAGAGTCTCGCTTTATCACCCAGACTGGAGTGTAGTGGCGCAATCACCCAGACTGGCGCAATCTCAGCTCACTGCAACCTCCCCCTCCTGGGTTAAAGCGATCCTCCTACCTCAGCCTCCTGAGTAGCTGGGATTACAGGCACGCGCCACGACGCCCGGCTAATTTTTGTATTTTTAGTAGAGACGGGGGTTTCACCATGTTGGCCAAATTGGTCTCGAACTCCTGACCTCAGGTGACCCGCCCGCCTCGGCCTCCCAAAGTGCTGGGATTACCCCTGAGCCGCCGGGTGGTGGGCCACCGCGCCCCGCCTAATTTTTTTTTCATAAGAAACACTGGGCCGGGCGCGGTGGCTCACGCCTGTAATCCCAGCACTTTGGGAGGCCGAGGCGGGTGGATCATGAGGTCAGGAGATCGAGACCATCCTGGCTAACAAGGTGAAACCCCGTCTCTACTAAAAATACAAAAAATTAGCCGGGCGCGGTGGCGGGCGCCTGTAGTCCCAGCTACTCGGGAGGCTGAGGCAGGAGAATGGCGTGAACCCGGGAAGCGGAGCTTGCAGTGAGCCGAGATTGCGCCACTGCAGTCCGCAGTCCGGCCTGGGCGACAGAGCGAGACTCCGTCTCAAAAAAAAAAAAAAAAAAAAAAAGAAACACTGGACTTTTTCTGGTGCCCAAAAACAAAACTGTCTTGTCATCGTTGAAGCCGAGTAAGATTAGTCAACAGGATAATCACTTTCGAAAGAGAAACTTTACAGTGACAGAAAAGTGAAAAGGAGTCCCCCTCATCAGGATGACACAACCTTAAAGTACAACCCGACAAACCTCCACCCACTTGAAACCCACTAACTGGAAACTCCAGACAAAAACTTATTTTCAAAACTGTTACAATTCAAAGACTCCAATGACAGTGCAGTGGAAAATTCACGGGGACTGTATAATTTTCACGGCCTTCTGCAGTGAGTGCCAAATCTGGTCAGGGCCCCATCTTTGACTCCCCTCATCACTTTCCCTTTCAAATATGACTTGAAACGCATCAGAACACACCAAGCCTCTCCAACTACAATGCTGCTACCCTTTTATTCACAAACGCCTCTGTCCTCATAAAGGACATAAATTACTTTTCAAAAAAGGCATGGCCCCGGGATACAAGCCCTTTCCAAGGCTAAGGGAGTTCCTACTCTTCTTGGTGCCGCCCAAGTTCACTTTATTACTTCATATCCCATCCAGACGCGCAGAGCTGCAATCTGACTCAGGGGGCCCAGCCCAGGGCTGGGGTATAACGGTTTTGAGGAACTAGTATCACAAGCTTCTTGGGAAGTGGCCAGATAAACTCACCAAGTTTTTGTTTTCCTTTTTTTTAAGTCTGGGTGGAACTTACTTTCACTAGGACGTGGGACGCCTTCCCTCCCTAATGGGTGCCAGAGGACAAGCTTTCCTTTATTTTAAACGAAGTCACTCAACCTACACCAAACTGAGAACACACAACCCTCCCTCTTTCTGGTCGCCGAAGACGTGGCCACTGCGCAGCGGGCCGTAGGTTTGGACCCCTCATGGCTCAGAGCCCCTCATCCGTTTCCCCCCTCCAGTCCAAAGCCCCCTTCGCCCGCGCCCGCCCTGGTCCTCCCGGCCGACACTCGCCCGGCTCCCGGGACAAAGCGGGGCTGAAGGAAGGTTTCTTCTGGGGTCCCCGACGACAGCGGGCGCGGGAAAGCGCCCCGGGCTCGGCGCGCACTCACCCGACAGCTCGTCCGGCTCCAGCCCGGTCTCCGTGTCCAGTCCGCAGATGACAAAGTAGTCGGCGAAGCGACTGGGCGCCGAGCCCCCTCCGCCGCCGCCGCCACTCATGGCGCCGGGGCCGAGACCGGCCGGGCAGTGCGGAGCGGCACCGAGCCCCCGCAACCCGGGCGCCCGCCCGTCCGCCCTCAGGCCGCCCCTCCCGCCGCCGCCGCTACCGCGGCTCGGGCCGCCGCCCCCGGCCCTGGCCCGGTCCCCTCGGCCGCCGCGGCTGCCGTGACGGGGCGGGGGGGCACCGGGCCGCCCCGCACCGCATCCTGGATGCCTTCCCCTCCGCGCCGCCGCCGCTGCAGCTAGCCGAGAGCGCCGCGGCCCGAGCGAGCCTGGAGAAGGGCGGAGAGCGCGTGGACAGCCCCCACCGTGACCCTCCTCCTACCGCGCCTGCGCAGGCGCCGTCTGGGAGGGGGCGGGCTCCTGGGGGAAAGGATGACGTGATGCTCTTCGGACCCCGCCGGCCGCAGCTTCCCGGGAGGTCGCCGCAGCGCAGCCGGTGACTGCTTGGTCGCCCGCAACTGCCACTCCCCCGGGATTGAGACTCCTTTAGGGAGGGCTGAGGAGGTGCGAGAAGAGTGGGCGCAGCCTGCAGAGCCGGGCATTTGGCCCATGCTCTGCCCCCAACCACCCACCCAGCAAGCAGAGGTCCAGAGATCTTAGCGCGGCCTTGCCATGAGGATGGGGTCTCACGACTGAGCTCGGAAGCTCACCTAATCCTAGCTGCAGCGTGTCAGCCTAGACCCCAGACAGGGCCTTCTCCCTGTCCTCTCTTTTGGCAGGGGCGGATGAGCCGGTTTTATATTTACCCTTATTTTACAGACGGGGAAACTGAGTCTCAGAAAGAAGCAAGGACTTATCCAAGGTTACGCTGAGTCTAAGAGACATAAGCCTGGTCTGGAATCCTGGGCTTGTGGTCAGCTCCCCGTTCCTCGCCGCTCCCACCTCCCAGCCTGCCCTTTTCCCACGCTCTCTCCTTTTTTCTCTGGAAGCCTCCAGAGGCGCCTGCCATTTGGGAGCTCCTCTTCCTCTTCACTCTGTGAAAACTCTCAGATCCACCCCTAAACCTGTTTTCCTGTAAGAGGATAGGGAGGAGGCGAAGGGAAACTTACCTATTGGTCCTTGTCCTAGGACCCTCCGATTTCCTTTCCCATAGAAGCTAGGCAGATGTGTCTTTGTTGGAAACTGGAGATCAGAGGCCAGAAAGGCAACACAGGTATAGTGGTCACTAGCATGGGCTCTAGAAAAAAATGCTCGGATTTCAATCCTGACGATCATTTACTTTTGACCTTGAGCAAGTTAATCTCTAAGTGCCTGGCGTCATGGTTTTTGAGACAATTACATAAGGTAAATGCAAGTACAGGTAAAACAATGAGAATACTGCCTGGAACATGGAAATCACTCAGTAAATATTACAGATTTTTTTTTTCAAGACGGAGTTCTGTCTTGTTGCCCAGGCTGGAGTGCAATGGCGTAATCTCGGCTCACTGCACCTCTGCCTCCCAGGTTCAAGTGATTCTCCTGCCTCAGCCACCCAAGTAGCTAGGATTACAGGCGCGCACCACCACACTCGGCTAATTTTTTGTATTCAGTAGAGACAGGGATTCACCGTGTTGGTCAGGCTGGTCTCGAACTCCTGACCTCAGGTGATCCGCCCTCCTCTGCCTCCTAAAGTGCTGGGATTACAGGCATGAGCCAATGAGCCCCCAGCCTGGATTATTATTATTGTTCCAGAAGGAAGTACTCTTACGGTTTGTTCTGGGAGGCTGCCACTAAGAGCTGTAGAAGGCAGCTGGCTTCCCCAAAGGCTGAGCCTAGGCTCTCTCCTAGGTTCTCCTGGGTACTTCTCTCAAATATTGTTTCCCTTGGGGAGGTTTACCTAGAGGTTATAGCCATTGTCTCTCGGAGCCATAGCACCTGTTCCTCCCTGTATCTAACCTGCCTGAACTAGGGGGAGAAAAGTGGGGAGGAGAAGGTTGCTTCAAAACGCCCATTCATGGTGATGCTCCACCCGTATCCTGCATGCTGGGGACACAGAGACAGTAGAGGGGGATTAGTGAGTTAAACAGTCACAGAGGCTGGGCGTGGTGGCTCACACCTGTAATCCCAGAACTTGGGGAGGCCAAGGCTGGCGGATCGCTTAAGGTCAGAAGTTCAAGACCAGCCTGACCAATATGGTGAAATCCCATCTCTACCAAAAATATAAAATTAGCAGGGTGTGGTGGCAGGCAACTTTAGTCCCAGCTCCTCAGGAGGCTGAGGCAGGAGAATCGCTTCAACTCAAGAGGCAGAGGTTGCAGTAAGCCGAGATCGTGCCACTGCACTCTAGCCTGGGCAACAGAATGAGGCTCTACCTCTAAATAAATAAATAAATAAATAAATAAATATGCCAGGCGTGGTGGCTGACACCTGTAATCCCAGCACTTTAGGTGGCCAAGGCAGGCAGATCACGAGGTCAGGAGATCAAGACCATCCTGGCCAACATGGTGAAACCCCATCTGTACTAAAATTATAAAAATTAGCTGGGTATGGTGGTGCCTGTAATCCCAGCTACTCAGGAGGATAAGGCAGGAGAATTGCTTAAACTCGGGAGGTGGAGGTTGCAGTGAGCCAAGATGGCGCCACTGCACTCCAGCCTGGCAACAGAGACACCCTGAAAAAAAAAAAAGAAAAAAAGAAAGTTACAGAGCACAGAAGGAGGACATCTTTCCAGATTGGGGAATGGTCAGGGAAGGTTTCCAGAAGGAGGTATATACTCTGACCTGAGTTCCAGAGGATCAACAGGAAGTTTCTCAGGTAAAAAGGGGCAGGGAAAGATGTTTAACTCAGTATGTGTAACAACAGGGAGCAACAGATAAAAGGGTATGTTCAGGCATCAACAAGTAATTCATTAACATTAAGATGGGAGATGGAGAGTTTAAAGGGAATGAAACCAGGGCAGGGGAGGAAGAAGGAGAACAGAGGAAGGAGGCATGGATTCAAATACCAGGCTAAAGAATTTATCCTCGGCCAGGCGTCGTGGTTCACACTCACGCTGGTAATCCCAACACTTTGGGCAGCTGAGGCAGGAGGACTGCTTGAACCCAGGAGTTTGAGACCAGAGTGGAGAACATAATGTGACCCCTGTCATAAATAAATAAATAAATAGTATTTTTTAGAAATAATTTATCCTATAAGATATATGAGTTGAGGATGAGTGAGGTAAAGTAAAGGAATTCAAGCCAAGGAGTGATATCTGACCCAAATCTGAGAATGATCACTCTAGGGGTGATGTGGAAAAAGAAATTTGAGAAAGGAATAAACGTCCTCAACTGAAAAGTCCAGAAACTTTTTATCCAAGGTGTCCAGGGTGATCTGGTGCTAGACGACCTCTCATATTAACTCAACTCGTAAAACACAAGTTAAAAACGAATGCATAACTGTATTAATTTGCCCTGGGAAATGTAACTGCTCAGAAGCCCAGAATACTCAACTGTGAAGTGATCTCCTTCCCGGTAGGAAATAAGTTTGGCAGAGTGATTGCTTCTTAGAGAGTCAGAAAATATAGAAAGGGATGCTCTTAAGATTTTTTCTTTTTTTTTTTTTTTTTTTTTCTGAGAGAGTCTCGCTCTGTCACCCAGGCTAGAGTGCAGTGGCGCCATCTCGGCTCACTGCAACCTCCGCCTCCCAGGTTCAAACGATTCTCCTGCCTCAGCCTCCCAAGTAGCTGGGACTACAGGCGCGCGCACCATGCCTGGCTAATTTTTTTTTTTTTTTGTATTTTTGTTTGTTTGTTTTTTGAGATGAATTCTCGCTCTGTCGCCCAGGCTGGAGTGCAGTGGTGATCTCTGCTCACTGCAAGGTCCGCCTCCCAGGTTCACACCATTCTCAGCCTCAGCCTCCCGAGTATCAGGGACTACAGGTGCCCGCCACCTGTAGTGGCTAATTTTGTTGTATTTTTAATAGAGACGGGGTTTCGCCCTGTTAGCCAGGATGGTCTCAACCTCTTGACCTCGTGATCTGCCCGCCTCGGCCTCCCAAAGTGCTGAGATTACAGGCGTGAGCCACTGCGCCAAGCCAAGATTTAATGTTTTTTTGTTTGTTTGAGACAGAGCCTCGCTCTGTCACCCAGGCTGGAGAGCAGTGGCACAACCTCAGCTCACTGCAACCTCTGCCTCCCGAGTTCAAGCTATTTTCCTGCCTCAGCCTCCTGAGTAGCTGGAACTACAGGCCTGCGCCACCATGCCGGGCTAATTTTTTTTTTAGTAGAGACGGGGTTTCGCCATGTTGCCCAGGCTGGTCTCGAACTCCTGACCTCAGGTGATCTGCCCACCTTGACTTCCCAAAGTGCTGTGATTACAGGCGTGAAGATTTAATGTTTAAATCCACTCCCACTCTTACTAGCTGTGTAAGCTGGGGTACATCAGTTAAACACTCTGAAATGAGAAGAGTCATTCTGACCCCTCACAGAATTGCACTGAAGATTCATAAATTAATGGAAAAAGGAATTTTTAAAATCTGGGACATAATATACTTTTAATAAGTGGCAATCTGGGACACCCATTTTAGCATGAGGAACATGAGAGAGCAAGTGGACATCTGAGGGAACATAACTCCAGGAGAGGGTGTGCGGCAGAGTGTGCCTGGAGTGTTCATGGAGCAATAAGGAAGCCAGGGTGGCTGGAGAGGGTTAGGGTGGGGAGGATTGGTGGAAGATGGTAGAAGGTGTGGTGGAGTTGGCTTGCAATTCAAAAACATCAATTTTCCCTTCCATAGTGTGTGGACCCGCCTCCTCAGGGACACTGCCCAGCCCTACTTGCATCCAGATGTGGCCATGTGACTAGTTCTCAACAATGGAATGTGTGTAGGACTTTATGTATGTCACTGCTAGGTCAGGGCACTTAAGAAGCAGATTAGACTTCTCCCTTCTTTCTATTTTTGCCTTCTACCAGCTAGAATTAGAAGATTCTGAGGCTCTAAGTAATGGTAAAGCACATGGAGGAAAGGCTCCAGCTGACCAAGAATACCCACACCGGACTGTCCTGTGAACAAAAAATAAACTTCAGTTGTGTGAAGCCACTGGTACTGTGGGGTTTATTTGTTACAACAGCTAGTATTAACCATCACCAAAGTAGATGTTGGGTAAGAGGATAAATCATGGAGAGCCTTGTAGGCACACTGGAAAGATTTTGCCATTGTCTGAATAAAATGAGAAATCACCGGAGAGTTTTGAGCAAAGGAGTGACACAATCTGACAGCTTAAAAAGAAACACGTAGCACTGTTTTAAGAACTTTACATATATTAACTCTAACTGGAATTTACCCCCGGACTCTAGCTTTATATACCCAACTGACTTGTCATCTTTTTTTAATTATAATTTTTTTTTTTTGAGATGCAGTCTCACTCTGTCGCCCAGGCTGGAGTCCAGTGGCACAATCTTGGCTCACTGCAAGTTCAGCCTCCCGGGTTCACGCCAGTCTCCTGCCACAGCCTCCCGAGTAGCTAGGACTACAGGCGCCCGCCACCACGCCCGGCTAATTTTGTTTTGTATTTTTAGTAGAGACGGGGTTTCACTTCGTTAGCCAGGATGGTCTCGATCTCCTGACTTCCTGATCCGCCTGCCTCGGCCTCCCAAAATGCTGGGATTACAGACGTGAGCCACCGCACCCGGCCATTTAATTATAATTTTTTTTTAATTAAGATGGGTTTTCACCATGTTGCCCAGGCTGGTCTGGAACCCCTAGGCTCAAGGGATCCTCCCACCTCAGCCTCCTAAAGTGCTGGGATTACAGGTGTGAGCCACTGAACCCTGCCTCAACAAGTGTTTTGAAACCATCAATTTGAAGAGACAGGAGATTACTTGCCTTTTTATTACTCCCTCCAGTCTTGCTTCTTGCCTTGAAGGAATGCACGAACAGCAGGGCTATATCTTGCAAGTCTATACCTTGCAAAAGCAACACCAAACTAGAGAGAAGGGAGAATATGATCACAACAGATCAGTCTAAGTAAGAGTGGAGGGAATGAATCCTTAGGAAAGGTCCACACAGATCCACTCACAGAGCCAAACCCCGTTTTGAAAACCTGAATGAGGTATTGACATATATCTTGGATCAAGTATATATAATTGCAAATATACATAATTTGCTGTTTGTAACAGCAAAAACTGTTATAATTACTGTTTGTAACAGCAAAAACTGAAAACAGAGCTGGGCGTGGTGGCTCACACCTGTAATCCCAGCACTTTGGGAGGCCGAGGCGGGCAGATCACCATGTCAGGAGTTTGAGACCAGCCTGGCCAACATGGTGAAACCCCGTCTCTACTAAAAATACAAAAATTAGCTGGGCCTGGTGGCTCGCGCCTGTAATACCAGCTTCTCAGGAGGCTGAGGCAGGAAAATCGCTTAAAACTGGGTGGCAGAGGTTGCAGTGATCGTGCCACTGCACTCCAGCCTGGGAGACAGAGCAAGACTCCGTCTTGCAGGAAAAACAAAACAAAACAAAACAAAAAAACTGAAAACAATCCAAATGCCTAGCTATAGAAGACAGATTAAAGAAACTATAGTTTCTGCCAACGCTGGAATACTATGCAGCTATAAAACAAAACAAGAGCAAGAAAAAAATAAGGAAAAACTGTGTAATATGTTATCAAATGTATAAAAAAGAGAAAATAAAAGAATTTTTTTTTGTATATGCATAGTCTATTTTTGGAAGCATAAACAAAACATTGTTAAAATTGATTGCTTCAGGTGTGGTGGCTCACGCCTGTAATCCCAGCATTTTGGGAGGCCAAGGAGGGCAGATCACTTGAGACCAGCCTGGCCGACATGGTGAAACCACGTCTCTACTAAAAATACAAAAAGTAGCCAGGCATGGTGGCGGGCACCTGTAATTCCAGCTACTCAGGAAGCTGAGGCAGGAGAATCGCTTGAACCCAGGAGGCGGAGGTTGCAGTGAGCCGAGATTGCACCATTGCACTCCAGCCTGGGTGACAGCAAGACTCTGTCTCAAAATAAAAAATAAAATAAAATAAAAATCTGAAAAAAAAATTGATTGCTTCTAGGGAAGGAAACTGAATGGCTGGGATCAGGAATAGAATGGAAATGTTTCACTGTACATTGTTTCATACTTTTTGAGGTTTGAACCACAAGAATGTATTACCTATTTGCATTAATCAGGGTTCTCCAGAGAAACAGAACCAACAGGATATATATAGATATAGAGAAAGAGATTTATTTTGAGAAACTGGCTCATATGATTACGAAGACTGAGAAAGAAGTTCCACGATCTGCTATCTGTAAGCTGGAGGTTCAGGAAAGCCAGTGGTGTAATTCAATCTGAGTCTGGAGGCCCAAGAATCAGATATCCAAGGGCAGGAGATGAAGAATGTCCCAGCTCAAGAGAGAGCAGGCCAGGCATGGTGGCTCATGCCTGTAATCCCAGCACTTTGGGAGGCTGAGGGGGGTGGATCACTTGAAGTCAGGATTTCCAGACCAGCATGGCCAACATGGTGAAACCCCATCTCTACTAAAAATACAAAAATTAGCCAGGAGTGGTGGCATGCACCCGTAATTCCAGCTACTTGGGAGGTTGAGGCATGAGAATTGCTTGAACCTGGGAGGTGGAGGTTGCAGTGAGCCCAGATCGCACCACTGCACTCCAGCCTGGATGACTGAGACTCTGTCTCAAAAAAAAAAAAAAAAAAAAAAAAAAAAAAAAAAAAGAAGAGAGAGAGAACAAATTCTCCCTTCCTCTGCCTTTTTGATGAATTCAGGACCTCAGTGGACTAGATGATGCCCACCCACATTGGTGAGGGTGATCTCGGTCTACCAATTCAGATGCTAACCTCTTCTGGAAATGCTTTACAGACACACCCAGAAATAATGTTTTACTAGCTACCTGGGCATCCATTAGCCCAGTCATGTTGACACATAAAATTAACCATCACACTATTAAAAAATATGTAATAGTCCAGGTGCGGTGGCTCATGCCTGTAATTCCAGCACTTTGGGTGGCTGAGGTGGGCGGATCACCTGAGGTCAGGAGTTCGAGACCAGCCTGACCAACAAGGTGAAACTCCGTCTCTACTAAAAATACAAAAATTAGCAGGGTATGGTGGCGTGTGCCTGTAGTCCCAGCTACTCGGGAGGCTGAGGCACGAGAATTGCTTGAACCCAGGAGGCTGAGGTTGCAGTGAGCTGAGATTGAGCCATTGCACTCCAGCCTGGGCGACAGAGCAAGACTCCACCTGAAAACAAAAAACAAAAACAACTAAGAAATACCTTTTACTGTGAATGTAAGCAATGCCTTGTGAATTCTTCTAGAGATAGCCTATACCTATGCTAGCATGGGTCAGCTCAACTCCACCCAGGCATAACCTATCTACTTTCCAGCTCAGTATAGCATTCAAGAACACATCAGCTGATGAACTCGTGGGTGCTCAAACGCTTTCTCTCCAACACTCAATGGGAGTTCACCATGTACAATCGAAAAAATTCCACGTATAGTGTAGAAAAACGTAAGCTTCACAAATATGGGCTTTCTTAAGACTAGAAACACCAATACATCTAGGGAAGTAGTGATGCACTCAGCTACCTCTGACACATCTTTACAAAAGAAGTCACATATGCCTCACTTCCCCATACCCTGTGTCCCACTAGCCTCCAACACCTTGCCCGGAACCAGCATCAGGATCCTCATGTCTCTCAAACACAAGCTTACTAAATCAGTTGAAAATTAGACATTACCCTTCATCTATCATAACCCACAGCAACAAAGAAGCCACAAAGAATAGTCAGCCTCAGGATAACTCTGATACCCCATGGTGAGGAAGTATGAAGTTGAAGCAACAGGAGGAGCAAATGACTGATGACTTCCCCAAGTGATGCAAGATGCAACTTTCCCAGATGTGTGAGCTTGTGTATTTCTGTTTGAGCTTTTTTTTTTTTTTTGAGATGTAGTCTCTCTTTGTCGCCCAGGCTGAATTGCAGTGGCGCTATCTCGGCTCACTGCAACCTTCGCCTCCTGGGTTCAAGCGGTTCTCTTACCTCAGCCTCCAGAGTAGCTAGGATTACAGGCGTGTGCCACCACACCCGGGTAATTTTTGTATTTTATTAGAGACAAGGGTCTCACTCTGTTGCCCAAGCTGGTCTGGAACTCCTTCGCTCAGGCAATCCACCTACTCGGCCTCCCAAACTGCTGGGATTACAGGCATGAGCCACCACACCCAGCCTGTTTGAGCTTATTTCTATGTGAGTAAGCATTTGTGCATAGTGGTAATCATGTATGTATATTATGTGCTTACATATATTAGATGTATGTGTGTTTGCATGTGTAAATAATTGTATGTGTGTACTTTATATGAGTGTGTGGGCCATGCGTGGTGGCTCATGCCTGTAATTCCAGCACTTGGGGAGGCCGAGGCAGGTGGATCGCCAGAGGTTAGGAGTTCGAGACCAGTCTGGGCAACATGGTGAAACCCCGTCTCTACTAAAAATACCAAAATTAGCCGGGTGTGGTGGCATGTGCCTGTAGTTCCAGCTACTCGGGAGGCTGAGGCAGGAGAATCGCTCAAACCCGGGATGCGGAGGTTGCAGTGAGCCAAGATCATGCCACTACGCTCCAGCCTGGGAGACAAGAGCAAAAGTCCGTCAAAAAAAAAAAAAGAAAGAAAGAAAGGAAGGAAAGAGAGGAAGGAAGGAAGGAGAAAGAAAGGAAAGAGAGAGAGAAAGAAAGGGAGAAAGAGAGAAAGAAAGTGAGAGAGAAAGAAAGAGAGAGAAGAGTGTGTGTGTGGAGGCTGAGACAGGGTAGGGTAGCTGGACCAAGGAAGCAAAAGAGTCCCTTTGGCTCTCCTACAAGCCCAGGAGTGACTCCAGTGCTCCCTTCAGCCTCTTCCCCCTTCTCCCTGGGTCCCCCTAGGTTGAGAGTATTTTGAGAGTATGGGTGGATGACTTTATCTGTGCTGCACCCACCCTTCTCCCTTACACTGTGAACACAGTGGCCTCCTTATTCCCATCAGTTTGAGAGCCAAGAGCTTCCTAGGAAAGGCTGGATGATATAATGAAGGGAAGTGAACGGCACTTGGACCAGATCCCAAAAGGAAGATATATTTAGCCATCTAAATAGCTGAGCTGAGCTCTTAAAAGCTTTGGGGAATAAAATAATTGTTCTATATTTTGATTGCATGGTGATTACACGATTATGTTTTCCAAAACCTATAGAACTGTATATTATAGGAAGCAAAGCATCTTTTAGCTGCCTCCTTAGTGCAGTAGGTAGCGCATCAGTCTCAAAATCTGAATGGTCCTGAGTTCAAGCCTCAGAGGGGGCAAGGTCACCTTATTAAGCTGGCGAAGGAACGCAAGCTTGCCTGTGTTATATTTTTGAGACAGAGTCATTTATTTATTTAATTAATTAATTTATTTATTTACTTATTTAGACAGTTTCTCTCTTGTCGCCCAGTCTGGAGTGCAATGGTATGATCTCGGCTCACTGTAACCTCCGCCTCCCAGCTTCAAGTAACTCTTGTGCCTCAGCCTACTGGGTAGCTGGGATTACAGGCGCCCGCCACCACGCCCAGCTAATTTTTTTTTTTTTGAGATGGAGTCTCGCTCTGTCACCCAGGCTGGAGTGCAGTGGCATGATCTTGGTTCACTGTAACCTCCGTCTCCTGGGTTCAAGCGATTACCCTGCCTCAGCCTCCTGAATAACTGGGATTACAGGTGCTCGCCACCACGACCAGCTAATTTTTGTATTTTTAGTAGAGACGGGGGTTTCACCATGTTGGTCAGGCTGGTCTCGAACTCCTGACCTTGTTATCCACCCACCTAGGCCTCCCAAAGTGCTGGGATTACAGGAGTGAGCCACCATGCCCGGCCTTTTTTTTTTTTTTTTTTTTTTTTTTTTGAGAGGGAATCTTGCTCTGTCGCCCAGGCTGGAGTGCAGTGGCGGGATCTTCGCTCACTACAACCTTTGCTTCCGGGGTTTGAGCAATTCTCCTGTCTCGGCCTCCCGAGTAGCTGGGATTACATGTGCATGCCACCACACCCAGCTAATTTTTGTATTTTTAGTAGACACAGGGTTTTGCCATGTTGGCCAGGCTGGTCTCAAACTCCTGACCTCAGGTGATCCACCCACCTTGGCCTCCCAAGGTGCTGGGATTACACACATGAGCCACCACGCCTGGCCTAATTTTTAAATTTTTAGTGGAGACGGGGTTTTGCTATGTTGGTCAGGCTGGTCTGTAACTTTGGGCCTCTAGCAATCTGCTTGCCTTGACCTCCCAAAGCGCTGGAATTACAGGTGTGAGCCACTGCTCCTGGTCCCAGATCTTGTAATTAATACAGATATGTGGACCATAAAAGGTAATATAATTCCCGTGAAATGTAAAATACATAGATTTTTTTTTTGGTAAGCCTATACAAACTTCACCTAGAAAAAACACCACTCCCATGTAGTAGGTTTTGACAAACGTTGGAACTGCCAAAAGCCCCCACCAAAACAACCTACCTGGGCTGCCATGGGCAAGACAATAAAGTGAGAAGCAACTCAACTGACCACCTTTGAGGCTGGGACCCTGGGGTGATATAGCTGGGCCACTCCTTGGCCTGCTGGCTCAACTCCTGCCTGCCACCCTCAAGGTTTGCTAAACTCAAGTTGTGAGTTATCAGCATATGTAACCTGGCCCCAGGGGCCCTGCAGCTGACAGGCAGAGCTGCTGCTCATATTTGTGTACATGGTACCATGAGACACCATCATTGTACTCATTATTAATTTATATGGTTGACGACAGTTTTCCAACAGATGGCAGTAAAATATCTTAAGAAAGAGGCACCTGGCCAGGCGCAGTGGTGCGTGCCTGTAGTCCCAGCACTTTGGAAGGCCTAGCTGTGAGGATTGCTTCAGCCCAGAATTTCAAGACCAGCCTTGGCAATGCAGTGAGACCCAGCACCCCCACTGCCATCTCTACAAAGAAAAAAGAAAGGGGCATCTTCTTTTTCTTTTCTTGAGATGGAGTCTCGTTCTGTCTCCCAGGCCAGAGTACAGTGGTGCGATCTTGGCTCACTGCAACCTCGGCCTGTCGGGCTCAAGCGATTCTCTCACCTCAGCCTCCCAAGTAGCTGGGATTACAGGAGCGCTCCACCATACCCTGGTATTATTATTATTATTATTTGTATTTTTAGTAGAAATGGAGTTTCACCATGTTGCCCAGGGTGGTTTTGAACTCCTGAGCTCAGGCAATCCGCCTTGGCCTCCCAAAGTGCTGAGATTGCAGGCATGAGCCACCGTGCCCAGCGACATCCTTTTCTACTTCATCCAAAACCACCATATGAGCTAACAGTAGGGCTATGTTGCCCAGCGTGCTGCTAACAAATAGCAGAACACAAGACTCTCAGAACCAGAAAGTCAACATTCATTGTGCTGTCTCACCACATGGCTTCCTCCTGTGCCTCTACTTCATTCTTTTCTTGTCTTCCATCCTCATTTATCAAATCCAACATTTCTCTACTAAACAGAAAAGCTACTGGGCGCCGTGGCTCATGCCTGTAATGCCAGAACTTTGGGAGGCCGAGGCGGGTGGATCACCTGAGGTCAGGAGTTCCAGACCAGCCTGACCGACATAGTGAAACTCTGTCTCTACTAAAAACACAAAATTAGCTGGGCGCGGTGGCTCATGCCTGTAATCCCAGCACTTTGGGAGGCCGAGTTGGGGTGGATCACGAGGTCAGGAGTTCAAGACCAGTCTGGCCAACATGGGGAAACCCTGTCTCTACCAAAAATACAAAATTAGCTGGGCGCAATGGCGGGCACCTGTAATCCCAGCTACTCAGGAGGCTGAGGCAGGAGAATTGGTTGAACCCAGGAGGCAGAGGTTGCAGTGAGCCGAGATCACGCCACTGCACTCCAGACTAGATGACAAAGCAAGACTCTGTCTCAAAAAAATAAAAAAGTTAATTTACTTAAATGTGTGTGAAAGTATATTGTAAGATGTAAAACAAGCTATACAAAGCAAGGTATGCTTAATTTAATATTCTGAATTGGGGGCAGCTTATTAAACTTTCATTAATTTCAGAGAATCTTATCATGTCTGAGCTGTAAGGATCCTGGACCTTAGACCTCTTTATTCTAGATGAGAAAAATGAGGATGAGAGCTTAAGCAATATCCTGCCTCAAGTCACCCAGACTAAGTTTGTCCCAGATAAAGAAAAATAATAATGAGAATACTGAAAACTGCAATGAGATGTATCTTCTAAACATCTTAACTATGACCACCGAATGATTATCAGGAAAGCTTCAGCCCTTTTGATTATACACATTTTCAAAAAGCCAGAGAACTTTAAAAAGATTCCTTCATAAACAACTCATTGTATGTACTAGAAATATTTACTTGGCCAGGCGCGGTGGCTCACGCCTGTAATCCCAGCACTTTGGGAGGCTGAGGCGGGCGGATCACCTGAGGTCCGGAGTTCGTGACCAGCCTCAACATGGAGAAACCCCGTCTCTACTATAAAAATACAAAATTAGCCAGGCGTGGTGGTGCATGCCTGTAATCCCAGCTACTCGGGAGGCTGAGGCAGGAGAATTGCTTGAACCTGGGAGGCGGAGGTTGCGGTGAGCCGAGATCACGCCATTGCACTCCAGCCTGGGCAATGAGAGCGAAACTCCGTCTCAAAAAAAAAAAAAAAAGGAAATATTTACTTACCTCAACTATTTATTTAGCGACAAGGTCTCACACTGTTGCCCAGGCTGGAGTGCAGTGGTGCTCACTGCAAACTCCGCCTCCTGGTTTCAAGCAATTCTCCTGCCTCAGCCTCCTGAGTAGTTGGGACTACAGGCGTGAGCCACCACGTCCAGCTAATTTTTGTTATTTTTAGTAGAGACAGGGTTTCACCATGTTGGCCAGGCTGGTCTCAAACTCCTGACCTCAGGTAATCTGCCCATCTTGGCCTCCAAAAGTGCTGGGATTACAGTCCTGAGCCACTGTGCCCGGCCTTACCTAAACAATTTAAATTGCTTTAGAATCTTCAAAAGCCGGCTGGGCTTGGTGGCTCACGCCTGTAATCCCAACACTTTGGGAGGCCTAGGAGGGTGAATCACCTGAGGTCGGGAGTTCAGTCTGACCAACGTGGAGAAACCCCATTTCTATTAAAAATACAAAATTAGCTGAGTGTGGTGGGTGGCACGTGCCTGTAATCCCAACTACTCCGGAGGCTGAGGCAGGAGAATCGCTTGAACCTGGGAGGCAGAGGTTGCAGTGAGCCAAGATCGCACCGTTGCACTCCAGCCTGGGCAACGAAAGCGAAACTCTGTCTCCAAAAAAAAAAAAAAAAACCTCAAAAGCCAACAATTACAAGTTTTAAATATTTTAGCCAGGCACCGTGGCTCACGCCTGTAATCCCAGGACTTTGAGAGGCCGAGGCGGGCGGATCACGAAATCAGGAGATCGAGACGATCCTGGCTAACACGATGAAACCCCGTCTCTACTAAAAGTGCGAAAAACCAGCCGGGCAAGGTGGCAGGCGCGAGTCCCAGCTCCTCGGGAGGCTGAGGCAGGAGAATGGCGTGAACCCGGGAGGCGGAGTCTGCAATAAGCCGAGATGGCGCCACTGCACTCCAGCCTGGGCGACAGAGAGACACTCCACCTCAAAAAAACAATTTTTAAATATTTTGTTGTTTTTTTTTTTTTGATACAGTCTCGTACTCTCGCCCAGGCTGGAGTGCAGTGGCGCCATCTCGGCTCACTACAAGCTCCGCCTCCCGGGTTCATGCCATTCTCCTGCCTCAGCCTCCCTAGTAGCTGGGACTACAGGCGGCCGCCACCACACCGGGCTAATTTTTTGTATTTTTAGTAGAGACGGGGTTTCACCATGTTAGCCAGGATGGTCTCAATCTCCTGACCTTGTCTCCACCCGCCTCGGCCTCCCAAAGTGCTGGGATTACAGCCGTGAGCCACCGCGCCTGGCCTGTTTTGAGATGGAGTCTCACTTTGTCACCCAGGCTGTAGTACACTGGTGTGATGTTGGCTCACTACAACCTCTGCCTCCCGCGTTCAAGCGACTCTCCTGCCTCAGCCTCCCAAGTAGCTGGGATTACAGGTGCACACCACCACACCCAACTAATTTTTTATTTTTAGTAGAGACGGGGTTTCTCCATGTTGGCCAGGCTGGTCTCGAACTCCTGACCTCAGGTGATCCACCCACCTTGGCCTCTGGAAGTGCTAGGATTACAGGTGTGAGCTACCGTGCCCGGCCATTTCATTGTTCTTAGTGGTGAAAATGTACATCGAAATTTAAGAATATACTTTTATTCAACGAAGAGTTTGTTTTTAGTTTTTTGAGACAGAGTCTGGCTCTGTTGCCCAGGCTGGAATGCAGTGGCACAATTTCATCTCATGGCAACCTCCACCTTCTGGGTTCAAGCAATTCTTCTGCCTCAGCCTCCCAAGTAGCTAGGACTATAGGCGTGTGCCACCACACCTGGCTAATTTTTCATATGTTTAGTAGAGACGGGGTTTCACTGTGATGGCCAGGCTGGTCTTGAACTCCTGACTGCAGGTGATCCACCTGCTTCGACCTTCCAAAGTGCTGGGATTACAGGCGTGAGCCACCTTGCTCGGCCAGAGTTTTTTAATGTAAGTACTTCCATGAAATAAATCCCAAATGTGACATTTAGGTTTCTCCAATACAATTTATTATTATTACATTTTAGCTTGCATTTACTAAGTGTCATGGAAATATTATACTCAAAATAACAGAGCTCCAGAGAAAGACAGTTAACTAAGAAAGAACAGTTTCACTTTCTTAGCTTGTCAACTCCTAGTTAGCCTGCTTGCCTCCGCACCACAGATGCTTGTCTTCTTGTGGTTGTTACCACAAGCCAAAGCTTGAATTTACATGGGCATCAGGCCAAGTCTGTAAATCCGTGAAGACAGGCCATCAACTGCATTGAGGGTACAGCCTTGCTGAAGGGTCCTTTCTTGACAGTCAATGATGATGAATCTGGAAAAACTGTCTATTCTCTTAGGAGAAGAAAATATACCCCACCTAAAGTCGCAGCTACCATTAACAAAAAAAAAAATTAGCAAAGGGAAAGAATCAATGGTAAGGACAGTAAATATACTCTGAGAATAGAGTAAGTACAATTTACACACGCTGGAGTAAATAGTGAAGCTTCTACTGAGTTCTACTGAGTCTAAGCTCTTTTATTTTTAAAATTCTGATAAAAATTTACTCAATTACATTTTATACATTAATATTTAGTGAATTTGTCCAAAAAGGCTATGTTTAATTTATGTGTAAAAATAACAAAAGATGTATCAGTCAGTCTCTGGGCAATAAGAAAGGAAGAAAGCCTTGCTAGAAATAATAAATAATCTCACGCAAAAGGCCAGGTGACATAAGAATACTACAATAATCAATATGTTTTCTTTGTATTTACAATAAAATCCATCTGTTAACACTGTGATAGAAAAAATAATCAGTCCACATCATGTAATAAAAACAGGCTTTGAGGATGATTATACCTCTTATAATAAAAACATACAAGGATTTCTCACAGCTAAAGTACTTTTCAACTTTGACAACTAATAACAGTCATGGGTGAAGGTAAAACTGACAGAGTACTTTAGATCAGCTATGTCCTACAGTCAAGGAATCAAGGGCATTACCCATTTACCAAGCAGCAAAAAGCACTTTCATTTTTCCAGAACTATTTAAATACAGTAGTTGCCATGTGATCAGTTAATTTTACTTTGTGAGTTAGATAAAGTAAAGACTAAATTGGGAAACTGCAATAAGTAATCAAAAGTAGCTCCAAACAACAAAGCCATCAATAGAAACAAAAGGCATTTTTCTAGGTGTATCATGCATAAAAAGAATAATTACATAATATTATTAAATATATTCCTTAATGACCAGATTAATAAATGAGGTAAAATTTAGTCATTGGAACAAATAAACTATATTTAATCACTTGTGTTTTGCTGTCACTGTTTAAAATAATTAACTTAATGTCTAAAAACTACATACTCTTGAATGTTTGCTTTTTAGAGCCCCTTGTGGGATATTAAAGAGCCATAACAAATTATCTGAATATAAATTATCAATACCAGGCTGGGCACAGTGGCTCATGCCTGTAATCCCAGCACTTTGGGAGGTGGAAGTGGGCATATAGCCTGAGGTCAGGAGTTCAAGACCAGCCCGGCCAACATGGTGAAACCCCGTCTCTACTAAAAACACAAAAATTAGCTGGGCACGGTGGCACACACCTGTAATCCCAGCTACTCAGGAGGCTGGGCCAGGAGAATCGCTTGAACCCAGGAGGCGGAGTTTGCAGTGAGCCGAGATCACACCACGCACTCCACTCCAGCCTGGGCAACAGCAAGACTCCGTCTCAAAAAAAAAAAAAATTATCAATACCAAATATGATACAGTTATGTAATACCCATTTTGCATATGCACAGTGGAAATACTGTAAAAACTACAAGATGAAAGAAAACCGACTGGCCAGAACTTTAAATTTCAGACTAATCCATGATAAAAATCTAGATGATAAAAAACAAAAATAAAATTAACAAAATAGATAACTTGATATCCTTTCCATATTCAGTCGTCTACTAACATGCCATCTCCAAACAAATCCATTACCTCAAAAGAGGAAGAAAATGGGCCAGGCGCGGTGGCTCACGCCTGTAATCCCAGCACTTTGGGAGGCCAAGGCGGGCAGATCACGAGGTCAGGAGATCGAGACCATCCTGGCTAACACGGTGAAACCCCGTCTCTACTAAAAATACAAAAAAATTAGCTGGGCATGGTGGCGGGCGCCTGTAGTCCCAGCTACTCAGGAGGCTGAGACAGGAGAATGGCGTGAACCCAGGAGGTGGAGCTTGCAGTGAGTGGAGATCGCGCCACTGCACTCCAGCCTGGGCGGCAGAGCTAGACTCCGTCTCAAAACAGAAAAAAAAAAAAAAAAAAAAAGAGGAAGAAAATGTAAATCTCTTTTTAAGTTTTCCAGTTTATGCTCTGAAAAAAGCCTAACATTAACAAAACCTGCAACACTACTTTAAAAAATCTAGAATTTAAAAATATCTATTTTAGTTATTAAAGATAAAAAATATTCAATTAAATTGAATGAATTAGCTGGATCAACAATTTCCTACCACACTACTATTATCTACAGCTACCCTTGGTATAATAATTTATAAGATGTCTAAGATGTCTACCTTAACTATTGATAGCACTTTTCACAGTATACCAATTTCCATTTTTACTTTCTTCTCCCCTTGTCACTTAAATGTATTACTTTAACTATCTGATAGGAAATTTTATTTTACAAATTCCTTGTTTAATTACTGAAGAGGTGATTTTAAAACATAAATGGATGCACCTGTTAATCCTGAGATGGTGATGACAGCAAAACTAAAAATCAGATGATTATTTTTACTCAAATTTCTGCTTTAGTTTTTTTTGGAAGATGGCTGGCAGAATAGAAAGAACAGCCAAGATCATCAGAATAAATATTGAGTTCCAGGAAACAGCTTCTCCTGCTGTTGTAAGTTGATACAGTGTTGTTCCTGCCTTAATGGCTACAAAAGAAGGAGGTGCGACACCTGAAATAAAATATAAAAAGATACAGTAAAAACCACCGCAATTGTTTTTAAAAAATTAAAATGTTCTGTGTGCATAAAGTTTCTTAAAACAACACAGCTATTTCCATTTTGGAAAAAAAATTAAGAATTTAAAGCTCAAGTTTATTTCCATATAAAGAATTCAATCTTTCCTAATCACCTCTTAAGGATAATGATTTTTTTTTTTTTTGAGACGGAGTTTCGCTCTTGTTGCCCCCGCTGGAACACGATGGCGCGATCTTGGCTCACTGCAACCTCCGCCTCCCGGGTTCAAACAATTCTCCTGCCTCAGCCTCCCGAGTAGCTGGGATTACAGGCATGTGCCACCACACCCGGCTAATTTTGTATTTTCAGTAGAGATGGGGTTTCTCCATGTTGGTCAGAATGGTCTCAAACTCCCGACCTCAGATGATCCGCCCACCTCAGCCTCCCAAAGTGCTGGGATTACAGGCATGAGCCCCTGCACCTGGCCAGAATAATGAATTTTAAAAACGCAAGAAAAGGGCCCAGAAAATAGTTTTACATTTATCAAAAATGCTTTTGTTTTCTCCCCCCGAGAGTTTGACTCTATCGCACAGGCTTGAGTGCAGTGGTGCAATCATCACTCATTGCAGCCTCAGTCTCTCGAGGCTCAGGTGATTGTCCCACCTCAGCTTTCTGAGCAGCTGGGACTACAGGCGTGTACCACCACACCCAGGCAAAATTTTTGAATTTTTTGTCAAGAGAGGGGGTTTTGCCATATTGCCCAGGCTGGTCTCTGTAACTCCCAGGCTCAGGCAATTCACACGCCTCAGCCTCCCAAAGTGCTGGGATTACAAGTGTGAGCCACCACACCCAGACTATCAAAAACCTTAAAAGAAAAAAAAACAGGCCCGGCACAGTGGCTCATACGTGTAATCCCAGCACCCTGGGAGGCCAAGGCAGGCAGATCACCTGAGGTCAGGAGTTTGAGACCAGCCTGGCCAACATGATGAAGCTCCATCTCTACTAAAAATACAAAAATTAGCTGGGTGTGTTGGCGCACACCTGTAATCCCAGCTACTTGGGAGGCTGAGGCAAAAGAATCACTTGAACCCAGGAGGCGGAGGTTGCAATGAGCTGAGATCACGCCACTGCACTCCAGCCTGGGCGACAGAGAGAGAATCTGTCTCAAAAAGAGAAAAAAAAAGAAAGAAACGTGCTCTGTTCTAGCAATTTCAAGGTCAAGATACTCAAAGTGTGAGTAAAGAGAGCAGTGTATACAAAAGTACATAGAGAATGATGACATTTCACTAAAAATCAAAACAAAGGGAAATAAATTACTTTGGCCAAAGCTGAAATTAACTAAATCTCTGGCTTTCACCTATAAAATGGAGATAGAAACAAAAATTCTCTCTTTAGATTCCATGGATATGACATTTAACAAAATTAAAAATTCCCCATGCTGATGTAAGTTTGTCCATTTTTTTTTCTTTTCTTTTCATTCTTTCCTTCTTTCTTTTTTTTTTTTTTTTGAGACAGTGTCTTGCTGTCGCCCAGGCCGGAGTGCAGTGGCACAATCTCGGTTCACTGCAACCTCTGCCTCCTGGGTTCAAGTGATTCTCCTGCCTCAGCCTCCTGAGTAGCTGAGACTACAGGCACCTGCCACCACATTCAGCTAATTTTTGAATTTTTAGTAGAGACAGGGTTTTACCATATTGGCCAGGCTGGTCTCGAACTCTTGACCTTGTGATCCACCCGCCTTGGCCTACCAAAGTGCTGGGATTATAGGCGTGAACCACCGCGCCCGGCTAATTTTTTTTTAAAGTAGCAATAAATAATTGATTTTGGTTATTCTTTTCAAAAAGACATATTCTCACAAGTATTAACTTAAGCTTTAATAGGTATTCAATATGTAAGAAATCTGCTCGTATTTTTGACTTCTAAACAATTCAACTCGAACTGGAAAGAAGAGCAAAACATTCCTACAAAGAATCATGAGAATTCACAAAATATGTAAGTAATTTTCATGTCCACTGATTAATTTCAAAATCAAGTATTATTTCCTTAAAAGCAAGAAAGTTTGTTGATCCTTGCTTTTTCCATACTTTTGATAACATCCGCGATAAAAGCTGGTTTCAGTAAAAGGAAAAATAGGATCAATTCTCTACTGAAAATTCAAGTTCAACATTTTAATACTTGATTAGAAAACAAAGGAGCTATTTTGCCAAAGCAACATTTACAAAAAAAAAAAAAAAAAGAAAGGGCTGGGTGCGGTGGCTCACGCCTATAATCCCAGCACTTTGGGAGGCTGAGGTAGGTGGACCATGAGGACAGGAATTCGAGACCAGCCTGGCCAACATGGTGAAACCCCATTTCTACTAATAATACAAAAATTAGCCAGACGTGGTGGCGTGTGCCTGCAGTACCAGCTCCTTGGGAGGCTGAGGCAGGAGAATCGCTTGAACCCGGGAGGCGGAGATTGCAGTGAGCCGAGATCATGCCACTGTACTCCAGCCTGGGCGACAGATCGAGACTCAGGGAAGAGGAAGGGGAAGGGACATAGGAGAAAATTGCTCAAAAAAGGCAATTTGATTTTTTTTCCTCTCCACTTAGAGGGACTGGAAGTCCTGCTTAACCCTATATCATTAAAACGATATACAGTAGAAAGTGTTCTTCTTTAAAGAGGCGACACAAAAATAACCTAAATCAACACAATTCAACAAACACTTCTGAGCATCTATTTATACAGCCAGGCTTTGTGCCCAAGAATTCTAGATGGTGCTGGCATAATCTGCAGAGAGCATGCATGTAATCTAGCCCAGCTGGACACTGTTAGATATGTACACAGTGAGCTCATACACAGCAAGAACCAGAGGGCTTACCTAGAAAAGTACCAATAAAAAAAACTTTCAATGGCACGTTTATCACAGGAGATGTGATATTAATAAACCAATTAGGCAGAAATGGTGTTATTCTCAAAAATATAATGTAGTTAATGAGATGTTCTCTATGACGTTCAACCTGTCATAAGAAAGAAAAGAATTAGCATCAGATGAGGACAACTTCAAAATAAGTTGCTTAATATAAACACCTTATTTCAAATTCTCATTCCTGATACTTCAGAGTATACCCAATAGAAATGATCAGGCTGGCGAGGTGGTTCATGCCTGTAATCCCAGCACTTTGGGAGGCTGAGGCAGGCGGATCACCTGAGGTCAGGAGTTCGAGAACAGCCTGGCTAACATGGTGAAACCCGTTTCTACTAAAAATACAAAAAATTAGCCGGGCATGGTGGCATGTGCCTGAAATCCTAGCTACTTGGGAGGCTGAGGCAGGAGAATCGCTTGAACCCGGGAGGCAGAGGTTGCAATGAGCCAAGATCACGCCACTGCACTTCAGCTTGGGCAACAAGAGCGAAACTCTGACTCAAAAAAGAAAAGAAATCATCAAAAAAGGCCAGTGGTGACTCATGCCTATAATCCCAGCACTTTGGGAGGTTGAGGCAGGTGGGTCACCTGAGGTCTGGAGTTCGAGACCAGCCTGGCCAACATGGTAAAACCCTGTCTCTACTAAAAATACAAAAAATTAGCCAGGCGTGGTGGCATGTACCTATAATCCCAGCTACTTGGGAGGCTGAGGCAGGCAGGAGAAATGCTTGAACCGAGGAGGCAGAGGTTGCAGTGAGCCGAGGTCATGCCACTGCACTCCAGCCTGGGTGACAGAGTAAGACTCCGTCTCAAAAAAAGAAAAGAAAAAAATGCACTGGGAGTTGGCTGATACAAGTGTTTCCATAACAGATGCACACAATACTGCATTAACATAAAACAGATAGGTATCTAATTATGTGGATGCCTTTATATTCACACTGACTTCTCTGCTGATTAAATTTACTAAGATAAAGAATTAAAATTACCATCACAGGTCTGAAACATTTGTATTTGAAATTATTAACATTCATATTTGCCTACCACCCATTTTTATTTGGTCAGAAGATAATTCTTATTACTTGAGTTAACTTAGGAATTAATTTATGTTGGGTTAATACATGTAGTTAATTCATGTAGGGACTAAACACAGACCTTCCAATTAACAAAGAGTTACATCAAATAATTTAAAAATACATGTTTACCTGCTGTGACCATTTTACTGCTTTCTCTGTTAGGTATTTGTATACAACTGGTCTCCCAACTAAATAGGAAAGCATATAACAGAAAGAGGCACCAAGTCCAGAACACTGGAAAACAAAAGAAGCCATAAGCGTTTTGTATTTTTCCGTCTTACTCACATTGATTTATTCACCTGAGTAAAAAGCTCAATTAATTTACTTCTTTCAGAGGTGGGGAGGGTACTCTGCATGACATCTCTTGTGCAGAGATGATCTAGTACTTTCTCAGACCAAAATGTACCTCAAATGAGATCAGCTAAAACAAACTGGCACTTGTGATTACACCTAGTGACTATATCCAAATAATTAATGCTAGGCTTTAGCCTAAGAATAAAATTTCAGGAGCCAATTTCCACCTCCCCCCGACCCTACCCCCGACCCCCCCAGTTCCTAAGCTTGAAAACACCACCTCTGGCTCTGGGACTTAACTCATTGTGCTCACCAACACTCCTTGGACTGTCGCAGTTACAAAATCCAATAGGAAAGAAAAGCTAAAACATAGCTTATAAATGCAACTAAGTCTATAATTGGTCTGTTCTGGGGGAAAAACAAATTATAACACCTCCTTGTGGAGGGACTTTAACATTAACTCCTCTTCAATTAATGAGTTTATGCTTACATAGACTAGTAGGGTTAAAGTATCATCATCATCCTCATCATTCTATTGTTTTTTCAGTCTCCCAATTTTATTTTTTCATACTTACCAAACAAACAAGAAATAAGGCTAGTGGAAAGGGATAAAGAAACCCTGAGAGTATACTGAGAAATATAGAGCCTGGAATAGCAAATGTTTGCAAGCTGGTAACTTTTAAGTTAAGGATTAGAATATAATTAAGTAGAATTTTAAAAGACAAATGTAACATTTCAGGAAAAAAGTATAAATACAAAAATTATCATACAATGAGATTATATCCAAAGGTCTAGCCTCTAAGTTGACCATTTACTAAACAGTATCATAAATACTAGTAAGTGTGTGCTACTAAAAGGTTTCCAAGACAAAAAACCGTATGTTCTAGATAGAGAGGAACCGGGCACTTTGGGGGAGGAACAAAAGAAAAAAGAAAAGGTCTTCCGTAATCTTTTAGTGCTTCTCTAATACATTTTATTTTACTCCCAAATGTTTTCAGGGAAATCATGTACATACAATTATTTCTAATTTAACTATGAAGGTTTACCTAAATTCACTACTCATTTTAAAGGAATAGGAACTACAAGAGAATAAAAGAAAATAAGAAAAATAAGAATAGAAATTACAAAATATAGTAAAAGTCACAAATCTTATTTGAGAAGGGGTCTTGCTTTGTCACCCAGGCTGGAACGCAGTGGCGCACTCATGGCTCACTGCAGCCTCAAATGCCCAAGCTCAAGCAATTCTCCCACTTCAGCCTTGCAAGTAGTTGGGATCACGGACGTGTGTCACCACACCAATTTTTATTATTTGTAGAGATGAGGTCTGGCTGAGTTGCCCAGGCTAGTCTTGAACTCCTGGGCTCAAACGATCCTCCCACAATGGACTCCCAAAGTGTTGAGGTTACAGATATGAGCGACTACACCCGGGCCACAAATCTTGTTTTTAAAATAGATTTTTTTTTTTTTTTACTTTCCTGTCGTTCCCAGTTTGGATCTGAACCTTTTTCCCCTCTAATATGATTTACTCACAAGTCAAAGTGAATTCCCTCAACATCTCTCCATCTATCCTCACTCATTAACTATTCCTTTTTCTCTAGTTCCCATTTTACTCATGTTCTCATTTCAATCTCCTCCTCCTTCCTCCTGGGTTTTTTCACCTTCAACTCTGTTCTCTTTCACAGGATGCCTCCTCTACAAAACTACTCAGTTGTCTATAACTTAAAAAACAACCTCAACCAGGGTATCCTATCCAGCTACCGCTCATCTTCACTTCCTCAGAGGAGATTCTCTCCTCGTTCCCTGTGACCTGCTTTACTATTCCACTATGCTATTGAAACTTCCTCACAGCCAATAATAACTTTTTCTCAATAGTCACCTTTCAGTGATCCCTGCATAGGATTAGACTTCATCCTGCATGAAACATGGCTTCAGTGAACTGTACTTTTTCTTCTACATTACAGGTAATTTCTTCTCTAGATTTTTCTCTTTGCCCTCAACTCTTGAAATTTCTCTAACATTCTGTTGGCCACACAATCCCTTTTCTTTGATAAATTTGGCAATTTCCATGGCTTCAAGTATCAACCACATATAGTACTAAAAACTCGAAATTCTCTTTGGTTCATCAGCCTCAAATTTTCCACCTGTCTCCTACATGTCTCTGTCAAAAACAAAACACACACACACACACACACACAAACACACACACTTTTTGGGTTAAGATTGTACTATATGGACCGGGTGGGGTGGCTCATGCCTGTAATCCCAGCACTTAGGGAGTCTGAGGCAGGCGGATCACAAAGTCAGGAGATCGAGACCATCCTGGCCAACATGGTGAAACCGTCTCTACTAAAATACAAAAAACTAGCCGGGCGTGGTGGTGGGCACCTGTAGTCCCAGCTACTCGGGAAGCCAAGGCAGGGGAATCGCTTGAACCCAGGAAGCAGGAGATTGCAGTGAGCCGAGATCTCGCCACTGCAAGCCAGCCTGGCAACAGAGCAAGACTCCATCTCAAAAACAAAACAAAACAAAACATCATATTATGGATAGTTTCACACATATGTAAATGTAGAAATACTCAATGTAAATGACAAGTTGATGGGTACAGCAAACCAACGTGGCACACATATACGTATGTAACAAACCTGCACGCTGTGCACATGTACCCCAGAACTTAAAGTATAATAATAAAAAAAAAAAAGAAAGAAAAGAAAGCAAGACTCCAAAGGATGAAAGGAGATAAATGGAAATTTTCCCTTGAGGAAATTGAGAGAAGCAGAAATAAATGAGGACAAGTTCCCAGGAAGTGTTTTGTTGTTTTTGTTGTTTAACGCAACTGTATTTTTTCCTTTCCCAAAATTTGGTGCAATTCCTACTTCTCTGAAAAGGAAACCTAAAATTACAGCTGAAATTGGGGAAAAAAAAACAAAGTAGAGAAACTAGTGTTATGATGCCCTATATTAACATATTTCAGGCTGGGCACCGTGGCTCCCGCCTGTAATCCCAATACTTTAGGCAGCTGAGGGTGGATCACTTGAGACTAGGAGTTGAAGAACAGCCTGGCCAACACGATGAAACCCTGTCTTTAATAAAAATACAAAAATTGGCCAGTCACAGTGGCTCATGCCTGTAATGCCAGGTACTCAGGAGGCTGGGAAACGAGAATCTCTTGAACCCAGAGGGCAGACGTTGTAGTGAGCCGAGATCATGCCACTGACCTCTGGCCTGGGAAATAGAGTGAGACTCTGTCTCAAAAAAAATAAAAATAAAAATAAGGCTGGGCGCGGTGGCTCATACCTGTAAATCCCAACACTTTGGGAGGCCAAGGCAGGTGGATCATGAGGTCAGGAGTTCAAAGAATACAAAAAATTAGCCGGGCGCAGTGGCAGGTGCCTGTAATCTCAGCTACTTGGCAAGCTGAAGCAGGAGAATTGCTTGAACTCGGGCAGCGGAGGTTGCAGTGGGCCGAGATCGCGTCGCTACACTCCAGCCTGGGAAACAGAGTGAGACTCCCATCTCAAAAAAATTATAATAATAATAAAAATAAATTTTTTTTTGAGACTGAGTCTCGCTCTGTCGCCAGGCTGGAGTGCAGTGGCATGATCTTGGCTCACTGCAACCCCTGCCTCCCAGGTTCAAGCGATTCTCCTGCCTCAGCCTCCCGAGTAGCTTGGATTACAAGCGTGTGCCATCGCGCCCAGCTAATTTTTTTTATTTTTAGTACAGACAGGTTTCACCATGTTGGCCAGGATAGTCTCCATCTCCCGATCTCGTGATCCACCCCGCTTGGCCTCCCAAAGTGCTGGGATTACAGGTGTGGCCACCACGCCCGGCCAATTCCTTTTTTTTTCCTTTCGTTTTTGTGGTAGGAGTCTCGCTCTGTCGTCCAGGCTGGAGGGCAGTGGCGTGATCTCAGCTCACTGCATTCTCCGCATCCCAGGTTCAAGCAATTCTCTGCCTCAGCCTCCCAAGTAGTTGGAATCACAGACGCCTGCCACCATAACTGGCTAATTTTTGTATTTTTAGTAGAGACAGGGTTTCACCATCTTGGTCAGGTTGGTCTTGAACTCCAGACCTCGTGATCCACCTGCCTCGGCCTCCCAAAGTACTGGAATTATAGGTGTTAGCCACCGTGCCTGGCCTCCTTTTCTTTTTAACATAAATATGATACCATTGTCAGACTTCAAGAAATTAACTATAATTCCTTATTGTCCTAAAGACTAGTCTGATCAGAATCTAGAAGTCCACACAAAGTATTTGCTCAAAGGATCACTTAAGCATAGGGTCTTTATTTTTTCTTTCTTTCAATTTACTGAAGAAACCAGATCATTTGTAGAATTTACCATTTATTGAATTTTGCCTATTGGATACTTAGGGTAGTTTATGTTCTATCCTTTATCTTATACTAGTAGTCAAAACTATGCTTCCTTTTAAATGGGAATGTGACTTGAGCTTAACTTTGTTTAGATTTCTCTTCTCTTACACTGAAAAATCTTGGTTCTTGATAACACCAACATAGTTGCCTATTTGTGCTTTATATACTATGAAACATAAAGTAAATGTATAAAATATATACTATGCATTAGTATTAATAATCTAAAACGTTTCCACATATTTAAATATTTTACAACATTATTACTACTAACAATATGATGACTAAAAACAGTTTTAAGATTTTTGGCTAGGCCTGGTGACTCACACCTGTAATCCCAGCACCTTGGGAGGCTGAGGTGGGAGGATCACTTGAGCCCAAGAGTTCCAGTTCGAGACCAGCCTGGGCAACATGATGAAATCCCATCGCTACAAAAAAATACATGAAGAGACGGGATTTCTTCATGTTGGTCAGGCTGGTCTTGAACTCCCAAACTCAGGTGATCAGCCTGCCTCGGTCTCCCAAAGTGCTGGGATTATAGGTGTGAGCCACCACACCCGGCCCTGATAATACTATTCTTAATTTTTGAGGAACTGCCATACTATTTTCCATAGTAGCTGCATCATTTTGCATTCCCACCAACAGTGCTCAAGAGTTCCAATTTCTCCACATCCTTGCCAACACTTGTTATTTTCATGATAGCCATCCTAATGAGTGTGAGGTTGCTTTTGATTCTTAAGATTCCTGCTATTCTCTTTTTTCATTTTGATTTTGTAATTATGTAAAACATTTACTTGGTTCTCAAGTCAAACCTACGCTAAGAAAAGTTTCAGTCCTACCATTTTATCTCTCTCCCTACAGGTAAACATTTTTACTGGTTTATTTATTTGAGATACAGTCTCACTGTCACCTAGGCTGGAGTGCAGAGGCTAAATGCTTCGCTGTAGCCTCAACTTCCCTGGGCTCAGGTGATCTTCCCACCTCAGCCTCCCAAGTAGCTAGGACTACAGGCATGTACCAAGACATCCAGCTAATTTTTGTATTTCTCGTAGAAACTGGGTCTAGCTACATTGCCCAAGCCAGTCTCGAACCACTGGCCTCACGCAATCCTCCTGCTGAAGCCTCCCAAAGTGCTGGGATTACAGGAATGAGCCACTACACCCGGCCAATTAGTTTTTTAAGAAAAATATAACAAGATACTTATGTATATGAGTGTACTCATATTATCCCCTTCTTAGATAAAACACAGCATATTTGTGTACTATTTTGCCCTTTGTTCTTTCACTTATCTGTATATTGTGAGTTAATACCTCAACAACATATGGATACTTCTGATTCTTTTTATTTTTGTTATTTTTATTTTTTGGGGATGGAATCTTGCTGTCACCAAGGCTGGAGTGCAGTGGCACGATCTCAGCTCACTGCAACCTCCACCTCCTGGGTTCAGGTGATCCTCCTGCCTCAGCCTCCTGAGTAGTTGGGATTACAGGCATGCAATCACCACGCCCAGCTAATTTTTGTATTTTTAGTAAAGATGGCGTTTCACTATGTTGGCCAGGCTGGTCTGAACCCCTGACCTCACGTGATTCACCCGCCTCGGGCTCCCAAAGTGCTGGTGTTGCAGGCATGAGCCACCATACCTGGCTACTTCTGATTCTTTTTAAATAGCTATATAATATCCCAGTGTTGTCAGGCGTGGCGGCTCATGACTGAAATCCCAGCACTTTGGGAGGCTGAGGAGCTCAGGAGTTCAACACCAGCCCAGACAACATAGCAAAACCTGGCATCTACAAATAAATCCCAAATTTAACTGGGTGTGCCTGTGGTTCCAGCTACTCGGGAGGCTGAGGTGGGAGGATCACTTGAGCCCAGGAGGCTGAGGCTGCAGTGAGCCATGATCATGCCACTGCACTCCAGCCTGGGTGACAGGGGGAGAACCTGTCTCAAAAAAAAAAAAAAAAAAAAAAAAAAAAAAAAAGCCGGGCACAGTGGCTCTCACCTGTAATCCCAGCACTTTGGGAGGCTGAGATGGGCAGATCACCTGAGGTCAGGGGTTCCAGACGACCCTGGCCAACATGGTGAAACTCCGTCTCTACTGAAAATACAAAAATTAACCAAGTATGGCGGCAGGCGCCTGCAATCCCAGCTACTTGGGAGGCTGAGACTGGAGAATCGCTTGAACCTAGGAGGTGGAGGTTGCAGTGACCAGAGATTGTGCCTCCAGCCTGTGTAACAAGAGCAAAACTCCATCTCAAAAAAAAAAAAAAAAAGTTGGTTTAAAAAGGATGATTACTTTTACAACATCAAGAAGTAAATTACGTCTTTCATTAACTGAGAAGATCTGGAAAACAGTTTGGATAAGAATAAAAGATATTAACAAATCAGAAATGAAAATTAAACTCCACAATATGCAAAATTAAGCACCCACAGCTAAGCAGTTTGAAATAAAGCTATTTTCCTGACTAGTTAAAATGTAATATATTTCTATAAAATATATATCAAAAATTGTAAAAAACATTCATTCCTTTGAATAAGTATCTTAAGAATTTTTACAAAAGAAACAATGCAAGAAAAAAACATGAACAAAGGAGATTCATAATACATATCTATAAAAATTAACAACAAATTATACCTCCAAACCTAACAGAACAATTATAAAAATACTATGGTGACTACTAATTCAAAATAATTATATAAACTAGTATCATCAGTTAATGAATACAATTATAAATCAAACCCATAAAATAAACATCTTAATAATATGCAATAAAGGAAAATGTTTGGTAAGTGAAAAAAGCAGAATACAAAAGAACTTCTAATAAATATTCAGACATAAAAACAATTAGTTCAGCAAATAGGATTAAAGTGATAATTTTTTTCCATTTTAATTTTTCAATTATTTAATATTGTCACACTGCAATAACAAATTTTAAAAGGAAAATAGTTATGTATAAATGAAGAGCAGACCTTTTACACTTTTTCTTGAACAAAATTAGAAAACATTTTTTCAGTTAAAAGGATACAAAATATATGTAGCAAAATAAGCTACAAGTACTTGAACATAAAAGGTGTCCTTGTATTTGGATAAAACTTTTCCTAGAGCCTTGGCATCATCCATATCTCTGGGAACCTTCATATTCACTCTTTCTTCTCTGAAGAAATAAAGTGAAAAATTTTAGAACAGAATTTTGCCAAGATAATATCAAAGTCAAGTTCACAACATGAAGTTTTATCCAAAATGATTTCATGCCTTGATCTATTAAGTCTAAATTAGCAATGTTTAAGTTTAAAAGTTTATAATTTTTCTTTTGTTTTGAGACATAGAGTCTTGCTCTGTTGCCCAGGCTGCAGTGCAGTGGTGGAATCTCAGCTCACGGCAATCTCTGCCTCCCAGGTACAAACGATTCTCCTGCCTCAGCCTTCTGAGAAGCTGGGATCACAGGCGTGCACCACCATGCCCAGCTAACTTTTGTATTTTTAGTAGAGAGGGAGTTTCACCATGTTGCCAGGCTGGTCTCAAACTCCTGTGCTCAAATGATCCTCCTGCCTCGGCCTCCCAAAGTGCTGGGATTACAGGAGTGAGCAACCGCACCTGGCCTATAAATTATTATTAATTTCATTTTATTTTTATTATTTTTTTTGACACAGTCTCACTCTGTTGCCCAGGCTGGAGTGCATTGGCGCGATCTCGGCTCAGTGCAACCTCCACCTCCTGGATTCAGGTGAGTTTCCTGCCTCAGTCTCCCAAGTAGCTGGGATTACAGGCACGTCCCACCATGCCTGACTAATTTTTGTATTTTTAGTAGAGACGGGGTTTCACCATGTTGGCCAGGCTGGTCTCAAATTCCTGACCTTAGGTGATCCACCCGCCTTGGCCTCCCAACGTGCTGGGATTACAGGAGTAAGCCACCATGCCCGGCTATAAATTATTTTTTAATGCTTTAATATAATTTCATGAGACAGGCAATTTTTTCTTTTTAATGTCTCAGCAGAATCAGAGACAGGTAATTTATATATGAAGGCTCTGGATGACGCAAACCAAGGGTTAAAGGCATTTGTTCCAACATCGAAACAAATTTTAACTTGAATATAAGAAATGAACCACTGGCCAGGCACATGGTGGCTCACGCCTGTAACCCCAGCACTTTGGGAAGCCGAGGCGGGTGGATCGCCTGACATGAGGAGTTCGAGACCAGCCTGGCAAACGTGTTGAAACCCCGTCTCTACTAAAAATACAAAAATTAGCTGGGCATGGTGGTGCATGCCTGTAATCCCAGCTACTCAGGAGGCTGGGGCAGGACAATCACTTGAACCCGGGAGGCAGAGGCTGCAGTGAGCCTCCAGCCTGGGCAACAGAGACTCCGTCTCAAAAAAAAAAAAAAAAAAAAGAAAGAAAGAAAAAAAGAACCACTGATGTTAGTAAATTAAAAACATTTAACATCATTTTGGGTAATCCTGATGATAAACTAAATAATAATTTACAATGAAAATTAAGTAAAAATGTAACAAATTCACAGTTCAAACATTTTCTTGAATACCACAGATCAAAGTCCACAAAAAACTGCAAGTTTTCCAGTACTTTTACTCTATATTTGGCACTTTGTTTGGAACTGAATGATTTCTTGCTTAGGAAAGCCTCGAATAATCACCTTTGTGTTTCATGCATATTATGATCATTTCTTTTTTTTTGTTTGTTCTATAGGCAGGCTCCCATGCTCTGTCACCCAGGCTGGATGGAGTGCAATGGCACGATCATAGCTCAATATTACCTCCATCTCCTAGGTTCAAGTGATCCTCCCACCTCAGACTACTGAGTAGCTGGGACTGCAGGCACGTGCCACTATGCTCTGCTAGTTGTTGTTTTTTTTAGATAGAGTCCTGCTCTGTCGCCCAGGTTGGAGTGCAGTGGCGTGATCTCGGCCCACTGCAAGCTCCGCCTCCCAGGTTCACGCCATTCTCCTGCCTCGGCCTCCCAAGTAGCTGGGACTACGGGCGCCCGCCACCACGCCCAGCTAATTTTTTTATTTTTAGTAGAGATGGGGTTTCTCCACGTTAGCCAGTCTGGTCTCAAACTCCTGACCTCACGTGATCCGCCCACCTTGGCCTCCCAAAGTACTGGGGTTACAGGCATGAGCCACCGCGCCAGGCCGCTCTGCTAATTTCAAAATTTTTTATAGGCTGGGCGCAGTGGCCTAGGCCTGTAATCCCAGCACTTTGGCAGGCCGAGATGGGTGGATCACGAGGTCAGGAGTTCAAGATCAGCCTGGGCAGCACAGTGAAACCCCATCTCTACTAAAAATACAAAAATTAGCTGGGCATGGTGGCATACATCTACAGTCCCAACTACTTGGGAGCCTGAGGCAGGAGAATCGCTTGAACTGGGAGGTGGGGGCTGCAGTAAGCCAAGATTGCACCACGGCACTCCAGCCTGGGCGACAGAGTGAGACTCTGTCTCAAAAAAATAAATAAATAAAGTTTTTTATACAGATGGGGTCTCGCTATGTGACCCAGGCTGTTCTCAAACTCCTGGATTCAAGTGATCCTCCCAAAGTGCTAGGACTAAAGGCCTGAGTCCTCATTTGTTTACATGACAAAAAAAATTTAACTGACCTATGGCTGGGAACAGTGGCTCACACCTGTAATCCCAGCACCCACCCTGTCTCTACAAAAAATTAAAGAACTAGCAGAGCATAGTGGTGCATGCCTGTACTCCTACCTACTCGGGAAACTGAGGTAGGGGATCATTTCAGCCCAGGAGGTTGAGGCTGCAGTGAGCCATAACTGTGCCACTACACTTCAGCCTGGGTAACAGAGCAAGACCCTGCCTCAAAAAAAAAAAAAAAAAAAAAAGAGGTGTGAGCCCCTCTTTCTCAAGTCCAGTAAGATACCCAGTAAACTAAAGGTTCCTACTTATGAAATTTATAAAACTAAAAAGACTCTAGGCTGGGCACAGTGGCTCATGCCTGTAATCCCAGCACTTTGGGAGGTCAAGGTGGGCAGATCACATGAGGCCAGGAGTTCAAGACCAGCTTGGCCAACATGGCAAAACCGCATCTCTACTAAAAATACAAAAATTAGCCGGGTGTGGTGGTGCACACCTGTAATTCCAGCTACTCGTGAGACTGAGGCAGGAGAATCGCTTGAACCCAGGAGGTGGAGGTTGCAGTGGGCTGAGATGGCACCATTGCACTCCAGCCTGGGCAACTATCTCAAAACTCAGTCTCAAAAAAAAAAAAAAAAAATTGTGGGCTGGGCACAGTGGCTCACGCCTGTAATCCTAGTACTTTGGGAGGACAAGGTGGGCAGATCACTTGAGGCCAGGAGTTTGGGACCAGCCTGGCCAACAGGTTTAAAACCCCATCTCTACTAAAAATACAAAAATTAGCCAGCCGTGGTGGCACACATCTATAATCCCAACTACTCAGGGGACTGAGGCACAAAAATCCTTCAACTCAGGAGAGGAGGCAGAGATCACAGTAAGCCAAAATCAACACCACTTACTCCAGCCTGGGCGATAGAGTGAAACTATCTCAAATGAAGAAAAAAAAAAAAAAATTGTGAAGGAAGGCAATTTGGAGAAAACATGACCTTCCTGATACTTTGATATCACATTTCACAGTTCTCCATTACCACATCAGGCTGGCCCTGGTTGAAAGTCTAACTACATCTTAGTAGTCCTTCATATAATCTATGATTATACCAGGGTGGTATTACTAGGGTTTAATAGCTCTGGGATATTTTGCCCTTCTAAAATATATTTCCAGGCTGGGCACAGTGGCTCAAGCCTATAATCCCAGCACTTTGGGAGGCCGAGGCAGGTGGATCACCTGAGGTCAGGAGTTCAAGACCAGCCTGGCCAACATGGTGAAACCCCGTCTCTACTAAAAATACAAAAATTAGCTGGGTGTGGTGGCCCACCCCTATAATCCCAGCTACTCGAGAGGCTGAGGCAGGAGAACTGCTTGAACCTGGGAAGCAGGGCTTATACAGTGAGCTGAGATCACGCCACTGCATTCCAGCCTGGGTGACAGGGCAAGACTCTGTCTCAAAAAAAAAAAAAAAAAAAAAAAGAAAGTATATATACATACATACACACACACACACACACACGTGTGTGTATATAAATATATTAAATATACATATACACACACACATATAGATGTATGTATTTCCACATGGGTTTTGCCGTGTTGCCCAGGCTGGTCTCGCACTCCTGGACTCAACCAATCCACCCACCTCGGCCTCCCAAAGTGTTGAGATTACAGGCATCAGCTACTGCACTTGGCCTTAATCCACTTTCATCTTATAAATATCTATACATTTTCAGTTTATCTCTCAGTATACTTACTCACTAAGCTGAGGAAAATTTTTATATACCAAAAACATAACAAAAGCTGCAGATAAGAAAATGGACACCAATATAAGGAGTGACATTCTTGCTGATCCAGCTTCTACCCAGGATTTTTCTGGAAGAAAAAAGAAAGTATAATTAAGATAAATATAAAGGAAGACATGCTAGCAAATAATTTCTGTACATGCTTTCCTTCCAGAAAATGGCGTGTGCTTTTGCCTAAAATGATGTGACATTAAATTTAAGCACTGGGCCGGGCACAGTGACTCACGCCTGTAATCCCAGCACTTTGGGAAGCCGAGGCAGGTAGATCACTTGAGGTTGGGAGTTCGAGACCAACCTCACCAACATGGAGAAACTCCGTCTCTACTAAAAATACAAAATTAGCTGGGCATGGTGGTGCATGCCTGTAATCCCAGCTATTCGGGAGGCTGAGGCAGGAGAATCACTTAAATTTGGGAGGTAGAGGTTGCGGTGAGTGGAGATAGAGCCATTGCACTCCAGCCTGGGCAACAAGAGCAAAACTTCGTCTAAAAAAATAAAAACAATAATTAATTATATTTAAGCACTGTACAGTACTTGAAGTTTAATAACTGGATATATTACTTTGGGGGGATATATCCATTTTAGAAGTATGAAAAAGCAGAACACCAGACTCTGTAGCATTGGTTTATTGATAAGCCAAAGGGGAAAAAAAGAACATTGTTCTAAATGCTCTAAATTTTATCATACTGTCAATTTCATATTTCTATACTGGGAGCCAACAGCATAGACAAAATGGCCCCTTTGGAAAAATGAGGTAATTTGGCAATTACTTCACCTGTTTTAAGAACATAAATATTCACAAATGCAACTGGTGAAATGTTATACTTTCTCTTTATACCAAATGCATCGGAATATAAACTTGAATCTCAAATGTTTTGGGTACCTCTGCAACTCCAACAATGGGAGAATATTTATAGTCCCTCAAAAGGTAATCTCAGTATTAGCTTAAAAAATTATATGAACGAGGCCAGGCGCGGTGGCTCACGCCTGTAATCCCAGCACTTTGGGAGGCCGAAGCGGGCAGATCATGAGGTCAGGAGATCGAGACCATCCTGGCTAACATGGTGAAACCCCGTCTCTACTAAAAATACAAAAAATTAGCTGGGCATGGTGGCAGGCGCCTGTAGTCCCAGCTACTCGGGAGGCTGAGGCAGGAGAATGGTGTGAACCCGGGAGGCAGAGCTTGCAGTGTGCTGAGATCGCACCACTGCACTACAGCCTGGGCGACAAAGCAAGATTCCGTCTCAAAAAAAAAAAAATTATATTAACAATAAAAGTATGGAATGAGATTCCAGAAGCAGTAAGCAGAAGAAAGTACGGGACTGTTTTCCCAGGAACTGGTCAATAGCGCGAAGGCCAGGACAACTTTACATTGCACTCACTGGGGAAGAGGTAGGAGTGGGTGACTCAATTTTTATTTTACCATTATCCCTTGTATACACTGATAATACTCAAGAGTATTTAAAAATATGTATACTATATGGCCCGGCATGATGGCCCACGCCTGTAATCCCAGCACTTTGGGAGGCCGAGGTGGGCGGATCACAAGGTCAGGAGATTGAGACCATCCTGGCTAACACGGTGAACCCCCATCTCTACTAAAAATACAAAAAATTAGCTGGGCATGGTGGTGGGCGCCTGTAGTCCCAGCTACTTGGGAGGCTGGGGCAGGAGAATGGCATGAACCTGGGAGGCGGAGCTTGCAGTGAGCCAAGATCGCACCACTGCACCCCAGCCTAAAAAAAATGTATACTATAATTCAGATTTATTATTTTTAGTTCCCTTAGAATGGATTCAACTATTGCACAGGTGGCTTTCAAACACGCGTTTATGAAGTATCCTAAAAGTACTGAACTGCCTATACTCTCTTTAGCAAATCCTTCTTCATAAAAGTTTACAAATGTGTATTAGACAGCTGTCATTGCTGCTCTGCCCCATCTCCCTTCTCTTGAATTAACACCCTTCCCCTGTCCCATAAGGGGGCCAATCTCAGTAGCCCCTATTCTAACATTCTACCCTCCCAAACCCAGAAAACTGTCTGGCCCAGGGTTGGACACCTCACCCAAGTAGTAACAAATCATTACTGGCTGACCAGATTTTCTCTTGATAATTTGAACTAAAAGAGATACTGGTTGTCAAGCGATAGTGGGACTTGGAGCTAAAAGGTTAAATGGTGGAGGACACAGTAAGCCAAAGTGGTACGCCGAAGACATGTATCAGAAAACAAGAAAGGTTGGAACAGAAACCCAGAGAAGCAGAATTGGGAAATATAGCTAAGCTACTTGCTGATTTCTAACGTTCCACTTCCCCAATGCCTAGCTCTATTTCTTGCTCATAAATGCCAGTTGAGATTCTCTCTTATATTATTTTTCTCGGTTTTTTTTTTTTTTTTTGAGACGGAGTCCTGCTCAGTCGCCCAGGCTGGAGTGCAGTGGCACAATCTCAGCTCACTGCAACCTCCGCCTCCCGGGTTCACGCCATTCTCCTGCCTCAGCCTCCCGAGTAGCTAGAACTACAGACACCTGCCACGATGCCCGGCTAATTTTTTTTTGTATTTTTAGTAGGGATGGGGTTTCACCATGTTAGCCAGGATGGTCTTATCTCCTGATCTTGTGATCCACCCGCCTCGGCCTCCCAAAGTGCTGGGATTACAGGCGTGAGCCATAGCGCCCGGCATTATTTTTCTCTTGTTTTAACAATCTTCCTTTTTTCCTAGTTTAAACTGATGTCTATTCCTTTCAACCAAAAAGTCTTGACTAAATAAAAGATGAGCTTCATTTTTATCCCTTGTCTCACTACAACAATTGGCATTAGTAAGATTTTGCTGATTTTTTTACCCCCGCAAGAGACAGGGTCTCCCTATGTTGCCGAGGCTGGACTTGAACTCCTGGGCTCCAGCAATCCTCCTACTTCAGCCCCTCAAGTAGCTGGCACTACAGGCATGTAACACTGAGCCCTGACTAGATATTACTAAATTCTATGTTGAACACATAGAGAAATAGAAACCAACTAGCTCCTTGCTATTCAAAGAATGTTTGGTAGACTATATGAATCAGCATTATCAGGAAGCTTGCTGGAAATTCAGATTCCCACTGAAGCAAAAATCTGCATTTTAATGATACTCGTGATCTTCATGCACATTAAAGTTTGAAAAGCTAAAATCTGGCCCACTTTTACAAGTAAGAGGCCCAAAGAAGAAGGGTATACTATTTTTTAAAAAAAAATCCTGAGCCAGAGTGGTGGTGGTGTACACCTATAGTCCCAACTACTCAAGAAACTCAGTCAGGAGGATCACTTAAGCACAGAACTTTGATTCCGGCCTGGGCAACACAGTGAGACCCTATCTCTAAAAGGAACCAAATAATGTGAAGTGTATTTCCAAAGCATTTTGTTGTTGTTGTCTGAGAAGGAGTCTCGCTCTGTTGCCCAGGCTGGACTGCAGTGGCACGATCTCGGCTCACTGCAACCTCCACCTCCCAGGTTCAAGCAATTCTCCTGCCTCAGCCTCCCAAGTAGCTGGGATTACAGGCATGTGCCACCACACTGGCTAATTTTTTTTGTATTTTTAGTAGAGACGGGGTTTCACCATATTGGCCAGGCTGGTCCAAGTGATTCCCTTGCCTCAGCCTCCCAAGTAGCCGGGATTACAGACGTGTGCTACCACACCCAGCTAATTTTTATATTTTTAGTAGAGATGGGGGTTTCACCATGTTAGCCAGGCTGGTCTTGAACTCCTGACCTCAGGTGATCTGCCCACCTCGGCCTACCAAAGTGCAGGGATTATAGGCGTGAATGAGTGTGCCCAGTCTGCAAAGCATTTTAATATCTGTTTATAATTTACCTGTAATTTCTGTTGAAATAAGAATTGCTTAGGTTAGTGCTTTGATAATACTAAATATAAATTATTCTTACCTATTCATTAAATTTAGCAAGTTTTCTATAAAAAACTAAATTATCTTTTCCTACTTTCAGTAATCTAAACAATCTAACTTCCCAACTAGTCCCTATTATTCTTTTTCTTTTTTTTTTTTTTTTTTTTTGAGACAGAGTCTTGCTCTGTGGCCCAGCCTCTGTCGCCCAGTCTGGAGTGCAGTGACAGGATCTCAGCTCACTGCAACCTCTGCCTCCCAGGTTCAAGCCATTCTCCCATCTCAGCCTCTGGAGTAGCTGGGATTACAGGCACACGCCACGAGGATCAACTAATTTTTGTATTTTTAGTAGAAACGGAGTTTCACATTGTTGGCCAGGCTGGTCTCGAACTCCTGACGTCAGGTGATCCGCCCACTTTGGCCTCCCAAAGTGTTAGGATTACAGGCGTGAGCCACCACGCCCGGCCTCCAATCAGTCCCTGTTATTCTAACTTTGTTATATTTCATCTTAATCTCAAAAAGGAGATTTGCTCAACTCTTACTTATGAAATTTACTGCAGGAAGGAAGAGGATAATAATATAGTACAAAGGTACCTTCTGATGGAACAATAAACCAAGAATGCCTGTCTCTTAATACTCTAGTTCATTAACCCACAGACGTATTGATATGTATGCTTTTTTGGAACACAGAGAATTAAAAACACACTTTAAACATCTCAGGTAGGTCAAACATGAAAAGGTCTCTGCAGAATCTTGTAATAACAAATACCTAACTGTCATTACATTTATGCTCTGGCTATTACCTAATTCAATACGTATCTTGAGGCCTCCTAATAAGTTATATTCACTCAGAAGTTATATTCTCTAAAAAAAGAAAGCATAATCAGCAAAAAGCAAAAACATCAGGGTGTACTAAATCCAATTGAATAAAAAACGTTGTTTTGGTTTATAAATATAAACCCCATTTATTTATTATTTATTTACTTTTATGAGACGGTGTCTCACTCTGTTGCCCAGGCTGGAGTGCAGTGGTGAAATCATAGCTCACTGCAGCCTTCAACTCCTGGGAGTTGAATGCCTTCAGCTTCAATCCTCCTGCCTCAGCCTCCTGACTAGCTGGGACCACAGGTGTTTGTGACCATGTCTGCTTAATTAATTAATTAATTTTTTTTTTTTGAGATGGAGTCTCACTCTGTCACCAGCCTGGAGTGCAGTGGCGTGATCCTGGCTCACTACAACCTCCGCCTCCTGGGTTCAAGCAATTTTCCTGCCTCAATCTCCCAAGTAGCTGGGACTACAGGCACACGCCACCATGCCCAGATAATTTTTGTATTTTTAGTAGAGATGGGGTTTCACCATGTTGGCCAGGATGGTCTTGATCTCTTAACCTCGTGATCTGCCCCCCTTGGCCTACCAAAGTGCTGGAATTACAGGCGTGAGCCACCACGCCCAGCAATTTTTTGGTTTTGTATTTAGAGACCAGGTCTCACTATTTTGCCCAGGCTGGTCTTGAACTCCTGGCTTCAAGCAGTCCTCCTGCCTCAGCCTCCCAAAGTGCTGGGATTACTGGTATGAGCCATAGAACCGGGCTAGAAAACCTATTTAAACACAAACCGTTTTCACAAGGCTAAAATAGTTATTTTTCTATATATTTTTATTCAATAAAAAGCTATTCAATAAAGTAGGTAAGGAATGAGGGTAATATATATATATAAGTATTGAGTTTTCTGTAGGCTGACATCAAAGCAAAGACACATTATACATGCAAGTAGTGTATATTTTTTCAGGATGTCCATTATGATAATTTATAATTATAGGCCAGGTGTCGTGGCTCACTCCTGTAATCGCAGCACTTTGGAAGGCCACGGTGGGCAGATTGCCTGAGGTCAAGGGTTCGAGACCAGCCTAGCCAACATAGTGAAACCCTGTCTCTACTAAAAATATAAAAAATTAGTCAGGCGTGGTGGCACACCCCTGTAGTCCCAGCCACTGGGGAGGCTAAGGCACAAGAATTGCTGGAACCTGGGAGGTGGAGGTTGTGGTGAGCCAAAGTTGCGCCATTGCACTCCAGCCTGGGCAACAGATATTAATTATAGATGAATTATAGATATTAAACTGTTTTGGAGGCACACTTCACATCATACACTTCTTAAAGGTATGCTACTTTTAAATCCATCTAAAAGTATGCTACTTTTAAATCCAATTAACTTGCCCCAGCCCAGTTTTAACTTACTTTCCTGCTAGAATCAGGTCCAGAGTATAAGAAAAACTAACAAAAATAATTTCATATTATGAGCATCTTTTAAAACCTTCAAAACCATTACTAATTTTTTTTTCTTTTTGGTAGACAGAGTCTACCAAATCTTGTTTTTATAGGTCTACATCTAAATTTATAGTATACACATTTATAATGTGCCTTATGGCCACATTACACACATGTGCCTTTTAGCATTTACAGCTACTTACACCAGCACTTTTCTTTTTTTTTTTTTTTTTGAGACAGAGTCCTGCTCTATCACCCAGGCTGGAGTGCAGTGGTGTGATCTCGGCTCACTGCAACCTCCACCTCCTGGGTTCAAGCCATTCTCCTGCCTCAGCCTCCCAAGCAACTGGGATTACAGGCATGGGCCACCACCCCCAGCTAATTTTTGTATTTTTAGTAGAGACGGGGTTTCACCATGTTGGCCAGGCTGGTCTCGAACCCCTGACCTCAGGTAATCCGCCCACCTCAACCTCCCAAAGTGCTAGGATTACAGGCGGGAGCCACCACGCCCAGCCAGTACTCTGTATTTAGTAACCTCCAAAGCTTCCATCATACTAATTCCCAGTCTGAATTACCCTATTATGTGCTTTTCCAACCTCCTCCCAGGCCAAAGGTACTGTTATAGAAAGCCAGAATTCGCCGGGCATGGCGGCTCACGCCTGTAATCCCAGCACTTTGGGAGGTCGAGGCGGTCGGATCATGAGGTCAGGAGATCGAGACCATCCTGGCTAACACGGTGAAACCCCGTCTCTACTAAAAAAATACAAAAAAAATTAGCCGGGCACAGTGGCGGGCGCCTGTAGTCCCAGCTACTCAGGATGCTGAGGCAGGAAATCGGCATTAACCCGGGAGGCGGAGCTTGCAGTGAGCTGAGATGGCGCCACCGCACTCTAGCCTGGGCGATAGAGCGAGACTCCGTCTCAAAAAAAAAAAGAAAGCCAGAATCACGCTCTTGGCCTACAAGACGTTCAACATGTTTTTCTAACTTCAGTTAGGGATATCACTGGCAAACAGTAATTCTTTTATAGCAGTCCCCAAAAGAGCTATTTCAAGTCACTTTAAGCCTTTGATTTTACCTTCCTTTAACTGCAACCAATGATGCTGCCTCCTACTTTAATGAGCACCCCAATCTCTCCCTCAAGATTTGTTCACAAAATTATCTTCCCTTGCTCCTTTCCCTTCATCTTATCATTAAATGTCAACACACTTCCTTCTATATCTTGCTCTCTGAATTCTTTCTCCATATACTCAACATCTTCAATTTTTCCCTCTTACAAGTACCTTTCCTTTAACTTCCAATATGCATAAATCCATCCTGAAAAATAATTTAACCTTAATGTCCCTCCAGTAGCTCCATAATTCTCCTACTACTTTTACAAAGCAAAATATTCCAATGTCTACGAGATCTTAGGAATGACTCACACTGGTCATCTAGTCCATTAGTTTTCAATATTCAGTGTTTTCTAGATATACTTGATCCCACCACGAACGAAGGAAAAAAAATCCATTTATCCTAAGGACATAAGCTTACAGGCCAACAAGTCTCTTAAGGTCACAAGAATCCACTGTAATATTGTCAGAAATAAACTTTATTTCAACGGTCTTAAACTATTAAAAAAATTAATTGAAAATGGTATTAACATCAAGTATAAATTTAAACAGCTGAAGTATCATAAAATAAAATCTTTTTTTTTTTTTGAGATCGAGTTTCTCTTGTTGCCCAAGCTGGAGTGCAATGGCTTGATCTTGGCTTACCACAACCTCCGTCTCCCAGGTTCAAGCAATTCTCCTGCCTTAGCCTCCCAAGTAGCTGGGATTACAGGCGTGGGCCACCACGTCCGGCTAATTTTGTATTTTTAGTAAAGATGGGGTTTCTCCATGTTGGTCAGGCTGGTCTCAGACTCCCGACCTCAGGTGATCTGCCTGCCTCAGCCTCCCAAAGTGCTAGGATTACAGGCATGAGCCACTGTGCCCAGCCAATAAAATCATTTTTTTAATTTTATTTCGAGTCTTGCTCTGTCACCCAGGCTGGAGTGCAGTGGCGCAATCTCGGCTCGCTGCAAGCTCCGCCTCCCAGGTTCACGCCATTCTCCTGCCTCAGCCTCCCAAGTAGCTGGGACTACAGGCACCACCCGCCACCTCTCCCGGCTAATTTTTTGTATTTTTAGTAGAGACGGGGTTTCACCGTGGTCTGGATCTCCTGACCTCGTGATCCGCCCACCTCGGCCTCCCAAAGTGCTGGGATTACAGGCGTGAGCCACCGCGCCCAGCCTTAAAATCATTTTTTAAAAACACAACAGAGGCGAGACACAGTGGCTCACACATGTAATCCCAGCACTTTGGGAGGCTGAGGTGGACACATCACTTGAAGTCAGGAGTTCCAGACCACACTGGCCAACATGGTAAAACCCTCTACTAAAAATACAAAAATTAGTTGGGCGTGGTGGTATGCGCCTGTAATCCCAGCTACTGGGGAGGCTGAGGCATGAGAATCACTTGAACCTGGGAGATGGGGGTTGCAGTGAGCTGAGATCACGCCACTGCACTCCAGCCTGGGCAACAGAGCAAGACACCGCACCTGGCCAACCTTGGACATTTTAAATCAATAAATCATTAAGATGGAGAACTTGCTAAATAAAATATTCCATTCCTTGCCTTTTTCTTCCATGAGCTTACTTCTTCCATTTTCTCCCTTCTGTTGGACTCTTCATTCTCTTCCTTCCATGCCAGCCTGGACTCCAAGAAGTATCATCTGAACTAGCACCTTTGACTGAAATCCTTATTCTTTCCTTATAGCCACCTAACCAAAAATCAGCACTACAAATTCACTTTCTTCCTTCCTACATCACAATGGTTTAGCACAAATACAGAAAAATCACTGAGTGATCCATCACAGAAATCCATGTCATTGGGAAAACTGATTTAGCTCTATTCCTACTCTTTCTTCTACATGTAGAATATGAATCAGGCTGAGCCAATCAGGTTACTCTGATGACCTACTGACAATAATGATAGGTTCAGGAAAAAGCATCTGATCTGAGGCAATCTAATCAGTGAATAGCAAGACTTCATCCGTAATACTAGGACAAAGATTCTCAAAATTAACATGGAAGCATTTAGCTTACCTGAAGCTTCAAGGGGAACCAAACTTAAGGTTAAGCTGACATCAAATAAGCAAATCAAGATATGAAAAATCTGATCCTGGCCGGGCGTGGGGCTAACACCTATAATCCCAGCACTTTGGGAGGCCAAGGCGGGTGAATTACTGGAGGTCAGGAGTTCAAGACCAGCCTGGCCAACACAGAGATAACCCGTCTCTACTAAAAATACAAAATTAGCTGGGCGTGGTGACGTGTGCCTGTAATCCCGGCTACTGGGGAGGCTGAGGCGGAGAATCGCTTGAATCTGGGAGGTGGAGGTTGTGGTGAGCCAAGATCGCACCATTGCACTCCAGCCTGGGCAAAAAGAGTGAAACTCCATTTCAAAAAAAAAGAAAGAAAGAAAAATCTGATCCTGAAGATGCTGAGCAACTGGCTCCAGCCTGATGCCACCAAATCCTACTCATTACTTGATTTACTTACATGGACCAATAAGCTCCCTTTCAGCAAGGGTTCCAGTGGGTTTTCTGTCGTAGACCAAAAAAATTCTGATACATAATACCTGGGTTGAGACTGACATCAGCAAACCATACTAATGCTTTGGTTGATATTCAGCTGCCAAGTCTAGTCTTAGATTTCATCTACAGTAATCAGAGCTTCCTTCTTTCTGTAAGCCAGTACTTTGCTCATAGTAGACACCTGAGGAGTATTTGTTAAACAAATAGCAAGGCAGGATCTAGACCAGGGATCTGGATTATCCAAGTCAGAACAATATTGTCAGCCAGGCGCAGTGGCTTACACCTGTAATCCCAGCACTTTGGGAGGCTGAGGCAGGCAGATCACAAGGTCAGGAGATCGAGACCATCCTGGCTAACATGGTGAAACCCCATCTCTACTAAAAATACAAAAAATTAGCCAGGCGTGGTGGTGGGTGCCTGTAGTCCCAGCTACTTGGGAGGCTGAGGCAGGAGAATGGCGTGAACCCGGGAAGGGGAGGTTGCAAGTGAGCCAAGATCGCACCACTGCACTCCAGCCTGGGTGACAGAGCAAGACTCCATCTCAAAAAAAAAAACAAAAGAACAAAAAAAAATATTGTTTTCTAGAAGCAATAAAATCAACTTTGAGACAGTGTTTTTCAATCTTTTTTGATTGTGTTCCAAGTAATGTATTATTATTATTATTATTTTTTTTTGAGATGGAGTCTCACTCTATCACCCAGACTGGAGTGCAGTGGCGCTATCTTGGCTCACTGCAAACTCCACCTCCTGGGTTCAAGTGATTCTCCTGCCTCAGCCTCCCAAGTAGCTGGGATTACAGGTGTGCACCACCATGCCCAGCTAATTTTTGTATTTTTAGTAGAGACAGGGCTTCTTCATGTTAGTCAGGCTGGTCTTGAACTCCTGACCTCATGTTCCGCCCGCCTCGGCCTCCCAAAGTGCTGGGATTACAGGCATGAGCCACCATGTCAGCCTAAGTAATGTACATGACCCGGTATACACAAAATCTATATAACTCAAGGAAAGATTAAACAAAAAAAAACCAGCATTTAATCCCAAAGCACTGATATTTTCTCTTCTATTCCATTTTTTTTAAAAAAATGCTTATTATTGATTATCCATCAAATTGATTTCACACCCCTCACAAGGGTCATGACTTATATATTGAAAAACATAGTCCAGCTCTCTTAAGTTAAAATGGAGAACTTGCTAGTAAATACATAGGTCGGGGCAAACACCACCAAAAAAGTTATGTACTCTAGTCCAGTCACCTTCAAACCGATTAGGTTAAGAGCCCTTTTTTTTTTTTTTTTTTTTTTTTAACCAGGAGAAATAACTTTATTTGGACTGAGAGCTGGAGAACAAGAATAGGACCTGAGATAGCATACTGGGCTAAGGAGGAGAGGTAAGGTTCCAAAATGGCAGTCAAAGCTCATCGACCAAACAGACTCTACTTCCCAGCAACCTTGCAGTTAGTGCAACCAACAAAAGGCCTGCTGGGGAATGTATTTTCCACTAAATTCCCCAAGTATGCCAACATTACAAAAAAGATAGAGGTTTTTCATCATAATTAAATTTCCACAATCCTCCCCAATCATGAGTATTATAAGCAGAAGTAAAAAATCACATTTTACAGATCTCAAACTTGTCTTCAACATTTAGTTCATCATCTTCAAAAAACAGCTCCCCTGCTAAACTCATTAGCTATATGATCTATCCAAGCAACAACAAGATGGCCAGGCCATGCCAATTCTCTTCCCATTTTCCCTAGCCACTCAGGGCTCAACAGCAGGGTGAAGCTCAGGCGGGGGTAGGGTGTGGGGAGCACAAGGGCTACTTTCCCCCAATACAACATGGCATCTGAAGCTTGATAGGAGAGCAGAACTGGTGAGACTTGAGGGAAGGACCCAGGGCCTGTATTCAGTCAGAATCACTGCTGGAAGAGGAGGAGGAATGCTTGCTATGCTTGTGCATCTTTTTATGAGCTTTCTTCATTTTCTTCTGTATCTTCTTGCCCACTATCACTGCTGGTCCAACCATGCCAGGAGCCAAGGGACTCACAGGAGGCATTCCAGGAGCAGACGGTGGGTATGGAGGAGGGTAGGGACCCGAGGATTGGCATCCTGGATACCCTGGCTGTGGCACAGGATGAGGGGGCCAACCTGGGGGGAAAGCTGAATTGCCTTGCGGAGCTCCTGGGGGAGGAGGACAGGGGCCTGGGGGAAAGGGTGGGTTGATAGGTGGTGAGTGGGCAGGATTGGAACCTCCAGGGCACCCAATGTTGGGTGGATATGGATTTGGCCCTGGCTGCCTGGCACTGGGATTCCACATGTTTAGGTGTGTCCTCCAGCCTTTCCACTGCTGCCTGGGCTTGATGCATTCTCAAGAGCTTCTTAACTAGTTTCACCTCCTGTCTGCTCTCTCATCTTCATCATGCAAAAATTAGACTTTCCGTGTTACCTCTGCCTTACTCAAGTAGTCAAAGTGGTCCACAGTCTACTAGGCTTAGCTCTGAGACTAGAGGCCAGAGTAATGGCAAGGAATCCACTAAATGTACCAAACATTGCAGATAGCATGTAAAACAGTTCAAACATACATATGATGATAACTACTTATTTGTCAAAGTTATATATGTGTCACTTAATAGAATACAAATTCATTTCCAAGTATCATGGAATTTACAGGAACATTCTGACACATCCTGAACAGGCCAACCTCATCGCCTACTACCACCCAACAGAAACCCTCTGCTCCTGACAAATTAATCTCCCTACCCACACACATAAAAGTTTCACACTAACCTTCAACCCTACTACTCTCTTTCTCCTAGCCTGGAATACCCTTCCCTTCTCTTTACTTATCCAAACCTTACTTATCTGGCAAAGCACAATGGCTCATGCCTGTAATTCCAGCATTTGGGGAGGCCAAGGCAGGAAGACGCTTGAGCCCAGGACTTCAAGACACCCTGGCCCCTTCTCTACAAAAAACAAATAATTAGCTGAGCATGGTGGCACACACCTGTAGTCAGCTATTTGAGGGGGCTGAGGTGGGAAGATCGCATGAGCCCAGGTAGCTGAGGCTGCAGCAAGCTATGATCATGCCACTGCACTCCAGCATAGGTGACACAGCGAGGCCTTGTCTCAAGTCACTAAAAACAGGCCTTACTTCATCATGAAGTGAAGGCACGCCTTCACATCTCTTCCCTGTCTTCCTATAGATTTGTGATCTATAGATGTCATGGGACAGCATCATAAGAATAATTGTAGGCCAGGCGTGGTGGCTCACGCCTGTAATCCCAGCACTTTGGGAGGCCGAGGCGGGCGGATCAACAGGTCAGGAGATCGAGACCATCCTGGCTAACAAGGTGAAACCCCATCTCTACTAAAAATACAAAAATTAGCCCGGCGTGGTGGTGGGCGCCTGTAGTCCCAGCTACTCGGGAGGCTGAGGCAGGAGAATGGCGTGAACCCAGGAGGCGGAGCTTGCAGTGAGCCAAGATTGCGCCACTGCACTCCAGCCTGGGTGACAGACCGAGACTCCGTCTCAAAAAAAAAAAAAAAAAAAAGAATAATTGTGTTGAATGTTTTGTTGTAATGATAAAATAAGATTAAAAAGTAAGAGCACTTTGGAAGTTTCAAGGTTTTATTTTTTGAATAGCTTTAGGTAAAAATCATGAATACAACTGGCTGCTACCTCAAATGAGATGTCAATTTTTAGGGATGCCCTATCTGGAACACTTTTTCAGGAAACCCAGACCTTGGAATATTGTCACCCTCAGTAGTAGAGTCTTCAAAACAATCTTTCTTTTATTCAGAGCTGATTTATACATTAACAACGATTCATTTCTCAGTTTTTGAAATTATATGAAGTCACCTGGATCCAGTGTATATAAGCTGGAAAAATACCCAAAAACATAAGGCTGACAGAGCCAAATTAGACTGTTGGAGACATTTTAAATTATTTGAAAATACATTAACATTTTCTACTACATACTCTTAGAAGTTCTCCTAGCCATCACTGGTGGTGGAACACACCTATGTGAGCTACAGACAAACTTGTTAGGATCACTTTAAGTTTATGAGCTTTAAAATCATTTAAAGAACGATTCCAGGCCAACACGGAATCAAAGTATTTAGTTTCTACGTACAGTTTTTTCCTTAAAACAATATTTAAAGCCGTGAGATTCTGCAATTATAGAGGCAGTAGGAATAAAGAGAAAACAAAAACCAAAAATAAAGCCGTGAGAAATGTCAGGATGATGTAGTGGGGAAATAAACTTTAGAATGAGTGACCTTAGCTGTAACTAAGTAATTGCTAATATTTATTTAGCCCCCACTTCATATCCAAGCATTGCTCTAAATCTTTTACGTGAATTATTTCGTTTAACCCACGCACCACCTATTAAGTAGATATTATTATTATCCCCATTTCACAGTTCAGACACTGAGCTTTTTTTGAAAGTTACCAAGTCCAAGGTTCCAAGTAAACAGTAGGGCAGGGACTCAAGCCCAGGTGTACTGCCACCTGGAAGTATTAAGTCCTCGCTCCTAACTACTACTTCACTGATCTGGCTTTATGACTTTATAAGTCATATACCCACACTGGGCCTCAGTTTCTTCATCTGTAAAAACAACGCAGCGAATGCCACAGTACAGCTCCTTCCAGCTCTGCCTAGCGTCGTTATCATCAACCTTACAATCTACCTGAGCGTCAACAAGCCAGTGTCATCCCTTCTTTTAAATGAATTCTACTCAAACAGCATTTACAACGCACCTACTCGGCGTCCGGCCTTGTGCTGCGCGAGCGCCCAAGCCCAACTCCCCCACGGTCTCTGCTCCCGCCGCGGCGCCAGCAGGCCCCCCTCTTTCCCCGCGACTCTCCGAGAATAGCGGGGGTCCTTTTCCCCACCCGACACACAGAAGCCTCGGGCCACCCCCAGCTCTGCTCCCCGGGCCCACTCACCCTTCTGGTGGTCTCTGCTGCCAGGCGCCGCGAGACCCCGCGTCCCCGCTGCCCCGTCCCCCACGGGGGTCGTGTGGTGAGCGCCCAACTGCGATCGTTCGGCGACTCTGCCTTTCGCCATGGCTGCTGCAAGGTGAAGGGAGCGGTGCGGTGCCGCGCCCCCTAAACAACAAAACTCTGTTGCAGGCTCCTTACTACGCCGAAGCGCCACGGCTAGAGCCACTTCCGGCGCGACCTCCTCACCCGAGACGACCTCAGCCCAGCGAGTACTGCAACCTCCTGCAAACACCCGCAGCGCCCACCACAGGCTAAACCCCGCCCCGTGCCGCCCCCGAGCCTCGCGTGCTCGCGCCGGCCCAGTAACCGCGAGACAAGTCAGGGTCCTGGACCGCCCCCTTCAGTGCCCCGCCCCGGCCCGCCCGCGGGAAAGAGGTGGCCGCCGGGCGCTGGGGCGAGAGCATGCGCAGTCGCGGCACTCGAGTCACCCGGCTGCGACTCGCTGGCCCTGGCGTCTAAAGCGTAGCCTTAATTACCCGGAAGTGCGGTCCCAGGGACTTCAAACCTTTTGTCCAGGCCGCCGGAGGTGCCTGTGATTAGTCGGCATTTCGCGGCTGAGGCTGATTCAGCCCATTACATCAATTCCGCAGCTGCTGTCTTCAATTTGGAGGCGCCAGAGAGTGCTTGATCTAAAAGATGGTGGGAAATACAAAGGTTGAGCAAAACCTACCTGAATTTCAGGAAACTAAGGCTCAGAGAGGGCTACGTACAACCTGTGAAGATCACAGGATGGCAAAAATGGGCTTAGAATCCAGGTTGTCCTGTTCCCAAAGCTAACGGTTTTGCATTAGCTGCTGCCCCTTACTACTAAACCCAAGTCAGCTCTACATTTAGCTTATCCCTAAGCTAAGCGGAAACATGCCTTTTCCACAGGTAACTTTTTCTGCTTCTACCCCTCAGAGCACATTCAGCTTACTCACCGTGGTTACCTCTTGAAAGCAACTTAGAGGCCGGTCGCGGTGGCTCAAGCCTGTAATCCCAACACTTTGGGAGGCCAAGGCGGGCGGATCATTTGAGACCAGGAGTGTGAGGCCAGACTGGCCAAAATGGTGAGATGAGACCCCGTCTCTGCTAAAAATACAAAAATGAGCTGGACATGATGGCTTGTAATCCCAGCTACTCGAGAGTGTGAGTCAGGAGAATCGCTTGAACCCCGGAGGCTGAGGTTGCGGTGAGAAATTGCACCGCTGCACTCCAGCATAGACCACAAAGCAAGACTCCGTCCCAAAAAAAAAAAAAAAAAATCCTGATTGTTTCTATTCAGTAATTACATTTGTAGGAAATTATTCCATGAAAATAAACATAAATAATTCCTCTGTATTAGTATAACAGTGAAAAACTAAAAGCAATATAAAAATCCAACACTAAATAAAAATGGTTAAGTAAATTATGGGAAACCCATTCAATTGAACTGTTTTATGTACACATCCTTTGCCTACTTCTGGCTCCCATTTTATTTCCTTCATAGTCATTAAAAGCAATTAATTCTGTGAACTATTTGTTTACTTGTTTATTGTCTGCCTCCACCTTTAGAATATAAGCTTTAAGGCAGGGGCTTTGTCTTTTTGTTTTTTGTTTTTTTAAGTGATGGGAATCTCACTATATTGTCCAGGCTGGATCTGAACTTCTGGACTCAAGGGATCCTCAAGCATCAGCCCTCTGAGTAGCTGGGACTACAGGCTCCATGCTATGGCTCCCAGCTGGGCTTTGTCTTTTTGATCACCATTGTATCCCCGGTAGCTGACAGAGTGCCAATACCTAAGTGGCCATTCAATGAATTTGTTGAATAATTTTTTTTTTTGAGATGGTGCCCAGCCGAATAAATTTTCAATCTTAGGAAATTATATTTATGGGCCAGGTGCCATGGCTTACACCTGTAATTTCAGCACTTTGGGAGACCAAGGTGGGCGGATCACCTTGAGGTCGGGAGTTCAAGTCAAAAAAAAAAAAAAGAAAACATTTTATATATTTTACTATGCAAACATTAAAAATTGAAGTACAACAAAAACTAAAAACAAACACTGAGAAGTATTTGACACATAAGAATTACTACAAATCAGTAAGGAAAGCACAACTCAACAGAAAAATGGGCAAAGAATATGAATTATCAACACACAGAAGAAAAAATTAAATGTGCTTAAGACATCTGAGTGCGCAGTGGGAAAGCCAACTCCAAAACTTAGGAAATTCCAAAAAATTAGGAAAAGATGAACAACCTCAGTGCAGTGTGATAAGAGTGACTGAGGGGTGCGCAGATTGCAATAGCAGAAGAGAGGAATATCTAAATTACAGTGGGGCTGTAAAGTCTCCCAGGAAGCAGGATTAAAACTGATTTTTAGAGGATGAATAGGAATTAACAAAGTTGAAAGCAGAGAAAATAGCTTTTGCAAAGGCTAGAAGCTACTGCTTATATTAGAAAAAAAGCTTCAAGCAAAGGGTGGGAGAATGGAAAGAAATGCTACGAAAGATATGAGACCAGGACCTTATCACAAACTGCTAAAAGTTTGAACTTAATCCTCAAAGATATTTAACCAGAGAGGGACTTAGTAAGATTTGTATTTTTGGCCGGGCACATTGGCTCACCCCTGTAATCCCAGCACTTTGGGAGGCTGAGATGGTTGGATCACCTGAGGTCAGGAGTTCAAGACCAGTTTGAAAACCCGTCTCTACTAAAAGTACAAAAAATTAGCTGGGTGTGGCCGGGTGTGGTGGCTCACGCCTGTAATCCCAGCACTTTGGGAGGCCGAGGTGGGCGGATCACGAGGTGGGGAGATCAAGACCATCCTGGCTAATATGGTGAAACCCCGTCTCTACTAAAAATACAAAGAATTATCCGGGCGTGGTGGCAGGCGCCTGTAATCCCAGCTACTCAGGAGGCTGAGGCAGGAGAATGGTGTGAACCCAGGAGGCAGAGCTTGCACTGAGCCGAGATCGCGACACTGCACTCCAGCCTGGGTGACAGAGCAGGACTCCATCTCAAAAAAAAAAAAAAAAAAAAAAAAAAAAAAAAAAAAGCTGGGCGTGGCAGCGGGCGCCTGTAATCCCAGCTACCCGGGAGGCTGAGGTAGGAGAATCGCTTGAACCAGGGAGGTAGAGGTTCCAGTGAGCTGGGATCGTGCCATTGCACTCCAGCCAGGGCAACAAGTGTGAAACTCCGTCTCAAAAAAAAGATTTGAATTTTCAAAGCTTATTCTGACCGCCTTATGGAAGTGTGCCAAATCAACAGCAGAAAGAGAAGTTAGGAGATTACTGCAATAATCCTGGCCTGACCTAGCATAGTGTACTGGAGACAAAAAGAAGATACCAGATATAAGATTATGTATGAGAAGAACTATCTCTAAACTTTTATTACTTTAATTACATGAATATATACATAGTCATTCCAGACAAAATTTTTTTTTTTTTTGAGATGGAGTTTCACTCTTATTGCCACGCTGGAGTGCAATGGCATGATCTTGGCTCGCGGAAACCTCCGCCTCCCAGTTCAAGCGATTTTCCTGCCTCAGCCTCCCAAGTAGCTGGGATTACAGACATGTGCTACCACGCCCGGCTAATTTTGTATTTTTAGTAGAGGGGGGTTTCTCCATGTTGATCAGGCTGGTCTCGAACTCCCGACCTCAGGTGATCTGCCCACCTCGGCCTCCCAGTGCTGGGATTACAGCCGTGAGCCACCACGCCCCAGCCTCCAGACAAATATTGAAAAAGCAAATTATCAGACAGAAAAACATTAAGTCCAGGCAGGGTGGGTCATGCCTGTGATCCCAGCACTTTCGGAGGCTGAGGAGGGCGGATTGATTGGGCTCAGGGGTTTGAGACCAGCCTAAGCAACATGGTGAAACCCTGTCTCTACAAACAATACAAAAAAGCCGGGCATGGTGGCAGGTGCCTGCAATCCCACCTACTCAGGAGGCTGAGGTGGGAGAATGGCTTGAGCCCAGGAGGTGGAGGTTGCAGTGGGCCAAGATCATGCCATCGCACTGTAGCCTGGGTGACAGAGCCAGACCCTGCCTCGAAAAAACAAAAACATTAAAATCATGTCTAATATGTTAGCAGCAGCAAATCCGTACGGGTCTGTAGCAACCTCAATTCTTGCTTCCTCAGAAGAATTCGACCGAAGGGCATAAGGCAGAGTGAGAAACCAAGGCAAGTCTTAGAGGAGTGAAAGTTTATTAAAAAGCTTTAGAGAAGGAATAAAAAGAAGCAAAGTACACTTGGAAGAGGACCAACAGGTGACTTAAGAGATCAAGTGCACGGTTTGACCTTTACTTGGGGTCTTATACATTGGCCCAGGGTTATTTCTCCCCTGATTCTTCCCTTGGGATGGGCTGTCCACATGTGCAGTGGCCTGCCAGCACTTGGGAGGGGTTACATGCACAATGTCTTTACTGAAGTTGCACATGAAGGGGTGGGTTGCCCCTCCACACCTGTGGGCATTTCTCATTAGGTGGAACGAGAGACTTGGAAAAGAAAGAGACACAGAGACCAAGTATAGAGAAAGAAAAAGGGGCCCAGGGGACTGGCGTTCAGCATGTGGAGGATCCACGCCGGCACCAGCCTCTGAGTTCCCTTAGTATTTATTGATCATTATCGGGTGTGGCAGGATAATAGGATAATAGTGGAGAGAAGGTCAGAAGGTAAACACGTGAACAAATGTCTCTGCATCATAAACAAGCTAAAGAAAAAAGTGCTGTGCTTTTGATGTGCATATACATAAACATTTCAATGCCTTAAGGAGCAGTATTGCTGCCAGCATGTCCCGACTCCAGCCCTAAGGTGGTTTTCCCCTATCTCAGTAGATGGAATATACAATCGGCTTTACACCGAGACATTCCATTGCCCAGGGACCAGCAGGAGACAGAAGCCTTCCTCTTATCTCAACTGCAAAGAGGCGTTCCTTCCTCTTTTACTAATCCTCCTCAGCACAGACCCTTTACGGGTGTCGGGCTGGGGGACGATCAGGTCTTTCCCTTCCCATGAGGCCGTATTTCAGACTATCACATGGGGAGAAACCTTGGACAATATCTGGTTTTCCTAGGCAGAGGTATTGTGTCTCTGGGTACTTGAGATTAGGGAGTGGTGATGACTCTTAACAAGCATGCTGCCTTCAAGCATTTGTTTAACAAAGCACACCCTGCACAGCCCTTGATCCACTAAACCCTGAGTTGACACAGCACATGTCTTAGGGAGCACAGGGTTGGGGGTAGGGTTACAGATTAACAGCATCTCAAGGCAGAAGAATTTTTCTTAGTACAGAACAAAATGGAGTCTCTTATGTCTACTTCTTTCTACGCAGACACAGTAACAATCTGATCTCTCTTTTCCCCATAGCACACATGCTCACATGAGGCAGTTTTTCCTTTACCAGTCCAGTGTTCCTAGAGGAAGGTCATACACAACTTAAATTCTGCCATTTTGCTTCTTAGTGTGCATACTTGAGCCGGAGATGTTACCGAGAAGCTGCCAATCATCAGTTTCAGGGTTTTTTCTATTTGTTGGGAGACTGCCTTTCCCTGGTGCCAGCTGCGACCAATTATTGTTTTAGGAAGGCAGTTTAATGGCCACCTGACCAACAACTGATGGTCACCTGACATTCCTGGTGAAGTGGAGAGGCCCTCTCCTGCCCTCTCATGTCTGATTAGCTACCTTCTGTAACAATACCACCATCCATAGATAATTGTAATATTGGGATTTATCCTCCTGGGATATTAAAAAATGTTAAAGAAGTAGAATCTAGAGGATTTAGTGTCACTTAATATCCTTAGACAAAGATGTTAGTCAGAGGGGAGGCACTAGGTGTTTGGAGAGTTTCTGGTTTAGGAGGTTGAATGTGATACCAGTGGGACCACAACCCCAGCCAGTGTGTAGGCTCTAGATATTGCAGGAAGGAATTCAAGGATGAGTCAGAAAATAGTGAAAGTACGGAGACTTATTGCAAGGTGAAAAGTACACACTGAAGAAAGGGGAGCGCAGGTGTACTCAAAGAGTAGTCGCCCAATAGAGTTTGGGATTTCTACCTTTCTGGGTTTCTTTAACCAAAGGGTGGGATATTCATGAAGATTCCTGGAAAAATTCCTGGATTTTTCAGAAATGTGGTGCCACCCATTTTTATACCAAATTTGTTCCTGGAACCGTCAGGGGGTTGGTGGGTGTGTGATTATGTTTTATTGTTTTTGTTGTGGGTTTTTTTTTTTCTTGACAGAGTCTTGCTTTGTTGCCCAGGCTGGAGTACAGTGGTGCGATCTCAGCTCACTGCACCCTCTGCCTCCCGGGCTCAAGCGATTCTCCTGCCTCAACCTCCCAAGTAGCTGGGACAATAGGTGAATGCCACCACACCTGGCTAATTTTTGTGTTTTTAGTAGAGATGAGGTTTCACCATGTTGGCCAGGTTGGTCTCGAACTCCTGACCTCAAGTGATCTGCCCGCCTCGGCCTCCCAAAATTCTGGGATTACAGGCGTGAGCCACCACGCCCAGCCCAGCCAACATTTTCTATTCTTCTGCCACCAGCCTGTATTATTCCTGTCTCACTAGGAATAACGGCGGTAAGAGACCACAGGAAGAGGAGTTGGATTAAAGGAAAAGTTGTTAAATTTTGTTGTGATGGTCTTGAACTCCTGGACTCAGCAATTTTTCCGCCTCAGCCTCCCAAGTAGCTGGGATTACAGGGATGAGCCAATACCACACCTGGCCTCTCGGATACTTTCTATTCTTACTTCCTGACTCCTGCCACCTTTTCTCAGCTAAAACTTCTCTTATTATGGTAACCAATGAGCTTATTTTTGTTGCCTTCAGTTAGTTTCTAGTTATTTCTCCTCTGCATTGCTTAATCCATTAACTGTTCCATCCTTCATGGTTTCCATGATAGTTCTCTAAACACTTGAAGGAAACTCTTCTTTTCCCTACTGCTTAAAGGCCAATATTTCCCCCAGGGTATCCACTCTGCCATGCGATAAGAGTCAATGACTCTCATTGCAAGGCTTAGTGGCTCACGCCTGTAATCCCAGCACTTTGGGAGGCCGAGGCGGGTGGATTGCTTGAGGTCAGGAGTTCAAGACCAGCCTGGCCAACATGGTGAAGCCCTGTCTCTACTAAAAATAAAAAATTAGCTGGGTGTAGTGGTGCACGACTGTAATCCCAGCTACTCGGGAGGCTGAAGCAGGAGAATCGCTTGAACCTGGGAGGCAGAGATTGTGGTGAGCCCAGATCGCACCATTGCACTCCAGCCTGGGAAATAAGAGCTAAACTCCATCCAAAAAAAAAAAGAAAAAAGAAAAAGAAAAGAAAAAAAAGAGCCTATGACTCTTTCTTTCTTTTTTTTTTTTTTTTTTTGAGACAGAGTCTCACTCTGTCGCCGAGGCTGGAGTGCAGTGGGGCGATCTCAGCTCACTTGAACTTCCGGGTTCAAGCGATTCTCCCACCTCAGCCTCCCAGAGTAGCTGGGACTACAGGCGTGCGCCACCATGTCCACTGCTTTTGGTTATTTTATTATTATTATTTTTGAGGCAGAGTCTCGTTCTGTGGCCCAGGCTGGAGTATGTTGGCACCATCTTGGCTCACTGCAACCACTGCTTCCCGGTTTCAAGCAGTTCTCCCGTCTCAGCCTCCCAAGTAGCTGGGACTACAGACCCGTGCCACCACGCCTGGCTAATTTCTGTATTTTTAGTAGCGATGGGGTTTCACTATGTTGGCCAGGCTGGTCTCGAACTCCTGACCTCATGATCCGCCCGCCTCAGCCTCCCAAAGCGCTGGGATTACAGGCGTGAGCCACCACGCCCGGCCTCACCTATGACTCTTTCTAGGCAACATCTAGGTCATGACTTCAACAACCGCGTATTATACACAGATGACAAATGTTTATCTTAAATGCCAGAATGATATACATAGAACTTAATACACATTTACGCCAGGGTGTACCACGAACATCTCAAATTCAGCATATCCAAATCTGAAATGAATATATTACCTCTCAAACTTTATCCACTCCCTGTATTCACAGACGTTGCAGATGACACCACGAGCTCCCCTTTTGCTCAGGCAAATCTAAGAATTCTCATTTAACATTTGTTAAATTCAACTTGTGAAATGAATGAATGAATTCCTTCTTGTCCTTTGAGAAAAGAAAAACTTTTATCTGAGAAATGCAAGTCCTTTAAACTGTCAGGCCCAGAAAGACATTCAAATGAGACCCCAATCATGTCCTACTCCTCCCTTACAAGCTATGTATTCTTCTCCTGAAACTGCCTGCAATTGCCACAAGTAGCTATAAAGTAACCTAAAAATGATGCACTGGACACAAATAATCCGCACACTGTAGTTTAACAATGTATAGCCAATCACTAATCAATGTTATGTGTGTAAACCAATGAGAATTCCTGACAAACAATTTTGCATCAGACTGCTCCCTGTCCCCCTCTTTTACCTTAAACAAAACCCTACTTGTAACAAAGCCTGGATGGAGCTCATCTCCAAGGTTACTTGTGTCTGAGTCTTCTGGGCAGCTGTCCTCACTTGGGCTCAAGTAAACTCTTTATATTTTGTGCCTCAGCCTCTTCCTTTTAGGTCGACATATTCACACCCCCATCCATTCAAATGCCAGGTCCAGGCAGGTCTCCAACTCCTTACTCTTTATTTGTTTGTTTGTTTGTTTATTTACAGAGTCTCACTCTGTCCCCCAGGCTGGAGTGCAGTGGCATGATCTCGGCTCACTGCAACCTCTACCTCCCGGGTTCAAGCAATTCTCCTGCCTGCCTCAGCCTCCCAAGTAGCTGGGATTACAGGCGCCCGCCACCACGCCCGGCTAATTTTTTGTATTTTTAGTAGAGACGGGGTTTCACCAGTTGGCCAGGCTGATCTCAAACTCCTGACCTCAGGTGATCCACCCGCCTCAGCCTCCCAAAGTGCTGGAATTACAGGTGTGAGCCACAGTGCCCAGCCTCCTTACTCTTTCTTTATTTAGATATCATGATTTCTCTTCTTATTCACCTCTAATCAGTTTTCCATATTGTTGCTAGAGCGGTCTCCAAGAAATAATCTTGGGCCGGGTGCAGTGGCTCACACCTGTAATCCCAGCACTTTGGGAGGCCAAGGCGGGTGGATTGCCTGAAGTCAGGACTTCAAGACCAGACTGGCCAACAGGGTGAAACGCCATCTCTACAAAAATACAAAAATTAGCTGGTTGTGATGGCACATACCTGTAATCCCAGCTACTCAGGAGGCTGAGGCGGGAGAATTGCTTGAGCCCAGGAGGAGAAGGTTGCAGTGAGCCGAGATCATGCCACTGCACTCCAGCCTAGGCAACAGCAAGACTCTGTCTCAAAAAAGAAAATAATAATAATAATAATAATAATAATAATAATAATAATAATCTTGAAGCCCTTCATGATCTGACATAACCTCAAATGATCCAGCTGACTTTGAATCCAACATGAATGAACAAATGAATGAATGAGTGAAACAATTTTGAACCACATGTAGTAAGTACCCTGAACATGTCATACTCATTTGTGTTTCTGTGTCCTTGCAGGAGTTAACTCTTTGCCTTTAATGTCTTTTTTTTTTTTTGAGACAGAGTCTTGCACTGTCGCCCAGGCTGGAGTGCAGTGGTGCGATCTCAGCGCACTGCAAGCTCTGCCTCCCAGGTTCACACCATTCTCCTCCCTCAGCCTCCTGAGTAGCTGGGACTACAGGTGCCTGCCACCACGCCCAGCTAATTTTTTGTACTTTTAGTAGAGACGGGGTTTCACCGTGTTAGCCAGGATGGTCTCGATCTTCTAACCTCGTGATCTGCCCACCTCAGCCTCCGAAAGTGCTGGGATTACAGGTGTGAGCCACCGCACCCAGCCTGCCTTTAATGTTTTCTGCTTAGTGTTTCCTAAGATCAACTACTGCTTATCTTTGAAGAGTTGACTTAAGGTCAACTCTTGTCCTGATAGGTACATTCTCTCCTGGATTGCCACAACTCTTGTCCTGATAGGTACATTCTCTCCTGGATTGCCACTATTTTTGTAATTATCTAATTATATTTTAATGACTTCTTATCTGCCACCAAACTATAAGCGCCCTTTGGTGATTCAGGACAGTGCCTTTCTCAACATGTTTTTGTACAATGAAGGCCTTTGAAATACATGAAAGCTTTCCAAATGCCTATAAACACTACAGCATTAAATATGAGTCTGTTGCTCAGCAGAGATTAAAACAAAGTCTGATGTTGAAAACACTTACATGGCCAGGCCTGGTGGCTCATGCCTGTAATCCCAGCACTTTGGAAGGCCAAGGCGGGTGGATCATCTGTGGTCAGGAGTTCGAGACCAGCCTGGCCAACATGGTGAAACCCTGTCTCTACTAATAACACAAAAATTAGGCCGGGCACGGTGGCTCACGCCTGTAATCCCAGCATTTTAGGAGGCCGAGGCGGGCAGATCAGGAAGTCAAGAGATCGAGACCATCCTGGCCAACATGGTGAAACCATGTCTCTACTAAAAACACAAAAATTGGCCGGGCATGGTGGCTCATGCCTGTAATCCCAGCCCTTTGGGAGCCTGAGGCGGGCAGATCACCTGAGGTCAGGAGTTCGAGACCAGCTTGGTCAACATGGTGAAACCACGTCTCTACTAAAAATACAAAAATTGGCTGGGTGCAGTGGCTCACGCCTGTAATCCCAGCATTTGGGAGGCTGAGGCGGGCGGATCACCTGAGGTACAGAGTTCAGGACTAGCCTGGCCAACGTGGAGAAACCCTGTCTCTACTGAAAATACAAAAAAATTAGCCAGGTGTGGTAGTGGGTGCCTGTAGTCCCAGCTACTCGGGAGGCTGAGTTAGGAGAATCGCTTGAACCCGGGAGGTGGAGGTTGCAGTGAGCCGAGATCGCGTCACTGCACTCCAGCCTGGGCAACAGAGCGAGACTCTGTCTCAAAAAAAAAAATACAAAAATTAGCCGGGCATGGTGGTGCACACTACTCTGGAGGCTGAGGCAGAAGAATTGCTTAAACTCAGGAGGTGGAGGTTGCAGTGAGCTAAGATCTTGACACTGCACTCCAGCCTGGTGACAGAGCGAGACTCCCATCTCAAAAAAAAAAAAAGAATAAAATACCTAGGAATACAGCTAACCGGGGAGGGAGGTGAAAGATCTCTACAATGAGAATTACAAAACACTGCTGAAAGAAATTAGAAACAATACAAACAAATTGAAAAATCTTCCATGCTCATGATCATGGATAGGAAGAATCAATATTGTTAAAATGGCCAAACTGTCCAAGCAATTTACAGATTCAATACAGATTCAATGCTATCTCTATCAAACTACTATTGACATTTTTCTTTTTCTTTCTTTCTTTTTTTTTTTTTCGGTGGCGAGGGACATAATCTCACTCTGTCGTCCAGGCTGGAGTGCAGTGGCCCAACCTTAGCTCACTGCAACCTCTGCCTCTCAGGCTCAAGAGTTTCTCCTGCCTCAGCCTCCCGAGTAGCTAGGATTACAGGCACCTGCCACCGTGCCCGGCTAATTTTTGTATTTGTAGTAGAGACAAGGTTTCGCCAGGTTGGCCAGACTGGTCTTGAACTCCTGACCTTAAGTGATCCACCTGCCTCCCAAAGGAGGCTGAAGCCAACCGATCACTTAAGGTCAAGAGTTCAAAAATTCTAATTTTCACAGAATTAGAAATATACAGCCAGGCACGGTGGCTCATGCCTGTAATCCCAGCAATTTGGGAGGCCGAAGTGGGCAGATCGCTTGAGGTCAACAGTTCGAAACCAGCCTGGCCAACATGGTGAAACCCCATATCTACTAAAAATACAAAACAATTAGCCAGGCGTGGTAGTGGGTGCCTATAATCCCAGCTACTGGAGAGGCTGAGGCAGGAGAACTGCTTGAACCCAGGAGGTGGAGGTTGCAGTGAGCCGAGATTATGCCACTACACTCCAGCCTGGGGCAACACAGCGAGACTCCATCTCAAAAAAAAAAAAAAAAGACATTCTAAAATTCATTTGTAACCAAAAAAGAGCCCAAATAGCCAAAACAATCCAAAGCCAAAACAACTTCAAACCAAACTACAAGGTTACAGTAACCAAAACAGCATGGTACTGGTACCATAGACCAATGGAATAGATTAGACACGTAGACCAATGGAATAGATTAGAAAACCCAAAAATAAAGCCACACACATACAACCATCTGATCTTCAACAAAGCCAACAGTAACAAGCAATGGGGAAAGGACTCCCTATTCCATAAATGGCACTGATATAACTAGCTAGACACAGACAGAAGTTGAAAGTATACCCCCTCCTTACACCATATACAAAAATAAACTCAAGATAGATTAAAGACTGAAATGTAAAACCCCAAAACTATAAAAACTCAGAAGAAAACCTAGGAAATACCATTCTGGTTGTGGGCCCAGGCAAAGACTCCATGATGTCGACTCCAAAAGCAATTGCAACAAAAACAAAAATTGACAAGTAGGACCTAATTAAACTAAAGAGCTGCACAGAAAAATCAATTATCAACAGAGTAAACAGAGAAGCTACAAAATGGGAGAAACTATTTGCAAACTATGCTTCTGACAAAAGTGTAATATTCAGAATCAATAAGAAACTTAAATCAACAAGCAAAACCCAAGGAAACCCATTAAATAATGGACCAAGGTTAATTTGTGCAGTAGCAATAGAAAAAAAAGGAAAAAGATGGGCAAAGGAATTGAATAGACACTTCTCAGAAGAAGACATACATGTATGGCTAGGCACCGTGGCTCATGCCTGTAATCCCAGCACGGTGGGAGACAGAGGCAGGCAGATCTCACCTGAGGTCAGGAGTTCCAGACCAGCCTGGTCAACATGGCTAATCCCCAACTCTACTAAAAATACAAATATTAGCCAGATGTGGTGGCACACACCTGTAATCCCAGCTACTCAGGAGTCTGAGGCAAGAGAATCACTTGAACCTGGCAGTCAGAGGTTGCAGTGAGCCAAGATCGTGCCACTGCACTCCAGACTGGGTGACAAAGGAAGACTTCGTCTCAAAACAAAAACAAAAACAAAACAAATTCCAGGCCAGGTGCAGTGACTCACGCCTGTAATCTCAGCAATTTGGGAGGCCGAGGTGGGTGGATCATCCGAGGTCGGGAGTTTAAGACCAGGCTGGCCAATATGTTGAAACCCCGTTTCTACTAAAAATACAAAAAAAAGGCCAGGCACTGTGGCTCACACCTGTAATCCCAGCACTTTGGGAGGCAGAGGCAGGCGGATCATGAGGTCAGGAGATCGAGACCATCCTGGCTAACACAGTGAAACCCCATCTTACTAAAAATACAAAACAAAATTAGTTGGGCATGGTGGCGGGCGCCTGTAGTCCCGGCTACTCAGGAGGCTGAGGTAGGAGAATGGCATGAACCCAGGAGGCGGAGCTTGCAGTGAGCTGAGATTGTGCCACTGCACTCCAGCCTGGGCAACACTGCAAGACTCCGTCTCAAAAAAAAAAAAAAAAAAAAAAGCTGGGCATCATGGTGCATGCCTATAATCCCAGCTACTTGGTAGGCTAAGGCGGGCGAATCACTTGAACCCAGGAAGCAGAGATTGTGGTGAGACAAGATCGGTCCACTGCACTCCAGCCTGGGCAACAGGGTGAGACTCCGTCTCGAAAAAAAAAAAAAAAAAAAAATCCTAGCTAGATTGTTTGCAGAATTTGACAAGCTGATCCTAAAATTCATATGAAATCCAGGGGACCCCCAATAGCCAAAGCAATCTTTTTTTTTTTTTTTTTTGAGATGGAGGTTCGCTCTTGTCGCCCAGGCTGGAGTGCAATGGCGTGATCTCGGTTCACTGTAACCTCCGCCTCCTGGGTTCATACAATTCTCCTGCCTCAGCCTCCTGAGTAGCTGGGATTACAGGTGCCTGCCATCGCGCCCAACTAATTTTTGCATTTTTAGTAAAGATGGGGCTCACCAGGTTGTAAAGGCTGGTCTCGAACCCCTGACCTCAGGTGATCCACCCACCATGGCCTCCTAAAGTGCTGGGATTACAGGCGTGAGCTGCCACGCCCCGCCTATATTGTATTTTCTGAAGTTTTTGCAATTGGTTTGTGTTACCTTAATAATTAGAATAAAGCAATTAAAGCAAAAAGATTTTAAATGCTTGTAATGTTAGTGGGCATACAATTTTTGCTATGCTTCTTTAATTTAATATCATGTGGGCACAGTGGCTCACGCCTGTAATCCCAGCACTTTGGGAGGCCAAGGTGGGTGGATCAGGAGGTCAGGAGTTTGAGACTAGCCTGACAGATATGGTGAAACCCCATCTCTACTAAAAATACAAAAAAATTAGTCGGATGTGGTGACGTGCACCTGTAATCCCAGCAACTCAGGAGGCTGAGACAGGAGAATTGCTTGAAACTGGGAGGCGGAGGTTGCAGTGAGCCGAGATCGTGCCACTGCACTCCAGCCTGGGCGACAGAGCAGACTCCATCTCAAAAAATATATATATGTATATGTATATATATAATAATAATTTAATATAATGTGAAGTCTTCTTACCTCTTCCTTGACTAGAGGAATTTAGTGAAAACAGCATCTTCTCCCTGGGCTGTGGGCAGGAAATGGAACCCCTAAGCTTTGCTTTGTCAGATGAGGAGACCTCAGGCTAAGGTGGGAATGGAAATAGTTTAGAAACAGAAAAAGAAGAGCAGTTTCTCAGAGAGCCAGAGAAGGAGGATGTTGTCCTAAAAATAGATTAGAATGTGGTGGCTGGAGTCAGGCATTCTGAACTAATCTTCAAGTCTTACTATTCAGGAAGCTGTCAGACAAGGCAGACCAAAAGCCAATAGGATCAGGTCCCTGGAAACCAGCTGGTGAAGCTGGAAAGAAGAAGCCGACTATGGTTGCAGGGTAGCCAGGGTCTGCACCTTCCAATACTGGGGCAGCAGTGAGTTCTGTCCCCAAACTGTTTGGGGAAAGGCCTAGGCTCCTGTCAAGGGCAATCATCCAGGCCAACCTCCCTGGATTGACATCACTCAAGTTTCAAAAGAATGGAGGATGCTCAGCTGGACTTTCATTTACTTATTTTGAGACAAGGTCTCACTCACTCAGGCTGGAGTGCAGTGGCACGATCTCGGCTCACTGCAATCTCCGCCTCCTGGGCTCTAACGATCCTCCCACCTCAGCCTCCCAAGTGGCTGGGACTACAGGCGTGCAACACCACGCCCAGCTAAACTTTTTTGTATTTTTTTTTGTAGAGACAGGATTTTGCCATGTTGCCTAGGCTGGTCTCAAACTCTTAAGCTCAAGTGATCCTCCCATCTAGGCCTCCCAAAATGCTGGGATTACAGGTGTGAACCACTGCACTTGGCCTCAGCTGGCCTTTCATTTGTACTGGGTGGAGAGAGTGCTGGACAGGAGTCCAGGTGGTTCAGGCTTTGAGGCTTGGCCCTCTGCCCCATTTCACTTGATGCTATCTGCCCAGGCCAGTAAATAATTCTAGTATCTAAATAGTCTAAATTATCTGAACAAAACGGAATATTATTACCTTTTAAAAAGAACAGCTTTATTTTCTATTTATTTTTTTCATAGAACATATCATCAATCATCATTATATTACATGGCATATTTGCTTGGATTTATTTGTTTTATGGTCCCTCCCTAGCTGGAATCTAAGCTCCATGAGGTCAGGGGACTTTTTCTGCTTCCTTCACTGCTGTCTTTTCAAAGCTTAGGAGAATCCCTGGCACATTATTGTTCAGAAGATCTTTGATGAGTTTGTTGCCAAAAAAAAAAAATTGTTAACAAAAGGTCAAATAGTAAAGTTCAAAAAGTAAAAGTTGGCTGGGCACAGTGCCTCACACCTGCAATCCCAGCACTTTGGGAGGCCAAGGCGGGAGGATCATGAGGTCAGGAGTTCGAGACCAGCCTGGCCAACATGGTGAAACCCCGTCTCTCCTAAAAATACAAAAATTAGCCGGGCATGGTGGCAGGTGCCTATAATCCTAGCTATTTGGGAGGCTGAGGCAGGAGAATCACTTGAACCCAGGAATCGGAGGTTGCAGTGAGCCAAGATTGCACCACCGTACTCCAGCCTGAATGACAGAGCAAGACTGTCTCAAAAAAAAAAAAAAAGGAAAAATTAAGAGTCCCTATCCATATCTTTATCTAATTCCACTTCCCTAAAATAGCCACTATAACATTTCTGTGTGCAACATTAATCCTAGAACAATCTGTCTTGTTTACTTCTGTATATCCTAAGCAGAGAACAGTGCCTGGCATACATCAAAGTACTTAATAAAAACGATTTGAAAATTCACTGAATGAGTTGTAAGCAGTTTTGAGGTTGGGGTGGCATGGTTAGCAAGAAGGGTTGGCAGCTGTAGGCTATCTCCCCAAACAAGTTACGGTGAGCTCCTTGAGTTAGCCATTCATTTATGCACCCCAAGTACCCAGAAGTATGCCGGAACACTCTACCATTTATTTATTGAGCACTTACACAATTACCCAATCATATACTGTCAAGAGGAATTTGATACTGCAACCTGCTACACTACTTCTGACTTCCTTGAATAAGGCTCCCTGCCCTATTAAACTGGCCCAATGCCTTCCTACCAAAGCATGTGGCCTCAGGGCAGAACTCCTACCCCAAGGGGATCTCTCTGCCTCTTGGCTACTGACCAGGCCGGAAGACACGGACACTCATACTCATGTCCAGCATGTCTGGATGGGACATTGCCCAGTTAGAACCTCTAAGAGACAGTGATTTGTCAACATCTCTTTGTGAGGGTGTTGATTCGCTCCTTTTGGGGGGCTTCGTCTGAGAGCTAGCTTCTCTGTGGAAAAGGCAGTCAAAGCCGGATGTGAGCAACTCAGTCACACTGAAAATACAATGTTGAAGCACCAACCTGGAATGTAGCAATTTACAGCTGTCACACCACAATCACTAAGTGAAATCACATTTTGCACCAGACTTCCAAAGACATAATCATATGAAAACTATTTTTATTGCTTTGAAAGATTGGCAAAAGCTGTTTGCCTCAAATGTAAGAAAGTCTACTATAGGATTTCTGTTGAGAAGCACAAATATACAAGGCAAAGTGGTTCTTTTCTTTCTTTCTTTCTTTCTTTCTTTTGAGATGGATTTTCGCTCTTGTTGCCCAGGCTGGAGTGCAATGGCACGATCTCAGCTCACCTCAACCTCTGCCTCCCAGGTTCAAGGGATTCTCCTGCGTCAGCTTCCCAAGTAGCTGGGATTACAAGCATGTGCCACCACGTCCAGCTAATTTTGTATTTTTAGTAGAGACGGGGTTTCTCCATGTTGGTTGGGCTGATCTCAAACTCCTGACCTCAGGTGATCTGCCCGCCTCGGCCTCCAAAAGTGCAGGGATTATAGGTGTGAGCCACTGTGCCCAGCCCAAAGTGGTTATTTTCTATTTTACATCAGAATACATTTAATTATCAATAAAGTGATATACTAAGCATAGAAGAGTGACTTAGGTGGAATCCTTGATAGTTAATAACTTTATTAAAGCAACAAAACAAAATCAAATTTCCTAGAATTTACCTTCATGAGAGTAAAACTTATTAGCAGGACTGGCATACTTTTTTTTTTTTTTTTTTTGAGACGGAGTCTCGCTCTGTCACCCAGGCTGAGGTGCAGTGGCGCAATCTCAGCTCACTGCAACCTCCACCTCCCGGGTTCAAGCAATTCTCCTGCCTCAGCTTCCTGAGTAGCTGGGACTACAGGCGCCTGCCACTACGCCCGGCTAATATTTTGTATTTTTAGTAGAGACGGGGTTTCACCACGTTAGCCAGGATGGTCTTGATCTCCTGACCTCGTGATCCACCCGCCTCGGCCTCCCAAAGTGCTAGGATTACAGGCGTGAGCCACCGCACCGGGCCAGGACTGGTACACTTTTAGGCTCCGATTCAGCTTTGTTTTCTTCTTCAAGAAGACAAGAGAAATGTGACAACCATTTGCCATACAGTATTCAATCCTGTATTAGAAATAAACAAAGACCGGGTGTGGTGGCTTACACCAGTAACCCCAGCATTTTGGGAGGCTGAGGCTGGTGGATCACCTGAGGTCGGGAGTTTGAGACCAGCCTGACCAACATGGAGAAACAACCCCTCTACTAAAAATACAAAATTAGCTGGGTGTGGTGGTGTGTGCCTGTGGTCACAGCTACTTGGGAGGCTGAGGTGGGAGGATTGCTTGAGCCAGGGAGATCGAGGCTGCAATGAGTTGTGACCGTGCCCCTGGACAACAGAGCAAGACTGTCTCAAAAAAAAAAAAAAGCATTGATTCAATATTAAGTTTCTTTAGTATGATAATTATTCTGTAGTTATATATGAGAACATCTTTGTTCTGAAGAGCTACATCTTGACGAGTTTGGGGGTAAAATGTTAATGATGACTGCAACTTACTCTCAACTGGTTCGGCCAAGAAAAGTGAGAGTGTGAGTGAGTGTGTGTGTGTGTGTGTGTGTGTGTGTGTGTATGTGTGTGCAGGGAGAGAGAGAGAGGGAAAGCAAATATGGGAAAAATGTTAGCAGTTAGGCAATCTAGACGAAGAGCATACGGGTGGTCATTATACCATTCTTGCAACTTTTCTTCACGTTTGAAAATTTTTTAAATAAAAAGTTGGGAAATTATATATATACACATACATATATATATATTTGCATATTATGCTTAAGGCCTACAGTTTTTATATACTTAGTATCCTTTTCCTCCTTCCTATGATTACAGACCTATCACATTGCCTCCTCCCAATCAAGGGACCTCTTTACCTGGCCACAGTAAGTGATCCAAGGCAATGGTGATAACTCAAAGCATTTAATAGTCGGCAGGTCAAAGGTTGTTACCAATCAGAGTAGACACTAGATAGACGGTGGTACCTGGGCACACTGGTTGAATATAAGTGCTGGTCCAAATGTTGGCATGTGACACGGGATGAGCCAATCCAAGTCCTTCCCGTGGATTTTTGAAATTAGTCTGAAAAAATAGTGAGAGATTCCACAGGCTGTGAAGTCCTAGGGTAAGCTTCACTTCTCCCTTTCTCAGGGTTTGTTTATATGAACCAACAAATTACCCCTCTGGCCAGGTGCAGTGCTCACACCTGTAATCCCAGCACTTTGGGAGGCGGAGGCGGGCGGATCACCTGAGTGAGTTCGAGACCAGCCTGGCCAACACGGTGAAACCTCGTCTCTACTAAAAATACAAAAACTAGCCAGGCATGGTGGCGGGCGCCTATAATCCCAGCTACTCGGGAGGCTGAGCAAGGAGAATCGCTTGAACTAGGGAGGCGGAGATTGCAGTCAGCTGGGATAGCGCCATTGCACTCCAGCCTGGGGTAAGAAGAGCGAAACTGTGTCTCAAAACAAAAACAAAAACAAAAAACAAACAAACAAACAAAAAAACAAATTACCCCTCTGGAGCTTACACTAGTTTGATCTGGGCTTCTGTCACTTATAACCAAAGACTTTTTACTTTATTTTCCCAGAATTTTTTTTCTTTTTTTTTTTTTTGAGATGGAGTTTCCCTCTTGTCCCCTAGGCTAGAGTGCAATGGTGCGACCTTGGCTCACTGCAACCTCCACCTCCCGGGTTCAAGGAATTCTCTTGCCTCAGCCTCCTGAGTAGCTGGGATTACAGGCACATACCACCATGCCCAGCTAATTTTTGTATTTTTAATAGAGACGGTGTTTCACCATGTTAGCCAACCTGGTCTGGTACTCCTGACCTCAAGTGATCCGCCCACCTTGGCCTCCTAAAGTGCTAGAATTACAGGGGCAAGCCACCACATCTGGCTATTTTTCCAGAATTTAATTAACGATATAAAACATTATTATTATTATTATCATTATTACTACTATAGAATTAGATTTCTGGCCGGGCATGGTGGCTCAGGCCTGTAATCCCAGCACATCGGGGGGCTGAGGCAGGCAGATCATGAGGTCAGGAGTTCGAGACCAGCCTGGCTAATATGGTGAAACCCCGTCTCTACTAAAAATTCAAAAATTAGCCAGGTGTGGTGGCGCCCACCTGTAATCCCAGCTACTCGGGAGGCTGAGGCAGAAGATTCACTTGAACCCAGGAGGTGGAGGTTGCAGTGAGCCAACATCATGCCACTGCACTCCAGCCTGGGCAACAGAGTGAGGCCTATCAAAAACAAAACAAAACAGGCCGGGCGCGGTGGCTCACGCCTGTAATCCTAGCACTTTGGGAGGCCGAGGAGGGCGGATCACGAGGTCAGGAGTTAGAGACCATGCTGGCTAACACGGTGAAACCCCGTCTCTACTAAAAATACAAAAAATTAGCTGGGCGTGGTGGCGGGCGCCTGCAGTCCCAGCTACTCGGGAGGCTGAGGCAGGAGAATGGCGTGAACCCAGGAGGCGGAGCTTGTAGTGAGCCGAGATCGCGCTACTGCACTCCAGCCTGGGCAACAGAGCGAGACTCCCTCTCAAAAAAAAAAAAAAAACTACTAGACTTGTGGTTTTGCTAATTTAGTCTTCTCTCCAAAACAAACAATTAAAAATTAATAATAGGCCGGGAGCAGTGGCTCACGCCTGTAATCCCAGCACTTGGGAGGCTGACGGGGGCAGATCACGAGGTCAGGAATTTGAGAACAGCCTGGCCAAGATGGTGAAACTCCATCTCTACTAAAAATACAAAAACTAGCCGGGCATGGTGGCGGGTGTCTGTAATCCCAGCTACTCAGGAGGCTGAGATGGAAGAATCGCTTGAACCTGGGAGGCAGAGGTTGCAGTGAGCTGAGATCTCACCATTGCACTCCAGCCTGGGGGACAAGAGCAAAACTCCGTCTCCAAATAAATAAACAAAATTGAAATAAAAATTAAAAAAAAAATTTTTTTTTAGACAGTCTCACTCTGTCGCCCAGGCTGTAGTGCAGTGGCACGATCTCGGCTCACTGTAAGCTCCGCCTCCCGGGTTCAAGCCATTCTCCTGCCTCAGCCTCCAAGTAACTGGGACTACAGGCACCCACCACCACGCCCGGCTAATTTTTTTTTTTTTTTTTTTTTTTTTTGTATTTTTAGTAGAGACGGGATTTCACTGTGTTAGCCAGGATGGTCTTGATCTCCTGACCTTGTGACGCCCACCTCGGCCTCCCAAAGTGCAGGGATTACAGGCGTGAGACATCGCGCCCGGCTAAAAATAAAAATTAATAGAAAAGTTGGCCAGATGTGGTGGCTCATGCCTGTAATCCCCGCGCTTTGGGAGGCTGAGATGGGTGGATCACTTGAGGCCAGGAGTTCGAGACTAGCCTGGCCAACAGAGTGAAACCTATCTCTACTAAAAATAGAAAAAATTAGCCAGGTGTGGTGGTGCACATCTGTAATCCCAGCTAGTCAGGAGGCTGAGGCATGAGAATCCCTTGAACCCGGGAGGCGGAGGTTGCAATGAGATGAGATCGCACCACTGCACTCCAGCCTGGGTGACAGAGTGAGACTGTCTCAAAAATAAAAATATATTAATAGAAAACTTGATTTCCCAGCTCATGCCTGTAACCCCAGCACTTTGAGAGGCCGAGGTGAAACTCTGTCTCTACTAAAAATACAAAATGAGCTGGGCGTGGTGGCACATGTCTGTAATCCCAGCTACTCGGGAGGCTGAGGCAGGAGAATTGCTTGAACCCAGGAGATGGTGGTTGCGGTGAGCCGAAATGGCGCCACTGCACTCCACCCTGGCGACAGAGGCGAGAACAAAACTGAACCAGAGTGGTAGACACCAGGCATGCCTCCCAAACAATAGGTGACTAGCTATGGGGGAAGAACCCTGACTGTCTCATCTCTCTCCCTGACCTCTTGCCCAGAACAGGGAAGGGGACAAGGTATGCCAGGGCATGGCCTGGCCTCCACCTGCCTTCCAGGGCACCAGAGTGGGAGAAGGATTGAAAATGTCAACTTGGCCGGGCACGGTGGCTCACGCCTGTAATCCTAGCACTTTGGGTCGCCGAGGCGGGTGGATCACGAGGTCAGGAGATCAAGACCACCCTGGCTAACACGGTGAAACCCCGTCTCTACTAAAAATACAAAAAATTAGCCCGGCGTAGTGGCGGGCGCCTGTAGTCCCAGCTACTCCGGAGGCTGAGGCAGGAGAATGGCGTGAACTCGGGAGGCGGAGCTTGCAGTGAGCTGAGATTGCGCCACTGCACTCCAGCCTGGGCGACAGAGCCAGACTCCGTCTCAAAAAAAAAAAAGAAAATGTCAACCAATCTCCTCTTGCCATAAGTGTAGCTTGGGTTAGAGAGGCAGAGAGCTTTAAACCAATAATGAGATTGATGTTTTAAACAGACAAAGCTGAAATTTAGTAATCAAGTCATAGGATGTGCCCCAGGTTTCATAAGGTACAAGAGAGGCGGATTTACCACAACATTGTTGAAAGCGTTAATTAAAAATGATAACATTTAGTAATTACTGACCAGGCACAGTGGCTCACGCATGTAATCCCAGCACTTTGGGAGGCCGAGGCAGGCGGATCACTTGAGGCCAGGAGTTTGAGACCAACCTGACTATGCCTGTCCTGAGATTTCTTAGTAAGCCAGTTACCCATATGTTTGGGGCCCACCACATGTCAAGACCATATAATGTGTCAGTTGAGAGCTCTCTCTTCTGCTTGCTTAAAGAATAAAATCTCGGCCAGATGTGGTGGGTCACACCTGTAATCCCAGTACTTTGGGAGGCCCAGGTGGGCAGATCACTTGAGGCTGTGAGTTTGAGACCAGTATGGCCAAAATGGAGAAATCTCGTCTCTACTAAAAATACAAAAATTAGACAGGTGTTGTGGCTTATATCTGTAATCCTAGCTACTCAGGAGGTTAAGGCAGAAGAATCACTTGAACCTGGGAGGTAGAGGTTGCAGTAAGCAGAGATTGTGCCACTCCCAAATACTTTGGGAGACTGCTTTCTGATGTAAATTATTTGCTGTTAAAAAATGGGGTTAGAGAGACAGCAATAGTAAGCAGACCGAGCTGATGCCCTCTTAACTCTTCTTGGTAGGTGAGTGAATTTGGCCTTTATTCTACAACACAAGCGGTCCTTACCTTTAAAATGTCTGCTTTGAATAAGCTAAGATTTATCGGAATTCATATCCTGAGAGATTTTATTTTATTTCATTTCATTTTTTCTGAGACAGGGTCAAGTGGCTCTCTTGCCCAGGCTGGAGTGCAGTGGCAATATCTTGGCTCACTGCAACCTCCAACTCCCTGGTTCAACTGATTCTCTGTTTCAGCCTCCTGGCTAGCTGGGATTACAGGTGAGTACCACCAGGCCCAGCTAATTTTTTGTATTTTTAGTACACACAGGGTTTCACCATGTTGGCCAGGCTGGTCTCAAACTCCTAACCTCAAGTGATCTGCCCACCTCAGCCTCCCAAAGTGCTGGGATTACAGGCGTGAGCCACCGTGCCTGGCCCTAAAGGTGTTATTCTTAAACTACATTGTCTCTTGCCAGAGATTTCTGCAGTTTTTTCAGTTCCTTTTATGATTCAGTTCGACAAATATTATTGATTACCTGAATTGTTGCAATGAACTGTGTTGAAAGGTCCTTCCCTCAAGAAAAATCACACTCTACCAGGACAGAAAGAAAAATACATAACTAGCAGTAACTAAAGTCAGATTGTAATACTTGTCCTAGTGGTGCTATGGGAGCCCAAAGAAATGAATGTGCGGGCTGGGCCCGGTGGCTCACGCCTGTAATCCCAGCACTTTGGAAGGCTGAAGTGGGAAGGTCACTTGAGGGCAGGAGTTTAAGACTAGCCTGGACAACATATCTAGACCCCGTCTTTGCAAAACTTTTTAAAAATTAGCCAGGTGTGATGTCTTACACCTGTAGTTCCAGCTACTGAGGAGGCTGAGGCAGGAGGATCTCTTGAGCCAAGGAGTTCCAGGCTGCAGGGCGCTAAGATTGCACCACTGCACTCCAGCCTGAACAGCAGGGCAAGACCCTGTCTCTTAAAATATGAATAATAATAATACTGAATTTCCTCGTAAAGAAAATATCTATAATGTTGAATTTTAGAATTCTATGTCAAAATGCATGTTCATGTGTTAGTTTCATGTATGTTCTGTTTAATCATGAGATTTATTAATCTGAGACTTCGTGGGCCACATATGTTTCTTTCTTTTTTTTTTTTTTTCTTTTTTTGAGACAGAAGAGTCTTTCTCTGTCACCCAGGCTGGAGTGCAGTGGCATGATCTTGGCTCAATGCAACCTACACCTCCTGGGTTCAAGCAATTCTTCTGCCTCAGCCTCCTTAGTAGCTGGGACTACAGACATGTGCCACCATGTCCGGCTAATTCTTGTATTTTTAGTAGAGACAGGGTTTCACCATATTGGCCAGGCTGGTCTCAAACTCCTGATTTTGTGATCCACCTGCCTCGGCCTCCCAACGTGCTGGGATTACAGACATGAGCCACAGAGCCCAGCTAGGCCACGTATGTTTCTATGCTTCAACATGTAGTATAACACAATGCTTTTGGCCTTTTTTTTTTTTTTTTTTTTTTTTTTCAAAAGGAGTGTCGCTCTGTTGTCCAGGCTGGAGTGCAGTGGCTCAGTCTCGGCTCACTGCAAACTCCACCTCCCGGGTTCAAGCTGCCCAAGTAGCTGGGATTACAGGCGCATGCCACCACTCCCAGCTAATTTTTGTACTTTTAGTAGAGATAGGATTTCACAATGTTGGCCAGTCTGGTCTCAAACTCCTGACCTTGTGATCTGCCTGCCTCAGCCTCCCAAGGTGCTGGGATTACAGGCGTGAGCCACTGCGCCTGGCAACTCTTATCCTTCTTTTGGATTTAATTTTATTAATTCTGGCAGACAGAGCAAATATAATTAAAGATATTAAAACAGGTAGCTCATTTATGGTTTCTGCTAAATAAATTAAAAACAAACAGCAGCCGGGCACAGTTGATCATGCCTGTAATCCCAGCACTAAAACACAAAAAATTAGCCGGGCGTAGTGGCAGATGCCTGTAATCCCATCTACTCGGGAGGCTGAGGCAGGAGAATTGCTTCAACCTGGGAGGCGGAGGTTGTACTGAGCCAAGATTGCGCCACTACACTGTAGCCTGGTTGACAGAGCGAGACTCTGTCTCAGAAAAATAAATAAATAAATAAAAAATAAACAGCAGGCCAGGTGCGGTGGCTCATGCCTGTAATCACAACAGTTTGGGAGGCCAAGGTGTGAGGATGGCTTGAGCCCAGGAGTTTGAGACTAGCCTGGCTAACATAGTAAGAACTTGTCTCTACAGATAATAATAATTTTTAGGGCCAGACTTGGTGGCTCACATCTGTAATCCCAGCACTTTGGGAGGCCAGGGCGGGCAAATCACCTGAGGTTGAGAGTTTAAGACTAGCCTGACCAACATGGAGAAACCCCATCTCTAATAAAAATACAAAATTAGCCGGGTGCAGTGGCGCATGCCTGTAATCCCAGCTACTTGGGAGGCTGAGACAGGAGAATTGCTTGAATCCTGCAGGCGGAGGTTGGAGTGAGCCCAGATTGAGACAGGAGAATTGCTTGAATCCTGCAGGCGGAGGTTGCAGTGAGCCCAGATTACGCCATTGCACTCCAGCCTGGGCAACAAGAACGAAACTCTGTCTCAAAAAATATATATTAATAATAATTTTTTTTTTAATTAGCTAGGCGTGATGGCACGAGCCTGTAGTCCCAGTTACTTGGGAGACTGAGGCTTGAGCCCGGGAGGTTAAGGCTGCAGTGAGCTGTAATTGAGCCACAGCACTCCAGCCAGGGTGGAATCTCATGAGACCCAATCTCATTTTAAAAATTAATAAAAAACTGGCCGGGTGCAGTGGTTTATACCTGTAATCCCAGCAATCTGGGAGGCCAAGGCAGGCAGATCACTTGAGGTTAGGAGTTCAAGACCAGCCTAGCTAACACAGTGAAATCTGGTCTCCACTAAAAAGTGCAAAAATTAGACAGGCGCGGTGACAGGCACTACTCCCAGCTACTTGGGAGGCTGAGGCAGGAGAATTGCTTGAACCTGGGAGGCAGAGGTTGCGGTGAGCCAAAATCACACCATTGCACTCCAGCCTGGGCAACAGAGTAAGACTTCATCTAAAAAAAAAAAAACAGAAAACAAAAATCAAACCAAAAAACCTAATAAAAAATAATAAAATAATAAAACCGTAAATAAAAATAAACAGCCAAAAAAAATAAAATCTTTCTGAAGTAAAACGGATTGAACATCATTATGATGGATGATCCCAAAATGAAACGTCTGTTTTTTTTTGAGTATATCCCTTTACTTTTGGCAACAGACTTAAACCACTGACCAATCTTCACCATGTTGGCCAAGCTGGTCTCAAACTCCTGAACTCAAGTGATCCACCCACCTCGGCTTCCCAAAATCCTGGGATTACAGGCATGAGCCACTGTGCCTGGCCGAAATTTTTTCTATGTTTTCAAAGCAAATGACCAAGAAGAACTCTTTCAATTAACTTAGCACCACCCTGGGAAGGCAGACGGGTATTATTATCCCAATCTGATATGTACAAATGGGCATACAGATACTGAATTATTTTCTGTCATTCTCCATTGTGTTCAGAGGTCTGCTAGGAATAAAAAACCCTTTCCAGTCTCCCAACAACACTCTTCCTTTATTATTATTATTATTATTATTATTATTATTTTTTAAGATGGAGTCTTCCTCTGTCACCCAAGCTGGAGTGCAGTAGTGCGATCTCGGCTCACTGCAAACTTTGCCTCCCAGGTGCAAGCAATTCTCCTGCCTCAGCCTCCCAAGTAGCTGGAACTATAGGTGTGCACCACCATGCCCAGCTAATTTTTGTAATTTTAGTAGAGACAGGGTTTCACCATGTTGGCCAGGCTGGTCTCAAACTCCTGACCTCACGTGATCCTCCCACCTCAGCCTCCCAAAGTGCTGGGATTACAGGCATGAGACACCATGCCCGGCCCTATTATTAGTATTTTTTTTTGAGATGGAGTCTCACTCTGTCACCCAGGCTGGAGTGCAGTGGCTCAATCTCAGCTCACTGCAACCTCCGCCTCCTGGGTTCAAGCGATTCTCCTGCCTCAGCCTCCCAAGTAGCTGGGATTACAGGCGCCTGCCACCTCGCCCGGCTAATTTTTGTTGTTGTTGTTGAGATGGAGTCTTGCACTGTCACCTTGGTTGGAGTGCAGTGGCACGATCTCAGCTCACTGCAACCTCCACCTCCTGGTTCAAGCGATTCTCCTGCCTTAGCCTCCTGAATAGCTGGGATTACAGGCACCCACCACCACACCCAGCTAATTTTTTGTATTTTTAGTAGAGACGGGTTTTCACTATGTTGGCCAGACTGGTCCTGAACTCCTGACCTCATGATTTGCCCGCCTCGGCCTCCCAAAGTGCTGGGATTATAGGCGTGAGCCACTGTGCCCTGCCACACCCGGCTAATTTTTGTATCAACACTCTTCTTTTCAAAAGAAAACTGGAACATATGAACAGTTCACCAATAATAAACTTCTAGAGCTTATTTATTCTGCAGAACTAACCACTAGACACCCACTTAGTCAAGCACCCTAGATAGCTTCTGGCAAATAAACACCTCAGCAGAAAATATAATTGAGAATTAGTCAGCTCTTTTAGCTTTTGACCTTTTTCATCCAGTTATTCTTGCCTTTTTCCTCCTCTGAATAATCTTTCATCATTTACTCATTAGGGAACCTAAACATTGCATTACTTTTTGAGAATGAGGCATTTCAAGTCCTTTGTCTGGTAAGGCAGAATTTCCCACTGTGAGAAAGTTATTCTGCTTCTTGTAGGCAGGATTGTGCAGGACTTTTACTTCCTAAGTTAAAGAATTCTGAATTGTTTGAAGTTTTTATGAGTATAAATGCTTTTGTAATCAGAAAAATAGATATAAACATTTGTATCTTTAAAACGATCAACGCCAAAAAAAAAAAAAAAAAAAAAAAGGCAACACCACAAAAGTTATTTTATCTATGAAGCTCTCCAAGGGGTAAGATTTCCTCTTCTAGTGCATTTTGTCCTTTTTCCTCTTCTAATGGTGAAATTCCATGCTTTCCTAGAAATTTTAATGTCTTAAACTGAACTACAGCTGGGTATGGTGGCTCATGCCTGTAATGCCAGCACTTTGGGAGGCTGAGGAGGAAGGACTGCTTGAGGCCACGAGTTCAAGGCCAGCCTGATCAATATAACAAGACCCTGTCTCTACAAAACATACAAAATAGGGCTGAGTTCGGTGGCTCATTCCTGTAATCCCAGTATTTTGGGAGGCTGCGGCAGGCAGATCACCTGAGGTCAGCAGCCTGGTCAACATGGTGACACCCTGTCTCCACCAAAAATACAAAAATTAGCCGGGCGTGGTGGTGCATGCCTGTAGTCCCAGCTACTTGGGAGGCTGAGGAGAAGGATTGCTTGAACCTGGGAGGCAGAGGTTGCAGTGAGCTGAGATTGCACCACTTCACTCCAGCCTGGGTGTCAGAGTTAGACTCCATATCAATAAAATAAATAAATAAATAAATATAAATTAGCCAGGTGTGGTGGCGCATGCCTGTGGTCTCAGCTACTCGGGAGGCTGAGGCAGCAGGGTGGCTTGAGCCTATGAGTTCAAGGCTGCAGTGAGCTATGATCATTCCACTGATTCCACTGCACTCCAGCTTGGGCAACAGAGCAAGAGCAAGACCCTGTCTCAAAACAAAACAACAACAAAAAAAAACAGGCTGGGCACGGTGGCTCACGCCTGTAATCCCAGCACTTTGGGAGGCTGAGGTGGGTAGATCACGAGGTCAGGAGTTCAAGACCAGCCTGGCCAAAATGCTGAAACCCCGTCTCTACTAAACATACAAAAATTAGCCAGGCATGGTGGCGGGTGCCTGTAATCCCAGCTACTCGGGAGGCTGAGGCAGGAGAATCACTTGAACCCGGGAGATGGAGGTTTTGGTGAGCCAAGATCGTGCCACTGAACTCCAGCCTGGGTGACAGAGTGAGACTCCGTCTCAAAAAAAAAACAAAACAAGAAGAAACCCTAACTTTTTTTTTTTTTGAAATAGAGTTTCCCTTGTTACCCAGGCTGGAGTGCAATGGTGCAATCTCGGCTCCCTGCAACCTCCGCCTCCTGGGTTCAAGCAATTCTCTTGCCTCAGCCTCCCAAGTAGCTGGGATTACAGGCGCCTGCCACCCTGCCCGGGTAATTTTTTGTATTTTTAGTAGAGACGGGGTTTCACCATGTTGGTCAGGGTGGTTGGGAACTCCTGACCTCAGGTGATCCACCTGCCTCCACCTCCCAAAGTGCCAGGATTACAGGCGTGAGCCATCGTGCCCAGCCAACCCTATTATAATAACCTCTGGTCTCTGCCTCCAGTCTTGCCCTATTCAAATCATTCCTCACACTGTTACCAGAGTGATCTTTCTAAAACATAGATCTGAGTGTGTCACATCCTTATTGCAAATTATCTGAGGCTTTTTATCCCCTGTAATCTTCAAGGACTCCATGTTCCAATCCCTACCTACCTGCTTCTCTAACCCATTGCTCTCTACCTCTCACCTGCTCTTTAAACTTCCATAATATTAGACTAAGCTTTAAGGCATTGCCCCTCAAAGCCCAGTCTAAACCATTTCTGTCTATGTCTAGATGAGGATGTACAAAGACTTCCGAAAAGCTTGACTTTGCTGGGGCTGGATTCACGTGTGTTCCTGTCGGTAGGATTGAGGTCATAAGAATTGAGACACATGAGTTGGAAGTAAGTGGGTGAGTGTCATCACCTTGCTGATTGTCTGTCAACATCTCTTGAAACCTGCCTTAACAATAGCAGAATCAGCAGCGCATATCCACATCCCTTTGATATCTATTTTCTCTGTGTGCTGCAATGTCTGCTAAATGGATTACCTGGCATTTCTAAACCAGAAGCCGCCTCAGAGTGAGTGTCATGTAGGTCAGAGGCTGCTGCGGCTTAGATTTACTGGGCCTCTTAAGTTGCTGCTGTTGCTGAAGGGATCAGGAAGTAAGGGTGGGGAGGAGGAAGGGGCTTAAGGAGTAAGAGAGGCCACAGCAGAGTAGTTCTGTGCCCCTAAAGACTGTTTTATTAAAGGCCAAGTTATTCCTTGCCTGCATTTATTGTGCAATGATTGGAAGCACCTTAAACTTCACTCCCATTGGTTATGCACAGTTTACTGAACTAGTGTGCTGTAAGACCACAAAAAGTGTGTGCTACTGATTGCAACTGCAGCAACTACAAGGAGAGATGGTCAAGGTCTAGAAAAGCACCCACTGAAATATAATTAGTAATGTGTCAGGTAGTGGTATTATGGATAACTCTATTTTTGGAAATTTTAAAATTAATTCATCTTTTAAATAATGTTAAGAGAAGAGCGGTTAGGGAGGGGAGAATACTGTCCCCTTGAGACCTGAATTTCTAGGGCCTAATATTATGGAATGTATTTATAGATGCTCCGCAACTTATGATGGGGTTATGTACTGATAAACCCATTGTAAATTGAAAATCTAGTAAGTCAAAAGTGCATTTAGGCCGAGGCAGGTGGATCACCTAAGGTCAGGAGTTCAAGACCAGCCTGGCCAACATGGTGAAACCCTGTCTTTACTAAAAAAAAAAAAAAAAAAAAATAGAAAAATTAGCCAGGCATGGTGGCAGGCACGAGTAATCCCAGCTACTCAGGAGGCTGAGGCAGGAGAATTGCTTGAACCCGGGAGGTAGAGGTTGCAGTGAGCCAAGACTGTGCCACTGCACTCCAGCCTGGGCGACAAAAGCAAAACTCCGTCTCAAAAAAAGAAAAAAAGTGCATTTAGGCTGGGCATGGTGGCTCGCGCCTGTAATCCCAGCACTTTGGGAGGCCAAGGCAGGCGGATCACGAGGTCAGGAGATCGAGACCATCCTGGCTAACACGGTGACACCCCGACTCTACTAAAAATACAAAAAAATAAGCCAGGAGTGGTGGCGGGTGCCTGTACTCCCAGCTACTCAGGAGGCTGAGGCAGGAGAATGGTATGAACCTGAGAGGCGGAGCTTGCAGTGAACCGAGATCGTGCCGCTGCACTCCAGCCTGGGCAACAGAGTGAGACTCCTCTGTCTCAAAAAAAAAAAAAAAAAGTGCATTTAGTACACCTAACCTAAACCAAACTTCGGAGCTTAGCCTAGTCTACCTTAAATGTGCTCAGAACACTTACATTAGCCTATAGTTGGGCAAAGTCATCTAACACAAAGCCTACTTTATAATGAAGTCTTAAGTATCTCATGTACTTGATTGAACACTGTTCTGAAAGTGAAAACAGAATGATTGTATGGGTACCTCCTGAAGTCAAAAATCCTAAGTTGAACCATCATAAGTCAGAGACCATCTGTATACCATAATAATTCATCCCAGTCCATGAGTCACCATGGAGCTCATCAGAATACACCTGTAGAACTAGAGAGTCATAAAAGGTCCCTACCTTAAAGACAGTCTAGTCCAATTTTTCCTTTCTATTTTTTTTAAGAAGGAGTCTTGCTCTGTCACCAGGCTGGAGTGCAGTGGCGTGATCTTGGCTCACTGCAACCTCTGCCTCCGGGTTCAAGCGATTCCCCTGCTTCAGCCTCCCGAGTAGCTGGGACTACAGGCAGGTGCCGCCACACTCAGCTAATTTTTTGTATTTTAGTAGAGATGGGGTTTCACCATGTTGGCCAGGATGGTCTCAATCTCCTGACCTCATGATCTCCCCTCTCGGCCTCCCAAAGTGCTGGGATTACAGGCATGAGCCACTGCACCTGGCCATCTCTTTTTTTTTTTTTTTGAGACAGAGTTTCGCTCTTATTGCCCAGGCTGGAGTGCAATAGCACGATCTCAGCTCACCGCAACCTCCGCCTCCCAGGTTCAAGCAAGTCTCTTGCCTCAGCCTCCCGAGTAGCTGGGATTACAGGCATGTGCCACCACGTCCTGCTAATTTTGTATTTTTAGTAGAGACGATGTTTCTCTATGTTGGTCAGGCTGGTCTCGAACTCCCGACCTCAGGTGATCCGCCCACCTCGGCCTCCCAAATTGCTGGAATTACAAGAGTGAGCCACCGTGCCCGGCCCTGTTTTTTTTTTTTTTTTTTTTGAGAGACAGGGTCTTGCTCTGATGTCCAGGCTGGAGTACAGTGGCACACTCAAAGCTCATTGTCACTGGGCATGGTGGCTCATGCTTGTAATCCCAGCACTTTGGGAGGCCCAGTCAGGCGGATCGCCTGAGGTCAGGTGTTCGAGACCAGCCTGGCCAACATGGCAAAACCCAGTCTCTTCTAAAAATATAAAGATTAGCTGGGTGTGGTGGCATGAGCCTGAGGCACGAGAATCGCTTGAACCCGGGAGGCAGAGGTTGCAGTGAGCTGAGATCGTGCCACTACACTCCAGCATGGATGGGAACAACAACAAAAAAAAGCTCACCATAACTTCCAACTCCTGGGCACAAGTGATCCTCCCACTTCAGCCTCCTGAGTAGCTGAGACTACAGGGACATACTACCATATCTGGCTAATTAAAATAATTTTTTTTTTTTTGTAGAGATGGATTCTCACTATGTTGCCCAGGCTGGTCTCTAACTCCTGGCCTCAAGTAATCCTCCCCTGGCCTCCCAAAGTGCTGAAATTACAGGCATGAGCCACTGTGTCCAGCCTCAATTCTTCCTTTTATAGAAGAGAAAACAAACCTAGAGGGTTCTAGTAGTTTTTCCATACTAGCACAACTCATTTGTAATAGAGCTAAAAAAAGAATTCAGGCTTCTTATCTTTTGTCCAAAGGAAGGAATGATTTTAGTCTTTCTTACTACTACCTTTCAAACTCACTGCAACCCCCGCTTCCCTAGCCCTTTACCCTATTGTCTTTTCTGTCTTCCAATAAGCCTCTCACCTAGCTCTCAGGTGAGATAACAGATGAGTCTCTCTACCTCACAACTCAAGGCACTCATGTCACACTGTCCCAAGAAATCTTCTCACCACATTCTGCTCTAGTTGCCAGTAGCCACAGAGCGTTTCTTCCACTCAGCACATGTCACCATGAGATGCTAATCTTTCCCACTCACTCCTTGCTTGCCCTTGACTTGAGAGCAAGAAAACCACAGCACTCTTGACAGTTCTCTTCAAAGAAATCTTCACTTTTCAAACTTCCTCTCCTTGATTTTCTTTTCTCAGGCCAAAAGTGGGTAATGGGCTACAGGTTTCAGAACCAATTTGGAGGCTACCCCTTGAGCAAGTCCTGCATAAATGATCTGACATATCTCTTTATATAGGGGTACTTGCCACCTATTGTTCTAAGCTCCAAAACTAAGAAAATAGGAAAATGTAATTTAACATCCCAACTCAACTGCATTTATTCTTTCCCAGTTCTCTTTGTTTCTTAATGCATTCCAGCTGAGGTTTTTAAATTTAATTTTTATTAGGTTATGCGTTCCAGTGAGAGAACACACACCTCCTTTTTTTTTTTTTTTTTTCAGGTGCAAGATTTAATAGAGTGAAAACAGAGCTCCCATGCAAAGGGAGGGAACCCAAAGAGGTTAGCTGTTGCCAGCTCCAATGCCTGGGTTTATATCCCGATCATTGTCCCTCCCGCTGTGCTCTCAGGCAATAGATGATTGGGTATTTCTTTACCTCCCGTTTTTTGCCTAATTAGCATTTTAGTGAACTCTCTTTACTACCTGATTGGTCGGGTGTGAGCTAAGTTGCAAGCCCTGTGTTTAAAGGTGGATGTGGTCACTTTCCCAGCTAGGCTTAAGTATTCTTAGTCAGCCTAGGTAATCCAGCTAGTCCTGTCTTTTAGATCCCCCTCTCAACAGGAAAACCCAAGTGCTGTTGGGGAGGTTGGCCGACAACCGCTGTAACTGCTTCCTGCTGAACTGGGGCGTAGTAGGGGTTGTGAAGTTGAGATTTCCTTGGGAGGGGTGCCTTCAATGTCATTAACATTGGAGCATGGGCTAGCACGCCGGTCCAGGGGTCCACGGTAGATCTTAGTCATGGACTGCATCTGGGGCTCCATTTGAAGAATCATTGGTAGCTTTACAGCTTTGATTCTGGAAAAGACAAACTTAACAAGGAGGTTAAAGATACAGGGTCCAAAGAGGAGTAACAATATTATAGCTGCTAGAGGTCCTATGAAGGGGAGAATCCAGGGCATCCATTGGCTGAGGGGGCCCCAGCATCCGGTGTTTTGAAGCTCCTCTGCTCTACGTTGTATTTGATCTCAACTTTCTTTAACTTTCTCAGTGACGATTCTGGATTGATTAACATAATAACAGCATTCTTCCCCTAAAAATAAACAGGTTCCCCCTCTTTTGGCGGTTAGCAAGTCTAAAGCTCTCCGATTTTGAAGGATTACTGCTGCTAGGGAGTTAAGTTGATCTTGCAAGATGACCAGGGAGTTGGCGACCCGTTCCATGTCACCATTTGGTTCTTTAAATAGTTTGTAGTAGAACTGAGTAGAGGTTGTGATACCGCCAATGCCAGTACCTAGTTCGCCTAGCACTCCTGCTCCAATAACAAAAGGAAGAATGGGTACTCTTTTGTTGCAGGGCTTAGGTACAACATGATTGTATAAATTTTGTTCAGTGTAGATGGTCATGGGGGCACTAAGAATGAGAGGAAGCACATAGATTCTGAAGAGCCATTCAAACAACGATAGGCTGAGATACCACAGTCAAAAAATATTCCTGAGGGTAGGCAGACTATTCGTGTGGGAGGAGTTACCCACCTGATGCACTGGGAGTTGGTTGTGTCTATAGTATTGCTAAATTTTATGCAGGTGAGGTTTGAGGTATGGGTTATTTCCAGATTGGAAACAAGAGGTCCTACTAAAATGGAAGTGGTGTTTATTTCTGTGCTGAAGTTGTTCCATCATTCAGGTACAGGGATTGAAATGTATGGCCTGAAGTGCAGGGGGAGGCACATCCAACAGTTAGTAGGGTTTTGGGCCAAGACCTCATGGAGCCCAGTGAGAGTGGTATTAAATAGGCTTACCAGGTGAGTATGGGTACGGAGGGTTTCATGTAGTTTTGAGATCTAGTCCTTTGTAGGGGCTAGGGGTGCTATGACTCAGGTCAGTTGGGAGACTACTTCCTTTACGTGTTTTTCTCTTGCCTGATCTTGAACTCCACCCCCAACAGACATACCGGTATGGGTGAAGTAAGTCCAACAGACAGTGGCTCCAAGTCCTCCAAGACAACTAGGATTAATCATTTTCCCTGTCCAATAATGAGTATTTGCATGCATGCAAAGAGTGGCAGAGTTACAGCAGTTGCAGGGCATATGGGCACACATCTCCTTTTTATTATTATTATTATTATTTTTTGGAGACAGAGTCTCGCTCTGTCGCCTAAGCTGGAGTGCAGTGGCACGATCTCGGCTCACTGCAACCTCCGCCTCCCGAGTTCAAGCCATTCTCCTGCCTCAACCTCCCGAATAGCTGGGACTACAGGCACATGCCACCACTCCCAGCTAATTTTTTGTATTTTTTTTTTTTTAGTAGAGACCGGGTTTCACCGTGTTGCCCAGGCTGGTCTCGAACTCCTGAGCTCAGGCAATCTGCCCGCCTCGACCTCCCAAAATGCTATGATTACAGGTGTGAGCCACCATGCCTGGTGCACACACCTCCTTTAGAGTTTGTTAGACCTTCTTTTGGGAGCAGCCTCTGTCTCCTTCCTTCCCCTTAGCTGGAGGCACTCAATACCACCTGCAGGCTCAGTCTTGATCTAGTCACTACAAAATCTGCCCAGAGGCAGGAGGAATTTGTAGCACTTCAGTTCCCCACTCCGAGATTTTCTTTTCTTTTCTTTTTTTTTTTTTTAGATGGAGTCTTGCTCTGTTGCCCAGGCTGGAGTGCAGTGGCTTGATCTCAGCTCACTGCAACCTCTGCCTTCTGCGTTCAAGCAATACTTCTACCTCAACCTCCCTAGTAGCTGGGACTACAGGTGCGGGCCACCACACCTGGCTAATATTTGTATTTTTAGTAGAGATGGGATTTCACCATATTGGCCAGGCTGGTCTCGAACTCCTGACCTCGTGATCTGCCTGCCTTGGCCTCCCAAAGTATTGGGATTACAGGCGTGAGCCAGCACATCCGGCCACTCTGAGGTTTTCTATGAAGGCTGTTGCTAGGCTGAACTCAAGTGCCAGTTTTTGTTTTTGTTTTTGTTTTTGTTTTTAAGACAGAGTCTCGCTCTGTCGCCCAGGCTGGAGTGCAGTGGCATGATTTTGGCTCACTGCAACCACTGCCTCCCAGGACCAAGCGATTCTCCTGCCTCAGCCTCCTGCGTAGCTGGGATTACAGGCGTGTGCCACCATGCCTGACTAATTTTTTTTCTTTTTGCCGAGATGCAGTCTTGCTCTGTCACCCAGGCTGGAATGCAGTGATGCGATCTCAGCTCACTGCAACCTCCACCTCCTGGGTTCAAGCAATTCTCCCGCCTCAGCCTCTTGAGTAGCTGGGATTACAGGCGTGTGCCACCATGCCCAGCTAATTTTTGTATTTTTAGTAGACACCGGGTTTCACCATGTTGGCAAGGCTGGTCTTGAACTCCTGACCGCATGATTCACTCACCTCGGCCTCCCAAAGTGCTGGGATTACAGGCGTGAGCCACCTCGCCCGGCCTCAAGTCCCAGTTTTATTCAAAAACTGACCTCCAGTCTCATTCTTGAGATCTAGCTTCACCTTGGACTCCAGACCCAATGCATGGATTTCAGGCTAATGCCTTAGATCCAATCCTGTTACCCTTTCCAGTGTCCTGATTTCCCTACCACTGAGGACTTCCTGCTCCTTTCTTTCTTTCTTTTTTTTTTTTTTTTTTTGAGACAGAGTCTCACTCGCTCTGTTGCCCAGGTTGGAGTGTGGTGGCGAGATCTTGGCTCACTGCAACCTCTGTCTCCCGGGTTCAAGGAATTCTCCTGCCTCAGCCTCCCGAGTAGCTGATATTACAGGCGTGTGCCACCACACCCGGCTAATTTGTGTATTTTTAGTAGAGACAAGGTTTCGCCATGTGGGCCAGGCTGGTCTCGAATTCCTGACCTCTGGTGATCTGCCCACCTCAGCCTCCCAAAAAGCTAGGATTACAGATAAGAGCCACTGCGCCCGGCCAAATGAACGTCTTTCCTGCTCCTTTCAATTCCCCATTCCCTGGGACTGGAATGCCTTTGAACTTTAGCCAAGTGGCTAGAGTTCTACTACTTGATTATCAGACTTATCTGTCTGAAATCCTGATGAGCATCTCCTGTCTCAGAATTCTCTGTCTCCCATTAAGACAACATGTCATTCTCTGCTTGGCCCCAGATGCCAACTGCTTATCTACACGACTGCTTGCCATTTGTCACTGTGCCCTCCTAGTGGCAGATTTGGCCTGTCTGGTACTACTGCAGCTGACCCTGTGTCCCCTTGTGGAACCACATTCTAGTGTCTTCCTCTCAGTTGACCACCACAGGACTCAAGCCAGGGATGGACCATTTCCCATGAGTGGAATGTTTTATTATATAACTACTCTAAGGAACAGTATCACTCTTGAGACCAAACCAAGAAAAGCATACCCTATGTGATAGGGCCTTTGAGAATGGTATTCAAGAGCAACAGATCATGGAGTTAATTGTAGTATCCACCCAGAAAGTGTCAACCTGGATCAGAGACTATTGAGTACTGGATTCTCATTCAGTGAAAGTGTATGTAATGAATATCCATTTTGCCCATCCAGCATCACTTCTTCTGGTCAGATACCATAATTTGCCTTCCTCATTTCAATCCGTAGAGTTCATAGCCTTAATTCTGACTAATCAGAGCAACACAGCACCCCTTGAACATAGTGACTGTTTCAGGCATGTGTATATGACTCAAGCTGGGCCAATGACAGTCTTACCTGGGAATTTTATTGGCACTCTTGGAAAAGAGGTGGTTTCTGCTGGGGTTACTAGGTTGGTAGAATGTAAGCTGGAGCTGCTGGTGACCATCTTTGTTACCACATAAACAGAGCCTGCCTGGGAATAAAGTCAACTTAGAGGAAAGCAAAACTGAAAGATGGAGGCAATGTTGCAACCCTGATCTAGTCCTCTAGTCCTAAAGCTTGGCAATCTACTAGTGGACTCCTTGGCTCATTAATCAACATATTTACGGCTGGGCGCGGTGGCTCAGGCCTGTAATCCCAGCACTTTGGGAGGCCGAGGCGGGAGGATCACGAGGTCAGGAGATCAAGACCATCCTGGCTAACACGGTGAAACCCCTTCTCTACCAAAAATACAAAAAATTAGCCGGGAGTGGTGGCGGGCACCTGTAGTCCCAGCTACTCAGGAGGCTGAGGCAGGAGAATGGCGTGAACCCGGGAGGCGGGGCTTGCAGTGAGCCGAGATCGGCCCACTGTACTCCAGCCTGGGCGACAGAGTGAGACTTTGTCTCAAAAAAAAAAAAAAAAAACATATTTACTTTTATTGTGTAATTCAGAATGAGTTGGAGTACCATTACTTGCAACTAATACAGCTGGCAAGTATTCCCTTCTGCTTTACCAGCTGGGTAAGCCTCTGGGGAGGAAATACAGCAAAGAAAAGCAAGTTAAAAAAAAAAGTGCAGCTGGGCACAGTGGCTCATGCCTGTAATCCCAGCACTTTGGGAGGCCAAGGCGGGTAGATCATGAGGTCAGGAGTTCAAGACCACCCTAGCCAAGATGGTGAAACCCCTTCTCTACTAAAAACACAAAAATTAGCTGGGTGTGGTGGCAGGTGCCTGTAATCCCAGCTACTCGAGGGGCTGAGGCAAGAGAATTGCTTGACCCAGGAGGCGGAGGTAGTAGGGAGCCGAGATTGTGCCACTGCGCTCCAGCGTGGGAGAGCTAGACTTCTTCTCAAAAAAAAAAAAAGGCCGGAGTGGTGGCTCACGCCTGTAATCCCAGCACTTTGGGAGGCTGAAACAGGCTGATCACCTGAGGTCGGGAGTTTGAGACCAGGCTGACTAACATGGAAAAACCCCGTCTCTACTAAAAATACAAAAATTAGCTGGGCGTGGTGGCGCATGCCTGTAATCCCGGCTACTCCGGAGGCTGAAGCAGGAGAATCACTTGAACCTGGGAGGCAGAGGTTGTGGTGAGCCGAGATTGGGCCATTGCACTCCAGCCTGGGCAACAAGAGCAAAACTCTGTCTCAAAAAAAAAAAAAAAAATTTGCTCAGCCTGGCGCGGTGGCTCACACCTGTTATCCCAGAACTTTTGGAGGCTGAGTTGGGTGGATCACCCAAGGACAGGAGTTCGAGATCAGCCTGTTCAACATGGTGAAACCCCATCTCTACTGAAAATACAAAAATTAGCGGGGCATGGTGGCACATGCCTATAATCCCAGCTACTCAGGAGGCTGAGGCAGGAGAATCACTTGAACCCAGGAGGTGGAGGTTGTAGTGAGCCAAGATCTCACCATGGCACTCCAGCCTGGGCAACAAGAGCAAAACTCTGTCTCACAAAAAAAAAAAAAAAAAAAAAAAGTGCTTAAAAATGAAAAAAAAAATTTTTTCATTCAACCATCACTTAAGAATTGCAACACAGGGCCGGATGTGGTGGCTCACGCCTGTAATCTCAGCACTTTCGGAGGCTGAGGAGGGCAGATCACGAGGTCAAGAGTTTGAGACCAGCCTGGCCAACATGGTCAAACCCCATCTCTACTAAGAATACAAAAATTAGGCCGGGCACAGTGGCTCATGCCTCTAATCCCAGCAATTTGGGAGGCTGAGGCAGGCAGATCATGAGGTCAGGCAACTGAGACCATCCTGGCTAACATAGTAAAACCTCATCTCTACTAAAAATACAAAAAATTAGCTGGACATGGTGGCACATGCCTGTAGTCCCAGCTACTCGGGAGGCTGAGGCAGAAGAATCGCTTGAACCCGGGAGGCGGAGGTTGCAGTGAGCCAAGATTGCGCCATTGCACTCCAGCCTGGTGACAGAGGGAGATTCCATCTCAAAAAAAAAAAAAAAAAATTAGCCAGGCGTGGTGGTGCATGCCTGTAATCCCAGCTACTCGGGAGGCTGAGGCAGGAGAATTGCTTAAACCTTGAACCCAGAAGGTGGAGGTTGCAGTGAGCCGAGATCACACCACTACACTCTAGCCTAGGCGACAAAGCAAGACTCTGTCTCGGAAAAAAAAAAAAGAGCAACACAGTGCAGTGAAAGCAACACAAGATTTGGAGCCTACCAGAGCCCTACTCAAATCTTAAATCCCCTATTTTCTGGCTATGTACACTGAATATGTTAATTAATATTTGGAACCTCTGTTTCCTCTTTTGTACAAGGAGGATAACTACCTACCTCTTAGGGGTATTAGGAGGAGTAGATATAATGTATATGGTGCCTGTAACTAAAAGCCTTTCAATAAATCGTAGTTAGCCTCAGCAACATGGCAAAAACCCCTCTCTACAAAAAAAATACAAAAAGTATCCGGGCATGCTGGCTTATGCCTGTAGTCCCCCACTACTTGGGAGGCTGAGGTGTGAGGGTCATTTGAGCCTGGGGAGGTTGAGGCTGCAGTGAGCCATGATCACACCACTGCACTCCAGCCTGGGTGAGAGAGCAAGACCCTGCCAAAAAAAAAAAACAAAGTCAATGAATGGTAATTATTTTAATTCTCAAATACTTTGATCTGCAAGGACTTTGGGCTAGTGTATTCAAGAGGAATTTAAAAAACACAACAAAGCGGCCGGGCACAGTGGCTCACGCCTGTAATCCCAGCACTTTGGGAGGCCGAGGCGGGAGGATCACGAGGTCAGGAGATGTAGACCATCTTGGCTAACACGGTGAAACCCTGTCTTTACTAAAAACGCAAAAAATAAGCCGGGCGTGGTGGTGGGCGCCTGTAGTCCCAGCTAGTCAGGAGGCTGAGGCAGGAGAATGGCGTGAACCCGGGAGGCGGAGCTTGCAGTGAGCCGAGATCGTGCCACTTCACTCCAGCCTGGGCGACAGAGTGAGACTCCGCCTTAAAAAAAAAAAAAAAAAAAAAAAAAACTTGAGTCCTATCTCTGGCAGTTAAAATACTAGATTAAAAGAGAAGACACAGATGTTAAACTGGGAGAGAAAAGCAGTGCAAGCAGTGATATGACTGGCACAGGCCTTGGCAGCTGAGAAGAAGAAAATAATTCCCTTTCAGCTATTCATAAAAGGTTTCATGGAAGAAGTGAAATCTGGGCCCTAGAAGATGAACAGATTTTTTGTTTGTTTGTTTGAGATAGAGTCTAGCTCTGTTACCTAGGCTCTGGAGTGCAGTGGTGCGATCACAGCTCACTGCAGGCTTGACCTCCCAGGCTCAAGCCCACCTCAGCCTCCTGAGTAGCTGGGACTACAGGCATCTACCACCATGCCTGGCTAATTTTTTTTTTTTTTTTTTTAAGATACAGGGTTTCTCTATGTTGCCCAGGCTGGTCACAAACTCCTGGTCTCAAGCAATCTCCCCAGAATTTTTTTTTTTTTTTTTGAGATACAGTCTCACTCTGTCACCCAGGCAGGAGTGCAGTGATGTGATTTCAGCTCACTGCAACCTCCACTTCCCGAGTTCAAGTGATTCTCATGCCTCAGCCTCCTGAGTAGCTGGGATTATAGGCACACTCCACCACAACCAGCAAGGCCCAGGATTTTTGATAAGCAGAAAGTGGGAGAAACAGCATCCCAGAAAAACAATTGTTTTAAAAAAAGAAAATGCACAGCTGTGTCTACAGGCATTACTGGGTATATCAATATGGCCAGAGTAGAAAGAAAGGGAGAAAGAGAGAAGGAAGGAAGGAAGGAAGCAAGGAAGGAAGGAAGGAAGGAGGGAAGGGGAAGGGAAAGAAAGAAAATCACCTGGGTCTTCGTTCAGACTGCACACTTTCATCAGCTGTCCCTAAAATCCTGCCTCAGTGAACCATTGTAACTGATGAGAATGTGTTAGAACCCTCATCTGTGTGTTGGAACATGAAAAATGGTTGGGAAACATCAGCCCAGAGGCAGGAAGACTGTTTTAGAGACTATTGTGTGTGGTCAAAAGGACACCTGGGGCCTGGAGCAGTGGCTTACGCCTGTAATCCCAGCACTTTGGGAGACTGAGGTGGGTGGATCACCTGAGGTCGGGAGTTCGAGACCAGCCTGACCAACATGGAGAAACCCCGTCTCTACTAAAAATACAAAATTAGCTGGGCCTGGTGGTGCACGCCTATAATCCCAGCTACTCGGGAGGCTGAGGCAGGAGAATCACTTGAACCCAGGAGGCGGAGGTTGTGGTGAGCCGAGATCGTGCCATTGTACTCCAGCCTGGGCATCAAGAGGGAAACTCTGTCTCAAAACAAAAACAAAAACAAAAACAAAAAGGACACCTGGATCAGTAAAGCTGTTTTTAAAAAAGGAGGGAGGGGGCACTTGTATTCATCGCTCACTTGGTCCCCTATAATCATTTTTTCCTCGCTGTATTCCCTGTCTCCAGTCCCTCTCCGTTTCAAATAATTTTATTTTATTTGAGACAGAGTCCACCTCCGTCACCCAGACTGGAGTGCAATGGCGCGATCTCGGCTCACCGCAACCTCTGCTTCTCGGGTTCAAGCAATTCTCTTGCCTCAGCCTCCCAAGTAGCTGGGATTAGTGGTGTGAGCCACCATGCCCGGCTAATTTTTGTATTTTTAGTAGAGATGGGGTTTCACCATGGTGGCCAGGCTGGTCTCGAACTCCTGACCTCAGGTGATCCATCTGCCTCAGCCTCCTAAAAGTGCTGGGATTACAGGCGTGAGCCACTGCTCCCGGCCATCATTTTCTATTTCATGTCTAGATTAATCTTCCTGTTCTGATCCTGTTATCCCAACCCCAAAACCCTTAATGACAAACCACTATCTACAGAACAGACTAAAATTCTTTGGCTTTCCAGATGACGTAGCAATCACCTTTCGGATCTCATTTCCTGCTTATTTGTCATCAGGTATCTTCAGGTCCAGCCAAGCTGAACTACTCAAGAGTCCCTTGCTTTTCTGTCTTCATGGATCTTTCATGTTGCTCATTCTGCCTAGAATACCACTTCACAGTACTCTTCTCAGCTGTCTTAATCTTCTGGGTCCCTGAAGGCTCAATTCAGACACCTTTCCTTATCCCACCTTTCTCTCCCACACTGCCTTTGATAATGTCTCTCCATTCTGAACTCCTATAGAACTTTACCTGTACCTTTTGTAAAAAGTAGAGGTTCCTCTTCAAAAACTCTCCTACCCATCTAATTAGGAATAGTTACTTCTCTTAGAAGCAAAATTTATTCAAAGACCTGTGCTTACATTCTTAAATATCTGCTAGCCATAATAAAGAAATCAATGTATTGGCCGGGCGCGGTGGATCAAGCCTGTAATCCTAGCACTTTGGGAGGCCACGGTGGGCGGATCATGAGGTCAGGAGATCTAGACCATCCTGGCCAACATGGTGAAACCCTGTCTCTACTAAAAATACAAAAAAATTAGCAGGGCATGGTGGCGGGCGCCTGTAGTCCCAGCTACTCAGGAGGCTGAGGCAGGAGAATGGCGTGAGGCAGGAGAATGGCATGAACCCTGGAGGTGGAGCTTGCAGTGAGCCGAGATGGTGCCACTGCACTCCAGACTGGGGGACAGAGCCAGACTCTGTCTCAAAAAAAAAAAAAGAAAAGAAATCAATGTATTTTATGTTCTTAGCTCCCATAATTTAGCCTAAATATTTGCCCTGGCATGCTTATACTGGTCCAAGCAAGCATTAAGTCATAGCCTTCCTTATTTAAAGGAGTTTTTACCTTTCTCAGCATTCCACAAGTTACTTCCTCCTTCCTTTGTTCTCCTCTGCCTTTGTCTCTTTTAAAAAAGTTCTAAGTCCCTAGCCAATCAGGACAAAGACATAATGTGAGGTCCCGTTTCAGCCAATGGAAACTGGACACAGCAGTAAGGTGGATGTGTCAGGTTATAAATGACCCTGTCTCCTTTGTTCGGTGTACTCTCATGGCAAAACTGCTGACAAGTGTACCCTTTCTGCAGAAAGTAAAAATGGCCTTGTTGAGGAAATTAAATTTATGTTCAATTGCTATTCCTTTATGACACCGAGGAATAAACATTTCAAACAATTTATTCACGCATGGATCATTGGCTTTTTTTTTTTAAGTCTGTCATTGTTTATTTTTTTATCAAAATTTAAAACAATGTAATGAATAAAATACCAACCACCCATATTCCCACCACCCAGAATCACCAACTTTTAACACTGTTTCATATTTACTTCCATATATATATGAAATATACATGTATATACACATATATATAGAATATATACACACATATATAGAATATATATACACACACATAGAATATATATACACACACATAGAATATATATACACACACATATATATAGAATATATATACACACATATATATAGAATATACATATACACACACATATATAGAATATATATATACACACACACACACACACACAGTTTGTTTTTTCTTGAGACCGAGTTTCGCTCTTGTTGCCCCAGTTGGAGTGCAATGGCACAATCTCAGCTCACTGCAACCTCCGCTTCCTGGGTTCAAGCGATTCTCCTGCCTCAGCCTCCCAAGTAGCTGTGATTACAGGTGCCCGCCATCACGCCCAGCTAATTTTTGTTTTCTTTTTTTTTATTTTTTGAGACGGAGTCTTGCTCTGTCACCCAGGCTGGAGTGCAGTGGCACGATCTCGGCTCACTGCAAGCTCCGCCTCCCAGGTTCACGCCATTCTCCTGCCTCAGCCTCCCGAGTAGCTGGACTACAGGCGCCCACCACCACGCCCGGCTAATTTTTTGTATTTTTAGTAGAGTCGGGGTTTCACCGTGTTAGCCAGGATAGTCTCGATCTCCTGACCTGGTGAGCCGCCCGCCTCAGCCTCCCAAAGTGCTGGGATTACAGGCTTGAGCCACCGCACCCAGCCTTTTTTTTTTTTTTTTAAGTACAGACGGTGTTTCACCATGTTGGTCAGACTGGTCTCAAACTCCTGACCTTGTGATCCACTCACCTCGGCCTCTCAAAGTGCTGGGATTACAGGCGTGAGCCACTGCGCCGGCCAATTTTTGTATTTTTAGTAGAGACGGGGTTTCACCATGTTGGCCATGCTGGTCTTGAACACCTGACCTCAGGTGATCCACCTGCCTTGGCCTCCCAAAGTGCTGAGATTACAGGTGTGAGCCACTGCACCCGGCCTACTTCCATATTTTTAAAAGAAGTGAAATGTTATAGATAAAATTAAAGTCCCCTTTAACCACACAACCTCCCACTCAGTCCCATCTCCCCTCTCAAGTTACAGGCGCAACTACCATGAGTCTGGTGTGTAACCTTCCATTCCACTCCCTGTACTTTTACATGGATGAATACATATATATATATACACACACACACACACACATATGTACATATATACGTATTCATCACCAATGGATTGTGACACTGTATTTTAAAACTTACATTAATGATACCATCATGTACGTATAATTTTGCATCTTGCTTTTATCACCCAAAGTTGTTTTTGAGACCAATTCAGGCTGATGTATGAATATATTACACTTTTATCCATTTCCTTTTGATGAAAATTTAGGCTGCTTTTACTTTTTGTGATTACAAACAATGCTACGGAGGACATCCTCACACTTGTTTCTTTGTACACATGGGTGAGAGTTTATTTGGGGTACATACCCAGAAGTATAATCATTAGGTCATAGGGCACATACATTTAAACAAAAATTTTAGGCCAGCCACGGTGGCTCACACTGGTAATCCAAGCACTTTAAGAGGCCGAGGCAGGTGGATCACTTGTAGTTAGGAGTTCGAGACCAGACTGGCCAACATGGAGAAACCCCATCTCTACTAAAAATACAAAAATTAGCCGGGCTTGGTGGCGGGCACCTGTAATCCCATCTATTAGGGAGGCTGAGGCAGGAGAATTGCTTGAATCCGGGACGCAGAGGTTGCAGTGATCTGAGATTGTGCCACTGCACTCCAGCCTGGGCAACAGAGACTTCATCCCAAAACAACAACAACAACAACAACAACAACAACATTTTTACTGTGGTTAAATACACATAACACAAAATTTGCCATGTTGACCATTTTAAAGTATACAGCTCAGTAGTGTTATGTGCATTGACAATGTTGTAAAACCAGTCTCCAGAACTCTTTCCATCTTGCAAAACTGAAACTTTAAGGTAACATGGTTTATTTTATTTTATTATTAGTATTTTTTAATTTTTTAATTTTTTATTTTTTTTGAGACTGAGTTTGGCTCTTGTTGCCCAGGCTGGAGTGCAATGATGCCATCTTGGCTCACCGCAACCTCCGCCTCCTGAGTTCAAGCGATTCTCCTGCCTCAGCCTCCTGAGTAGCTGGAATTACAGTTGCCCGCCACCACGCCTGGCTAATTTTTGTATTTTTAGTAGAGACGGGGTTTCTCCGTATTGGTCAGGCTGGTCTCGAATTCCTGACCTCAAGTATTTTGACTACTTTTAAAATTAGCATTTCAACAAGGAAATTAAATAATGCTCAAAAACGTGATTTTAAAAATCATTATATAAATGTACCATAATTTAAAAAATTTATTACATTGTTCCCAGTTTTTAATTTCTAACTAAACAATCTTTTTTTTTTTTTTTTTTTTTTGTGAGGGAGTCTTGCTCTGTTGCCCAGGCTGGAGGGCAATGGCGCAATCTCGGCTCACTGCAACCTCTGCCTCCCAGGTTCAAGCAATTCTCCTCCCTCAGCCTCCTGAGTAGCTCAGAGTACAGGCACGTGCCACCACGCCCACCTAATTTTTGTATTTTTAGTACAGACAGGGTTTCACCATGTTGGTCAGGCTGGTCTCGAACTCCTGACCTCGTGATCCGCCCACCTTGGCCTCCCAAAGCGCTGGGATTACGGCTGTGAGCCACCGCGCCTGGCCTAATTAAACAGTATTATATAACCCACCATGTACCCACATAAATTGAAAATAAATGAATTAAAAATAAATAAAAATGGGATATTTAGAATTAAAAAAATACTGCAGTGACTAGCATACATATATCTTTACCCACATCTGCTGTTATTGCCTTAGGATACCAATATAGAAATGAAATTACTGGAACAACAGGTTTGTACGCTTTTACTTTTATCTGTCTTTAAAAATGCAAGAAGTTAAAAAATATTTTGATAGCACCAAGAAATGTGTAGTGAAAAAAAGTAGCCTTCGCCTCATTCCTCTTCATAGCCCAAAGGCAACCAATTTCCACTTTTTTCACTGTTATTTTGGGTATTTACCTCCATATATCAAAATAATGTGCTTATGCTATTTCTTGATGTATCTGTTTTAAACACAATCTATTGCTTTCCTGTTGTGGTAGATGAGGTTGTAGCACTCTTACAAATACACCACATACCCACCACCATTTCTCCTTCCCCAGCCTCCCAAAGCAGTTAAATCATAATTTTGGTTCACATCAATAATAAGCATTTACATCATGATTAATATGTGTAATTTTCACAGATGAGTCAGGAAGTGTACTGTGATTCATTTCTTGTAAAACTCTATTGAATAGGAAGGCCAATTTTACTTCATCTGCACTAACACTGGGTAATAAAAAATTTTTTTTCTGACATTAAAAACATGTTGCCAGGCATGGTGGCTCACTCACGCCTGTAATCCCAGCACTTTGGGAGGCCGAGGTGGGTGGATCACCTGAGATCAGGAGTTCGAGACCAGCCTGACTAACATGGTGAAACCCCATCTCTACTAAAAATACAAAAATTAGCCAGGCATGGTGGCAGCGCACACCTGTAATCCCAACTACTCGGGAGGCTGAGGCAGGAGAATTGCTTGAACCCGGGAGGCGGAGGTTGCAGTGAGCCAACGTCGGGCCATTGTACTCCAGCCTGGGCAATAAGAGTGAAACTCCATCCCTCCCCCCCGCCCACCAGAAAAAAAAACCATGTTCACCATGGACAAATTTAATTCAGAAAAATAAAAAGAAATTAAAATCTACTGTAATCGCAGACACTATTTGAACTGCAGCTCTCACCACCTCTGTGATCCCTGTCCTCTCTGCCTGTAAGTACCCATATCAATGCTACTTAGGCCATCTGCTCTGTCCCTGAGTTGTCCTTGACCTGGAGGCCCCCTTGGAGCCTCAGCTCTCCCTGCTACTGCCACCTAGAATCTGTCACTGACAACTTGCAGAGCTCCACTGCCCATCTCTCTCTGGCCAGTAGGTAAATGCCTTTCTTACATTCAGCTCTTTAAAAACCGAGAATCCCACAGAGTGTGTGCTGGGTTCTCAATAATTCAATTCTTTCAGCATGCCACACAGAAGAGGACCTGGGCCCCTGGTGATTCGGTTGTTTCCATTTTAGTACACAGCCTTCTCCTTCCCAGGACTGATAAGCATGCCCCAGAGGGTTGAGCTGGGGCAGGTTCAAGTACAGCCTTATAGAATCTTCACAAACACTGTCTTCTCTAGCACTTAGGCCCTGTGGCCAATTCTACTCCTTATAAGGGTATCCTTGGTACAGAATTTTTCCTGTAAGGAATCCATTATTTCTTTCTGCAAGCTGTATTTCATCAGGTGATAATCATTTTTAAATCAAATTTTATTTCCCACAATACTTCTGGATCCAAGATTAAAGGATGGGGCTAGATGTTTCAAGCCTTCTGTAACAGCAACAGAGCAGAGCACAATGATGCCTTCGAAAACCTGCAGCAACAAGGACACTCTGCTATATACAATATCTATCAGAGTGCTGGTAAATGCCTCACAACCATCAAGCCATCTCCCTCCCCCATATATTTATTCCTCTGTGAAGCCTTTCTTCTTCCCCCTCTATTACACTGAGTTGCTCTCTGTCCTGTTCACACTTCGATCAGAGCACTTATTACACAGTATAATGACGACGTGATTATGTATTTATCTCCCCTCACCAGAGCTCTGGAGGGCAGGAATCCGAGTACCACAATACAGGATGCAGAGCAGGCCTAAAATATTTATGGGAAGGATGGGAGCCGGACTATGATGGATCGCTTTAAATACCAGGGAAAGGACTTTCCACTCAAACCAAAATTCAACAGAGTATTAAATTTTCTTGCACAGAGGAATGACTTGCAGAATACAGTGTGCCATAAAAATGCACCCGGTCATTGTGTGAAGTTGGATGGGAATGTGGCAAAACCAGTTAGGAAGTTGCTGAGGTGACTCTGTCCATGGAGAGGAAGAACTACATCTAAAAGGCATTTCAAAGAAAATACAGGCCAGGCACGGTGGCTGTCGCCTGTAATCCCAGCACTTTGGGAGGCCAAGGCAGGCGGATCACGAGGTCAAGAGATCGAGACCATCCTAGCCAATATTGTGAAATCCTGTCTCTACTAAAAATACAAAAATCAGCTGGGCGTGGTGTCGTGCGTCTGTAGTCCCAGCTACTCAGGAGGCTGAGGCAGGAGAATCGCTTGAACCCAGGAGGAACCCAGGAGGGGGAGGTTGCGGTGAGCCGAGATCGCGCCAGCCTCGTGACAGAGGGAGACTCCGTCTCAAAAAAAAAAAAAAAAAAAAAAAGGAAAGAAAGAGAAAATACAAACAAAAGCTGAGATTTGCTGAGTTCCTACCATGTGCTACGCAATGCCAACAACAAGGTGGCATGGAATAATCCTCATGTCTGTTAAGTGGGTGGGGGTAGGAGTGGGGGTAGGAGTAGGGGAGTGTCACACATCTGCAAACGGTAACGTTGAACTTCCAAAGTAGGTCCATCGGGCTCTCAGGACCCGCGGCTGTCCGAGGCCTCAGTTGCCTCAATTAGTCTTAGGCTAACTTCCTCCTTGCGCTGGGGGGTGGGGAATACTTTCCCGTGCGGAGGCCTCAGCTCCTCAATGTACAGAGAAGAGCCTTGCAGGGCCTAAACACTGGAGTTCAGGGATCCTTTATCAAGCTGCCAAACCTTTTCAGGGGCTTGGAAGGACACCTAAGGGCGGAAGCGGGCGCGTTGTGGCCCCCGTGGGGCAGTGGGAAGGCAGCAGGGCCTCGCGGGCGGAGGCCGGAGCGCCGCTGACGCCGGAGCGGAAGCCGCTGAGTCATGGTGGGGGCAGGAATGCAGCGCATTTGGAGAAGGCCCGGGACGCCGGCGGCTCCAGCATTACTGAGCAGTGACTTGGCGTCCGCACCTTCACTGCAGTCGGGAACCACCAGTGACGGCGGTGACCGGAAGAGCTGAGTCACCGCAGGCGACGGCGAGCGACGCCGGCGGGGAGGGGCTGACGCGCCTGGGGCCGCGCGCCTGGGCTCCAGGGCCCCGCGCGTCGCCACGATCCCGACGTTGCAATCCCCGCCAGCTCGGCGGGGGCCGCACGGGGCTGGGTCTCCCGGATCCCGCCCGGGGATTGGAGTCTGAGGCTGAAATTTGAAATCTTGAAGTGGCCCCAAGCCACAAATACTACAGACTGGTTTCAGTGGGAATTAGGACCTTGTGAAAGGAGACAGCAGTGCCCCAAAGACTGGGTAGATTTTGAAGATCAAAGGCACTTGCCTAGGAACAAAAATGATTTGCCTGACTCAGTTCCAAAATGCAGCAAATAATAATTAAAGCGAAACACACACGCACTGTTTTTTTTAAATGCAAGAGCAAAACTTTTAAAATTCCAAAAGAAAATAAATCTTGGTTTCCGAGATGAATTCGTCAAAGGAAAATATCTTGGGGCCCCCATATCACTAAGCTAAAGGGAAAAGTCAAGCTGGGAACTGCGTAGGGAAAACCTGTCTCCCATTCTATTCAAAGTTACCCCTCTGCTCACTAACATAAATGCGTTATCTGATTGCCTCTTTTGGAGGCTGGGTGCGGTGGCTCACACCTGTAATCCCAGCACTTTGGGAAGGAGAGGCGGGCGGATCACTTGAGGTTAGGAGTTCCAGACCAGCCTGGCCAACATAACGAAATCCCGTCTCTACTAAAAATACAAAAATTAGCCGGGCATGCTGGTGGGCGCCTGTAATTCCAGCTACTCGGGAGGCTGAGGCAGGAGAATCGCTTGAACTCGGGAGGCGGAGGTTGCAGTGAGCCGAGCTCAGCCACTACGCTCCAGCCTGAGCAACAGAGCCAGACTCCCTCTCAAAAAATAAGATTAAAAAAAAAAAAGAATCCAGGCTGGGCACGGTGGCTCACGCCTGTAATCCTAACACTTTGGGAGGCCAAGGCGGGTGGATCACCTGAAGTCAGGAGTTCGAGATCAGCCTGGTGAACATGGAGAAACCCCTATCTCTACTAAAAATATATAAATTAGCTGGGCGTGGTGGCGGGCGCCTGTAATCCCAGCTGCTTGGGAGGCTGAGGCAGGAGAATCGCTTGAACCCGGGAGCAGAGGTTGCAGTGAGCCGAAATTGGGCCACTTCTCCCCAGCCTGGGCGAAAGAGGGAAACTCCATATGAAGAAAGAAAGAGAGAGAGAGAGGGAGGGAAGCTCAAAAGAATGCAACCATTTGTCTCCTATCTACCTATGACCTGGAAAGCCCCCATTTCCAGACCAAACCCGTGTTGATCTTATATATGTCGATTGATGTCTCATGTCTCCCTAAAATGTAGAAAACCAAACTGTGCTCTGACCACCTTGGGCACATGTCCTCAAGGAGGTCCTCAGGGCACGTATCCTCAACCTTGGCAAAATAAACTTTTTAAATTAACTGAGACCTATCTCAGATTTTCGGGGTTCACAAGTTCTAACAGGATGGGAGTTTTGCAGAGGGAACTTTCCAAAGGTCCCTGAAACTTGCTTGGTGGTACCAGGACTCAGTAGTTTATCTCTTTCTCTAGTTTCTTCCCACTTCCACACTACTGAAGCCAGAACTCATTTTTGTATAATAGTGCTTAATTAGGCTGGACACAGTGGCTCACGCCTGTAATCCCAGCTACTTGGGAGGCTGAGGCAGGAGAATCGCTTGAACTCGGGAGGCAGAGGTTGCAGTGAGCCGAGATCGCGCCATTACACTCCAGCCTGGGCAACAAGAGCGAAACTTCATCTCAAAAATAATAATAATAATAATGCTTAATCAATTTTGTTCAGGTTTCTTTTTTAGACAAAAAACAAGTATATTATAGAATTTTCTCGGGATGGTGGGGGGAACACACTCAATTACAGTCGCTAAACCAGAAACCACAATTACTTTTGCTTCTTTTCCTACATTTTGTTCACAAGAAGAAGTTTTTGTTTTTGTTTTGTTTTGTTTTGAGATAGTGTCTCACTCTGTCGCCCAGGCTGAAGTGCAGTGGTGCGGTGTGGGCTCACTGCAAGCTCTGCCTCCTGGGTTCAAGTGATGCTCTCACCTCAGCCTCCCAAATAGCTGGGATTACAGGTGCCTGCCACCACACCCAATTAATTTTTGTATTTTTAGTAGAGATGGGGTTTTGCCATGTTGGCCAGGCTGGTCTCGAACCCCTGACCTCAAGTGATCCGCCCACTTCAGCCTACCAAAGTGCTGAGATTACAGGCGTGAGCCACTGTGCCTGGCCTCAATGTGTAAGTCTTTTTTAATCAGATCAGTGATTAAATGGAGAAAACAAAACAAAAGAAAACAAAATAATGGATAATGGTGGAAATGAATGTAATGTCACAGATTTTTTTTGTTTTTTATTTTTTGTTTTGAGATGGAGTCTAGCTGTGTTGCCCAGGCTGGAGTGCAGTGGCACGATCTTGGCTCACTACAACCTCCGCCTGCCAGGTTCAAGCGATTCCCCTGCCTCAGCCTCCCGAGTAGCTGGGATTACAGGCGTCTGCCACCACGCCCAGCTAATTTTTGTATTTTTAGTAGAGACGGGGTTTCACTGTGTTGGTCAGGCCGGTCTCGAACTCCTGACCTTGTAATCCGCCCACCTCTGCCTCCCAAAATGCTGGGATTACAAATGTAAGCCACCACGCCTGGCCTGTCGTAGATTTTTTGTCTTGGGCAATGGGACTGAGGATAAGAGGGAGAAGAAAAAGGTCAAGAAGCTATTCCTTTTCATCTGAAAGTTCTTATGCACTTCTTTGTAACCATGTGCATATATTACTTCTTACTTTTTTGTTGTTTTATTTTGGATGTGTGGTCTGAGTGCTTGCTTTTGAGTCAGTGGGCTTGACAGTTCTTCAAACTGAAAACTAATCTAAGAGTCCCAGATCTGGTTCTGGTATAACACACAGCAGAATTTTGCTATTTCATTGTTTTCGCTTAGGCACCATTTTCAACTGCTGCTGTTCATTCTTCCATTCAACACATATTTGTTAAGGGGCTTTTACGTGCCAGGCACTATAGTAAGGTCCTGAAGATGTCCTTCAAACAGCCAGCCAAAATTTGGAACATGTTTTGTGCCAGCTACATAGAGTGTGTTTTTGTTAAAGACTTCTATTATTGTGGGCCTTTGTTCTTGTTGCTAGTCAATCTTGGGATGATCTAATAGAATGTAGATTTCTTTGCAACAGAGCTGGACCCAGAACATTCCATTCTAGACTCTAGGGTCCTGCACGTGTGAAATAGAGATAGGACTGACTTTGGGCACTGTGACAAGTAATTCTCTTCCATTAATGCTGCTTTTCTGGAGCTATGCCCTAAGATAATGTTATACCAAAGGGTCCTGTGAACACTTTGCTGCAGAAATTATTTGATTCAAATCAATTCAATTTAAAATCATGTATTGAGTGCCTACTACTTATAAGCATGGGGTAGGAATGGGAGATGAGCCAAAGATGAAAATAACCCAGATCCTGAAGCTCATCATTTTTTGAGAGTCTTAAATCTTCCTAAAGACTGATCCAGATACTTCTCTTTTTAAAACCTTTAATGGGTCTCATTGGCTTTCAGATTTTTTTTATTTCAAAAAAAACCCGCTGCATTTTAACTGAGTACCAGACACCGTGCTAGGGGTTGGTTATACCATTTCAGAAAATTACATTATTGATGGCAATGGTGTTGGTGGTATTTGAGTCACCTGCACAACATGCATGTATCAATCAGAATTTGCAGCTGTAACATGCATGATTTTGCTACGTATAGTTGCTAGCAACTGACTACTACTTTATTTATTTATTTATTTATTCATTTATTTATTTATTTATTTATTGAGACAGAGTCTCGCTCTGTAGCCTAGGCTGGAGTGCAGTGGCGCAATCTCGGCTCACTGCAACCTCTGCCTCCTGGGCTCAAGCCATCCTCCCATCTCAGCTTCCTGAGTTGCTGGGACTACAGGTGCATGCCGCCACACCTGGCGAATTTTTGTATTTTTTGCAGAGATAGTGTTTCGCCATGTTGCCCAGGCTGGTCTTGAACTCCTGAGCTCAAGTGATCTGCTTGCCTTGGCCTTCCAAAGTGCTGGGATTATAGGCATGAGCCACCATGCAATTATATATTGAAATATGTTACCATAAATAACCTTCTTTTTATTTCTTCTTTATATTACAGTTAGCGCACAATATTGATTTTCTTAAATAGAAGTGTGTAGTTAGTTTGACTGTATTATCTATGGATATCATTTAATAATAGTACAGAGGAGATTACAGAAAGAACTACTAGCCTACTCAAATAAATCTGAATGACTGATCCTGGCAATTATTGCCATCAGTGTCAAACCCCAGGCTTATTCTTATTTGGTATACCTAAGATCAGGCCAAGTTGCTTTACTTCGTATTCCCAGTATTGGAGCATTGGAGCAAGCATCTTCCACTCCCACAGACCCATCTTAGGTCATCTTGTTCTATAACTATAGGACTCTGTCACCTTTGACACATCTGATTGACCTAAGGGAGTCTATTCATTGTCTGTCCAATTGCCCAAGAGAGTTGTTCCGGACAGGCTCAGTGGCTCACACCTGTAATCCCAGTACTTTGGGAGGCCGAAGCAGGTGGATCACCTGAAGTCAGAAGTTCAAGACCAGCCTGGCCAACCTGATGAAACCCCGTCTCTACTAAAAATACAAAAAATTTAGCTGGGCAGGGGGGTGGGTGCCTGTAATCCCAGCCACTCAGGAGGCTAAAGCAGGCAGGAGAATCACTTGAACCCGGGAAGCGGAGGTTACAGTGAGCCAAGATAGTGCCATTGCACTCCAGCCTGGGTAACAGAGTGAGACTCTGTCTCAAAACAAAAACAAGCAAACAAAAAATTGGCCTAGACATACAAAGAATGAGGAAAATAAAATCCATAGTCAAGGTGGGGGAAAAAGCAGTCTATACAAATTAAACCCAAGATGGCCCAGATGTGAAACTTACCAAAAAAGAGTTTAGGCCGGGAGCAGTGGCTCACGCCTGTAATCCTAGCACTTTGGGAGGCCGAGGTGGGTGGATCACCTGAGGTCAGGAATTAGGAGAATCAGGAGCTCGAGACCAGCCTGGCCAACATTGTGAGACCCTGTCTCTACTAAAAATACAAAAATTAGCCAGGTGTGATGGCACACACCTGTAGTCCCAGCTACTCGGGAGGCTGAGGCAGGAGAATCGCTTGAACCTAGGAGGCAGAAGTTGCAGTGAGCCGAGACAGTGCCATTGCCATTGGGTGACAGAGCAAGACTGTCTCACATACACACACAAAAAAGCCGGGCACGGTGCCTCATATCTGTAATTCCAGCAATTTGGGAGGCCCAGGAGGGCGGATCATGAGGTCAGGAGTTCGAGACCAGCCTGACCAACATGGTGAAACCCTGTCTCTATTAAAGATACAAAAAAAAAAAAAACATTAGCCGGGCATGGTGTTGCGTGCCTGTATTCCCAGCTACTCAGGAGGCCAAGGCAGGAGAATTGCTTGAACCTGCAAGGCAGAGGTTGCCGTGAGCCAAGATCGCACCATTGCACTCCAGTCTGGGCAACAGGACGAGACTCTGTCTCAAAAAAAAAAAAAAAAAAATAGAAAAAGAATTTAAAGGAGCTATCAAAAATAAGTTCAAAAATTAAAGGAAAATATATTTATGGAAAGAAAGAAAAGTGTAATCTTAATGAGTTAACAGAAATAGAAACCATAAAAAAGAACCAAATGGAAGTTCTAGAACTGAAAATTACAATGGCCGGAATAAAAAATTAACTGGATGGGATTTACAGCAGATTATATTTGGCTTAATAGGTCAATAGAAAGTTTTCATTCTGAAGAACAGAATGTTAAGAAATTATAGAAAAATGAACAGACACCCCTAAAATTTATACAAATTTAAAAACAAAAGTGGCCTCGGACTTTTAGAGCAATATCAAATGACCTAATACATATGTAATTGGAGTCCCAGAAAGAAAAGAGGGTGCAATTGGATCAGAAAAAACTATTTGAAGAAATAATGCAGCCGGGCGCAGTGGCTCACACTTGTAACCCCAGCACTTTGGGAGGCTGAGGCAGGTGGATCACCTGAGGTCAGGAGTTTGAGACCAGCCTGGACAAAATGGTGAAACCCCATTTCTACCAAAAATACAAAAATTAGCCAGGTGTGGTGGCAGTTGCTTGTAATCCCAGCTATTCAGGAGGCAGAGGTCGCAGTGAACCGAGATCATGCCATTGCACTCCAGCCTGGGCCACAGAGTGAGACTCCATCCATCTCCAAAAAAAAAGAAAAAAAGATCAAAAGTTCTCCATATTTGATAAAAACAGATGACATTACAAGGACACAGGAGCCAGCTTGCAGAGCCTCTGACAGGCCAAATCTGAGGAAATCAAGGCAACAAAATATATTCTGATAAAAGAATAGCTGTAAGAAGTTCAACAAATTTCATAAATGGTAAAAAATCTAAAAAGGCAAAAATAAAGACAGCCATACCTAGCCACATGATAGTCCAACAGTTGAAAACCAAAGATAAAGAAAATAAATCTTTTTTTTTTTTTTTTTTTGAGACGGAGTCTTGCTTTGTCACCCAGGCTGGAGTGCAGTGGCGCGATCTCGGCTCACTGCAAGCTCCGCCTCCCGGGTTCACGCCATTCTCCTGCCTCAGCCTCTCGAGTAGCTCGGACTACAGGTGCCCACCACCACGCCCGGCTAATTTTTTCATATTTTTAGTAGAGATAGGGTTTCACTGTGTTAACCAGGATGGTCTCAATCTCCTGACCTTGTGATCTGCCCACCTTGGCCTCCCAAAGTGCTGGGATTACAGGCGTGAGCCACCGTGCCTGGCCAAAGAAAATAAATCTTGAAAGCTGGCTGGGCACAGTGGCTCATGCCTGTAATCCCAGCACTTTGGGAGGCCAAGACGGGCGGACCACCTGAGGTGAGGAGTTCGAGACCAGCCTGACCAACATGGTGAAACTCCGTCTCTACTAAAAATACAAAAAATTAGCCAGGCATGGTGGCGTGTGCCTGTAGTTCCAGCTGCTTGGCAGGCTGAGGCACGAGAATTGCTTGAACCCGGAGGCGGAAGTTGCAGTGAGCCGAGATCGTGCCACTGCACTCCAGCCTGGGTGACAGAGTGAGACTCTGTCTCCCCCAATAAATAAATATATAAACACTTTTTGCTTTGCATCTTTGTTTTTTGGGGGTTTTTTTGAGACAGAGTCTCACTTTGTAGAAACAAGGTCTCATTTTGTTACCCAGGCTGATCTTGAACTCCTGGCTCCAGTGATCCTCTCACCTCAGCCTCCCAAAGTGCTGAGATTAAAGGTGTGAGCCACTGTACCAGCCCTCCATGATGTGAATATACTACTTTTGTCTTTTCCATTGACCTAGTGATAGGTATCTGGGTTGCTGCCTACTTCTCCCTGCAACACCACCACCAAAAAGTGATAAAGAATATACTCTGAAATATAAACCTAGAACTGGGAACACAGCTGATACATTTGGATATTTGTCCCCTCCAAATCTCATGTTGAAATGTAATCTCCAGTGTTGGAGGTTGGACTTGGTGGGAGGTGTATTTCTTCATGGGGACTGATCCCTCATGAATGGCTTTATGCCATTCTCACTGTAATGATTGACATCTCGCTGTATTGGTTCACAGGAGATCTGCTTGTTTAAGAAAGCCTGGAACTTCCTCTCCTCTCTTTTTTTCCCTATCTCACCATGTGATATGCCAGCTCCCCCTTCGCCTTCCGTCATGATTGTAAGTTTCCTGAGGCCTCACCAGGAGCAGATGCTGGCACTATGCTTCTTGTTCAGCCTGCAGAACTATGATCCAAGGTCTTGCTAAGTTGCCCAGGCTGTGTTTGAATTCTTGGCCTCAAACAATCCTCCTTCCTTGGCCTCCCAAAGCACTGAGATTATAGTTGTGAGCCACTGTGCCTGGCCACCTCAAATATTTCTTTACATCCTATTCAGGAATTCAAGCTTCCTCTTCCATGAATTGCCTATTAATATTTTCCCACTTTTTTCAGTCTTATTTGTATTGGCTTATAGGAATTCCACGTGTCTACCTAATAATGATGCTCTGTGGCTTTTAGATGTGGTAAATATCTTTACAGAGTCTGCTATTTGTCTATTAACTTCATCTAGAGTATTTCTTGTTAGACCATCATGTTAAATCTAGGAAACCGTAGAGTCCAGATTCAACCCAAGTCTGTCTGTCTTTGAGACTAATGCTCCTTTTACTAAAGGAAAATGGTAGTGAAGCTCTATGACTGACTAGAGTAATTTTTGCCACCTAAAAGCTAGAGTTTCTGGGTCATCTCTCAGATTGTTTTCCTAGAAAATGAAGGCTACCAAATACCCAACCATAGACTTCTTGCCTGGGAGACAGGGTACTCTGACCTGAGGTCAGAGTTTTCTGGGTATTGGAGCCAAAGCTACTTCACAAACATTCTGACTTTATTTTTCCTTGAGTCTACCTGTTGTGCTGGCTCTGCATATTAAAAGACTATGCAAAGTAAGTGGCATATCTATCCCACATTAGGAGCGAGCAGATAAAAGAAAACTTTTCCATTGTAAGTTAGAAGAATAAATCTGATGGGTGATTTCTCCTTTGATCCTCATAATTACCCTGAATATTTAAGATGACGAAGAGCATATCCACTTCTCTGTAATAGCTAAAGAGTCTTCTGCTTCGAACCACGGTGAAGTAACAAGGGACACCACCTGTTGTAACAACTAGGAACTGGAAAACATATATGAAACAAGTGTTTTCAGACATCAGACAAGAAGCAGATCAGAATTGTGATCCTGAGAGAAGGAAGACAAAAGAGGTAAGCCCTCCAATTTCTCCAGTTTTCTATTTAAAGGCTCATTCTGGACCATAGCATAGGAAAGGGGTTCCCATAAACATCACTGTGGTCTCACTGGGTCAAGGAGAAAGAGTTTGAAGTTTAGGAGGCTGAGGTGGATGGAGATAGCAGTATGGTTTTTGAAAAGAGGGGTTACACAGAAAAAGAGCTCCAGAAATCCACATGGGGTCCCCCTCCACGTTTTCTGAATATTAAGATGGTTATAAGCAGGGTGAAACCTCACAGCTTGGACAAATAATAACCAAGGAAGGGGTTAGCTAAAGAGTTCCCAGAGGCCGGGCGCGGTGGCTCACGCCTGTAATCCCAGCACTTTGGGAGGCCGAGGCGGGTGGATCATGAGGTCAGGAGATCGAGACCATCCTGGCTAAGACGGTGAAACCTTGTCTCTACTAAAAATACAAAAAATTAGACGGGCATGGTGGCCGGCACCTGTAGTCCCAGCTGCACGGGAGAATGAGGCAGGAGAATGGCGTGAACCTGGGAGGCAGAGCTTGCAGTGAGCTGAGATCGCGCCACTGCACTCCAGCCTGGACGACAGAGCTAGACTCCGTCTCAAAAAAAAAAAAAAAAAAAAAAAAAAGAGTTCCTAGAGATCTCACAGGACTAGGACACTAGACTAGAGAAAGCTTGTTGATTCCTTGGGGGGCATTAGTAGAAACCCCCAAAAGGCCACACATTAGTTGTATAGTAAAATAGCCCTATAGTAAATACTAACAGATTTTATCTTTTCTTTTATTTATTTATTTTTTTATGGTTGTATAGCTTTTTTTTTTTTTTTTTTTTTTTTTTTTTTTTTTTGAGACGGAGTTCCGTTCTTGTTGCCGAGGCTGGAGTGCAATGGCGCGATCTCGGCTCACCGCAACTTCCACCTCCTGGGTTCAAGCAATTCTCCTGCCTCAGACTCCCATGTAGCTGGGATTACAGGAGTACGTCATCATGCCCAGCTAATTTTGTGTTTTTAGTAAAGACAGGGTTTCTCCATGTTGGTCAAGCTGGTCTCGAACTCCTGACCTCAGGTGACCCGCCCTCCTCGGTCTCCCAAAGTGCTGGGACTACAGGCATGAGCCACCGTGCCCGCTCCCTTTTTTTCTGACTTTAAGTTCTGGGATACAGGTGCAGAATGTATTACATAGATATACATGTGCCATGGTGGTTTGCTGCACATATCAACTTGTCATTAGGTTTTAAGCCCCGCATTCATTAGGTATTTGTCCTAATGCTCTCCCTCCCTTTGCCCCCCCACCCCCTGCAGACTTGATCTTAAAAACCTTTAACTGGCCAGGCGTGGTGGCTCACGCCTGTAATCCCAGCACTTTGGGAGGCCGAGGCAGGTGGATCACGAAGTCAAGAGATCAAGACCATCCCGGCCAACATGGTGAAACCCCGTCTCTACTAAAAATACAAAAAAAAAAAAAAAAAAAAAAAAAAAAAAAAAAAAGCTGGGCGTGGTGGCACACACCTGTAGTCCCAGCTACTCAGGAGGCTGAAGCAGGAGAATCACTTGAACCCAGGAGGCGGAAGTTGCAGTAAGCTAAGATCACGCCACTGCACTCCAGCCTGGCGACAGAGCAAGACAAAGACTCCGTCTCAAAAAAAAAAAAAAACAAAAAAAACTTTAAACACGATTTGTAAGTATCAAACTGAACTCTATAATTTAATTGCTAACCAGGTCAAATCCCAACATTTGTTAAAGAAAAACAAGAAAACTCACTCAACAACATGGCCAACATGGTGAATCCCCCATCTCTACTAAAAATACAAAAATTAGCCGGGTGTGGTGGCGGGCGCCTGTAATCCCAGCTGTTCCAGAGGCTGAGGCAGGAGAATCGCTTGAACCTGGGAGGTAGAGGTTGCAGAGAGCCGAGATCGCGCCATTGCACTCCACCCTGGGCAACAAGAGCGAAACGCCATTTCAAAAAAAAAAAAATAGCAAATTGGCTAGGCTCCGTGGCTCACACCTGTAATCCCAGAGTTTCAAAAGGCCAAGGTGGGAGGATTGCTTGATGCCAGGAGTTTTGGACCAGCTTTGGCAACATGGTAAAATCCTGTCTTTACAAAAAATTTTTTTAAAAATTAGCTAGGCATGGCGTCATGCGCCTATAGTCCTAGCTACTTGGGAGGCTGAGGCAGAAGGAGCACTTGAACCCAGGAGTTTGAGGCTGCAGTGGGCTATGATCATACCATTGTACTCCAGCATGGGTGGCAGAGTGAGACTCTGTTAAAAAAATAAAAAAAAATTAGCAAATTGAATCCAGTAATATGTAAAAATGACAATACACCATGACCAAATGAGGTTTATCCTAGCAAAGCAACATGTAAAAATCTATTACTGTTATGCAACATGTAATGAGGGTTTAGTCGAGAATGGGAGAATGGATTGCATATAGGACAGTGAACATGAGATTATAATAGCATATTACTGTATGTTTTCTATGTTTAGATACATGAATACTACCATTGTGTTACAATTGCTTACAGTATTCAGTACTGTGGAGATTTGTAGCCTTGGCCATGCATGGTGGCTCATGCCTGTAATCCCAGCACTTAAGAGGCTGAGGCAGGCAGATCACTTGATGTCAGGAGTTCAAGACCAGCCTGGACAACATGGTGAAACCCCCTCTCTACTAAAAATACAAAAATTAGCCAGGTGCAGTGGCACGTGCCTGTAATCCCAGCGAGCTGCTCAGGAGGCTGAGGCAGGAGAGTCACTTGAACCTGGAAGGCAGAGGTTGTGGTCAGCTGAGATTGCGCCACTGCACTCCAGCCTAGGTGGCAGAACGAGACTGTCTAAAAAAAAAAAAAGGAAAAAGAAAATGGAAAGACATGACACAGAATGAAAGAAAATATACACAATGATGAAATCTGACAAAATGAATTCATAGAGTTTCCTACAACTCAGTAACAGGAAGGCAACAATCTAGTTTTGTTTTGTTTTGTTTTGTTTTGTTTTTGAGATGGAGTCTTGCTCTGTTGCCCAGGCTGGAGTGCAGTGTCACGATCTCTGCTCACTGCAAGCTCCGCCCCCTGGGTTCATGCCATTCTCCTGCCTCAGCCTCCCAAGTAGATGGGACTACAGGCGCCTGCCACCATGCCCGGCTAATTTTTTGTAATTTTTTTTAGTACAGAGGGGGTTCCACCGTGTTCGCCAGGATGGTCTCGATCTCCTGACCTTGTGATCCGCCCGCCTCGGCCTCCCAAAGTGCTGGGATTACAGGTGTGAGCCACCGCGCCCAGCCAACAATCTAGTTTTTAAATGGGCAAAAGATTGAAACAGACACTTTACAAAAGATGATACAAATGGCAAAAAGCACATGAAAACATGCTCAACATCATTAGTCATCAGAGAACTACATACTGTGAATAATGTTGTAACACTACATATCCTCTCCACTGGATACACTTAAAAACACCGAGAATTCCAACTTTTGGTGAAGATGTGGAACAACAGAATGCCCATAAATTGCTGGTGGGAATATAAAATTGTACAACCCATTTGTGAAACAGTTTGACAGTTTCTTACAAATTTACATATACATTTACAATGCAAACCAGCCATTCCACTCCTAGCTATTTACCAGAGAAATGAAAGCATATATTCACACAAAGACTTGTATATAGAAATATACATATCAATTTTATTTACATTAGCTAAAAACTGGAAACCACCCAAACATCCTTCAGCAGATGAATAGATAATTGTATATCAACTGAATGGACTACCATTTACCAACAAGAAGGAGGGAATTCCTGATTCACTCAACATCATGAAAATAATCTCAGAAACATGCTGAGTGAAAAAAAAAAAGACAAAAAGAAAGTACTTACTGGTAGTAAGTACTGAGGCAGTGGCTCACGCCTGTAACACCTATAATTCCAGCACTTTGAGGGGCTGAGATAGGAGGATTGCTGGAGGCCAGAAGGTTGAGACCAGCCTGGGCAAATATGACTCTATTGCCACAAAAAATTTTTAAAATTATCTGGGCATGGTGATGTGCACCTGTAGTCCCCGCTACTTGGGAGGCTGAGGCCAGAGCATCTCATGAGTGCAGGAGTTTGAGGCTAGTGTCAGAAACATAGGAAGACTCTGTCCCTCAAAAAAAAAAAAAAAAAAAAAGGAAAATGGTCTTCAGTGACTACGTTCAATAGAAGATTGACTAGATTTCCTATGAATATACTGTTTTATTCACAAACGGTATCAAACTGCTGAATGTGAGGACTCGCAGCTACCGGGAACAATGCTCTGCAGAAAGTCTCTGTTTCTTCACTTCAACTCTTCCTTGCCCTCTTACCTTCCTTCTCCCTAGCCCTTTCCTGACAACCAACAACAATTTACATTACTGAACTTTATGCTTGCAAAAGATTTTCAAACTTTATTTGATCTTCAGAATAATTTTCGTAGCCTGTGATAGGACTATTTACTCATTTTACAGAATGGAAAATAAAATTAGGGACAGTGAGATGAAATGTTTTACTTGAGGCAACACAGTGTGTACATGCCTCAGAACAGAATCGATGTCTGTCCTTTTCCCCCTGCGTTTTGAATTGTTTAGAGTACAAATCTTGCCAAGGCGTAAAAATGAATAAGAGGACTAGTTTATTTAAAAATATAATGAAAAATTGGCTGGGTACTGTGGCTCACAACCTGTAATCCTGGCACTGTGGGAGGCCAAGGCGGGTGGATTACTTGAGGTCAGGAGTTCAAGACTAGCCTGGCCAACATGGTGAAACCCCGTCTCTACTAACAATACACAAATTAGCCAGATGTGGTAGTGTGTGCCTGTAATCCCAGTTACTCAGAAGGCTGAGGCAGAAGAATCGCTTGAACCCAGGAGGGGGAGGTTGCAATGAGCGGAGATCATGCCACTGCACTCTAGCCTGGGTGATGGAGTGAGACTTTGCCTCAAAAAAAAAAAAAAAAAAAAGGAAAAGAAAGAAAAAGAAAATTTGAAAAAAAAAAAAAAAAAAACAAACCCCAAAACTTTATGAAAAATTTGGTCTAAAATGTTTTGACTATTTGAAATAGGCATAACATAGGAAGTATAGAATGCGGGGTTTCAATATCTGTGAATATCTTGACAAAATCAGCCTGGGCTCTAAGATGACTTTGGGTGCTTGGTACTATTGATATGGGAATGCTGGGAAGGGAAGAGTGTGATCCCTTTAAATGATATGGAAGCGGAGAAGGTAAATGCTGAGTAGAAAAAGGCATGATCCATGGCCAGGAGTGGTGGCTCATTCCTGTAATCCCAGCACTTTGGGAGGCCGACGTGGGCGGATCACCTGAGGTCGGGAGTTCGAGACCAGCCTGACCAACATGGAGAAACCCCGTGTCTACTAAAAATACAAAATTAGCCGGGCGTGGTGGCACATGCCTGTAATCCCAGCTACTAGGGAGGCTGAGGCAGCAGAATCGCTTGAACCTGGGAGGTGGAGGTTGAGGTGAGCCCAAATCGTGCCATTGCACTCCAGCCTGAGCAACAAGAGAGAAACTCCATCTCAAAAAAAAGAAAAGAAAAGAAAAAGGCATGATCCCTGACTAGGGCTCCACCCCTATGGACCTGCGTGAGGACAGGCATTTCCTGCCCAAATTTTGCATTTCCCAAGACCACCCTGACCTGCCACGCCCCCATCCTGTGCCTATAGAAACCCCTGAGACTGTAGCAGGCAGACACACAAGCGGCTGTACATCAAGAGGAACACATCAGCAGATGAATACACAGGCAGCTGGACGTCAAGAGGAGCACATCGGTGAAGGAACACACAGGTGGCTGGACATCAAGAGGGTCGCGCTAACAGGCACTGGCATGCCGGTAGGCCACCGACCGGCAGAAGCAGAAGGAGGCGGAGTTTGGCTGGGGCAGTTGGAGGAAAACCCAGGCCGCTAACGGCCTGACTCCAGGGGAAAACCTTCCCACTCCATCCCCTTCTCATTTCCCCCATTTGCTGAGAGCTACCTCCACTTAATAAAATCTTGCACTCATTCTCCAAACCCAGGTGTGATCCAATTGTTCCGGTACACGGGGATACAGAAAGTCCTCTGTCCTTGCAACAAGGTAGGGGATCTAATTGAGCTGGTTAACACAAGCCACCTATAGACAGCAAAACTAAAAGAGCATCCTATAACACACACCCACTGGGGCTTTAGGAACTGTAAACATTCACCAGTAGACACTGCTGTGGGTTCAGAGCCCCACAGCCTTACCCGTCTGTATGTTCCCTGAGAGGTTTGAGCAGTGAGGCACTGAAGAAGGGAGCCACACCGCCATCTCAGACTCTGAGAGGGGGACGAGGGAACTTTTTCCGTGTCAATTATCATCAAGGGTCTCGTCATTGGCATTTACCCACAAAAGCCCCAATGGGGGCCTGTAAAGGGAACACTAATTCTTTCCATTCCCTTATGGTATAACTATCTTTTTTTTTCTTTTTTGAGATGGAGTCTCAATGTGTCTCCCAGGCTGGCGTGCAGTGGTGCGATCTCAGGTCACTGCAACCTCCGCCTACCAGGTTCAAAAGATTCTCCCACCTCAGCCTCCCAAGTAGCTGGGATTACAGGCACGCACCACCACACTGTGGTAATTTTTTTATTTTTACTAGAAATGGAGTTTCACCATGTTGGCCAGGCTGGTCTTGAACTCCTGACCTCAGGTGATCCACCTGCCTTGGCCTCCCAAAGTGCTGGGATTAAAGGTGTGAGCCACTGAGTCAGGCCCAGCTCTTCTTCTTCTTCTTCTTCTTTTTTTTTTTTTTTTTTTTTTTTGAGACGGATCTCACTCTGTCGCCAGGATGGAGTGCAGTGGTGTGATCTCGGCTCACTGCAACCAACCTCCACCTCCTGGGTTCAAGCAATTCTTCTGCTTCATCCTCTTGAGTAGCTGGGACTACAGGTGCACGCCACCATGTCTAGCTGAGTTTTGTATTTTTAGTAGAGATGGGGTTTCACCATGTTGGCAAGGGTGGTCTCTAACTCTCCAACCTCGTGATCTGCCAGCCTCGGCCTCCCAAAGTGCTGAGATTACAGGCATGAGGAGCCACTGTGCCCGGCCGCATCTCTTCTTAATTTTTGTCTAATTTCATCCTACCTCAAAATCAACTCTGAGACTATGGTTTATGCTTTTCTGAATTCTCAGCCTTCACCTTGCCTAAGGAGGCTTAGATACCTGTGTTGGCTGCTGTGCTGGGGATTGGGATTGTGGGACACCATAAGGTTATGTAATTGTGTTTACAGTGGCTTAACAAACCACTTTTTTCATTAGTCTTCTCATACTTATTTATTGAGCACTCATTCATTTCTGTGTCTACCACAAAAAAGATGGATGTGGTCTCTGCCCTAGAGGAGTTCACACTGAAATTTCCAGTCACGTAAGTCACATTCTCTGTGTCACTAGCTTGACAAAATAAAACTAAAATCTACAAATAGGTTGAGTGTGCTAATCACTCTACCAACTAGCTCCTGAATGCTCCCTGGGGCCAAGCTCCTTTTTTGGATACAGGAATGCTGGCTCCCCAGACAGGATCTTGTACCCAGTGTGCTCTGTTCTCTATGAAGGATGAGACACAGGCCCCATGCCAGCTGTAGATCTGCAAGCCTCGTTGGCTCCCTGTTCCCAGCACTACAGCTTAAAACCATATTTTTCACTACCACTTCTTTTCCCTTTCAGTTTTAGGGAGAGGAAACTAACATTTTTGGACTACCTTCTATGTGCCAGGTTCTTTCATATACATTGTGCTCTGCTAAAATCTTCACAATTCCGTGATAAACAAGTCAATTCTGGAATCTAAAATAGGCATATAATATCAGAAAGAGGACTAGCTTTTGAATCATGAAGAATGAAGCTTCAATTCTGGCTCAGCCACCTATAAGTCATTACTAGTTTATTAATTCCTTTCTTCATTTATTCACTTAAAGAATTTTTTAAACTCCTCCTTTACATTCTAACTCTGTGGTAGGAGGTGAGGATACAAAGGTCAATAGAACATAAGCCTGTTTTCAAGGCCTTCACTTTGAGCAGTGGAGCAGGGAGAGGAAAATTCTTTTTATTTCTGAGACGGCGTTTCACTCTTGTTGCCCAGGCTGGAGTGCAATGGCACGATCTCAGCTCACTGCAACCTCCGCCTTCCGGGTTCAAACAATTCAGGGAGAGGAAAATTCTTAAACAGATTGTATTTGTAACACTATTACACTTTTTACAGGTTATTATTATGAAAACTTTCTGACTCCTCACAATTTAAGTAGCCTGAGCCTCGGGTTCTTCATTTGTAAATTTTTTTTTTTTGAGACGGAGTCTTGCTCTGTTGCCCAGGCTGGAGTGCACTGGTGCGATCTCAGCTCACTGCAACCTCTGCCTCCCTGGTCCAGGTGATTCTCCTGCCTCAGCCTCCTGAGTATCTGGGATTACAGGTGAGCACCACCATGCCTGGCTAATTTTTTTTTTTTTTTTGAGACAGAGTCTTGCTCAGTCGCCCAGGCTGGAATGCAGTGGCCCGATCTCGACTCACTGCAAGCTCCACTCCCCGGGTTACGCCATTCTCCTGCCTCAGCCTCCCGAGTAGCTGGGACTACAGGCACCGGCCACCACGCCCGGCTAATTTTTTTGTATTTTTATTTTTATTTATTTATTTATTTTATTTTTTATTTTTTATTTTTTTTGAGACGGAGTCTGGCTCTGTCCGCCAGGCTGGAGTGCAGTGGCGCGATCTTGGCTCACTGCAAGCTCCGCCTCTCGGGTTCGCGCCATTCTCCTGCCTCAGCCTCCCGAGCAGCTGGGACTACAGGCGCCCGCTACCGCGCTCGGCTAATTTTTTGTATTTTCAGTAGAGACAAGGTTTCACCATGTTAGTCAGGATGGTTTCGATCTCCTGACCTTGTGATCCGCCCGCCTCGGCCTCCCAAAGTGCTGGGATTACAGGCGTGAGCCACCGCGCCCGGTCTTTTTTGTATTTTTAGTAGAGAGAGGGTTTCACTGTGTTAGCCAGGATGATCTCGATCTCCTGACCTCGTAATCCGCCCGCCTTGGCCTCCCAAAGTGCTGGGATTACAGGCGTGAGCCACCGGGCCAGGCAATTTTTGTATTTTTAGTAGAGATGGGGTTTTGCCATGTTGGCCAGGCTGGTCTCGAACTCTTGACCTCAGGTGATCCCGCCCACCTCAGCCTCTCAAATTGCTGTGGTTACGGTTGTGAGCCACCATGCCCGGCCTAAATTAGGAATAATTCTGTCTTACTTCCAGTACTTCCAGGCACAGTGGCTGGCATATACAAGGTAGTAACATTGCAAAACCCACCGCTTCAGGGAAAGGCTTTCGTGAGCCTTTCCTTCTCTTTTTTTTGTAAATTAAAAACAATAAGTGATCATTTAACACATTGTATTTGAAGGCTTATAATTAATTTTAAGTATATCTGTTTATATAACTTTGTTACAATAATAACAGATATGAAAGGAAATTACTCCAAATCTCACCATCCTGTTAATAGAAAATAAATTATTTTCATTTGCTAACCTTGCTTTTCAGTCTTTGTCCATGTTACAAAGCTATATCCTTCCATAAATACTTTTTTGTTATATTTTTTAATGGCTGTGAAATATTTAATTTACTGGATTCTTGCTATTTGCTTAACCAGTCCTATATTGTTCAACATTTCTCTTCAGAGGCAGAGTGATTTAGTGGAAACAATGGAAAGTTTGAAAACAAAGATCTTAGGTTTGAAATCTTAGTTGAACCTCTTACTACGTGACCTTGGGTAAGTTATTTAACCTTTCTAAAACAAACTTTTTCTTGGCTGTTATAAAAGAGGACTTTTTCTTTCTTTCTTTCTCCCCCACCTCCCTCTTTTTTTAGAGATGGGGTCTCGCTATGTAGCCCAGGCTGTAGCGTAGTGGCTACTCATAGGCACGATCTTAACAGGCTGTCACCTTGAACTTCTGGTCTCAAGCAATCCTCCTGCCTCAACAGGAGGATTACGCCTGGCTAGGAAGGTGTCTTTTATTTTTATTTATTTATTTATTTATTTTTGAGATAGAGTCTCGCTCTGTCACCCAGGCTGGAGTGCAGTGGCATGATCTCGGCTCACTGCAAGCTCCACCTCCTGGATTCACGCCATTCTCCTGCCTCAGTGTAGCTGGGACTACAGGCGCCCACCACCACACCCGGCTAATTTTTTGTATTTTTAGTAGAGACGGGGCTTCACCGTGTTAGCTAGGATGGTCTCAATCTCCTGACCTTGTGATCCGCCCACCTTGGCCTCCCAAAGTGCTGGGATTACAGGTGTGAGCCACCGCGCCTGGCAGGAAGGTGTATTTTAATAGGGATTATGCTTTTACTCTGCATTAAGAGGTGATTTATATGAAGTCCCAACTAAAATTTGGATACTCAATAAAAAGCCATGATTTCAGTATTTGGTAATTACTAATACGTAATGTGATAAAAACCTTTCACACATAAAGTTCATTTAATCTTCCGTGTTATTGCCTTAGGATAAAGTCTCATAAGTGGAATTACTGGGTCAGAGTTTAAACATTTCGTTTCGTTTTGTTTTTTTGAGACGGAGTTTCGCTCTTGTTGCCCAAGCTGGAGTGCAATGGCACGATCTCGGCTCACTGCAACCTCCGCTTCCCGGGTTCAAGCGATTCTCCTGCCTCAGCCTCCCTAGTAGCTGAGACTACAGGCGCGTGCCACCACGCCCGGCTAATTTTTTGTATTTTTAGTAGAAACGGGGTTTCGCCGTGTTAGCCAGGATGCTCTCGATCTCCTGATCTCGTGATCCGCCCGCCTTGGCCTCCCAAAGTGCTGGGATTACAGGCGTGAACCACCGCGCCCGGCAGTTTAAATATTTTAGTGGCTATCAGAAACACATCTCAAATTGCTTTTCAGAAAGTTTCCTTCAATCACGCAGCCATTAGCAATCGATTGCACCACACACTGTATCTGACTCCCTTTATGAACATTGTGGATATAGTATGTGAAACCTTTTGTAACTGATTGTTTTGCTTTTCTTTTTGTGGAACTTGAACATTTTTCGTTTTTGAACAGAAAGACTTGTCTGTAGGAACGACAGCTCAGGCAGCCACGTGGGCTGCGGACTGTGTTTGTGGACTACATCTCCCAAAGTGCTCCGCAGGCGCGCCCACAGGAAGTCGCCGGAGCATCTCCCGCCTCCACGCCGAGGCGAAGAGGTTCTATCCGGGGCCTTGGCGCTTCTCTTTCCTTTCGCGCCGGTTGCCGCTGCGGAGCGCGGCGGGTCCATGTGCGCAGTGAGTGGCGCTATTCCTGGCCCAGTAGCACCCGAGCCCCGGGTTTGACCGAGTCCGCGCTGCGATGGACCCCAACACCATTATCGAGGCCCTGCGGGGCACTATGGACCCAGCCCTGCGTGAGGCCGCGGAGCGCCAGCTCAATGAAGTAAGGACGCCCGGCTAGCGGTGGCGGCGGGCAGGCGGGTGGGCAGAAGTGGCAGGCCGAGCCCCCGGGGCCTGGCCGGAGGCGCGGACGACGTCGTTGAGGGTCCCAGCAGGAGGGTGGGGCGGACATCTGACGGCGACTTCCACGCCGGGGCGCCTCGGTGTGGTGTGGTGGTGGTGGCTGCAGCCAAGGCTGCCTTTGCTTCGGATCCTGAGCTGGGCCTCTGGCTGCGGTCTAGGCATGAGGAGCCGGCTGAGGCGGGGCGGGCGTGACGGGTTGGACACATGGCTGGCTCGGGTGGCTGGCCGACCTCTGGCTCATTCCCAGCTGGTTCCTCACGTCCAGGAGGGGGCGAAACTTACTGGGAGGTTTTTCAGATGTTTCTGAGACCAGTCTCGCCGTCGCAGGGTTTGGAAGGGCTCCTGGGAATGCCGGCTGGTCCTTTGGGGGCTGCGCCTGTCATCCTTGTCACTTTGCTGGGCTGATCAGTGGCCTGCCTCGGGCACAACTTCCTCCTCTCTGGCTGAGTTGCTAGGGAAGGCTTTCAAAGGCAAGCCCGCGCCTCCTTGGCAGGATAGGAGTAGTGCGGGACACTCACAGAGTCTGATCCCTGCTTTTCCGCTGTCCTAATGCTTCAGTCGGGGAGCTGGCTTATGTAGTGGGAAGGATCAGGTGAAGTGCACCCTTCTAGGTATAGCTGCACCATTGATTCCTTGAGTGACCTTGGGCCAGTCGCTTAACCTCTTGATCCTGAGTTTTTCCCATTCATAAAATTACGCCACAGAGTTGCTGTGACAGACAGGTGAGATAATGTTAAGTCTGAGTGCCTTGGAACATGCTGAGCTCCTTATCAGTTCAGATATTGCATTCTCTGAAGGTTTTTTTTTTCCCCCATATTTTGTGGGGACCGCTCCTTGGAAAACAGCTTAATTGCATGAATATTTATTGTACTATCTCCAGTGTCATTCTTTGTTTCTAAACTTTTGCATTTTTACGTATTAATGATCAGTATTTTAAATCCTTCTTAAAAGGGCTGCTGTAACTTTTCTGCCAGTTAGTAACTGTCCTTCAGCATGCTGCTGAATCTGCCAGCTTTACTGAACTTTAGTGTACATTTTTTAACTGAAAAAGAAATCACACTTTAAAATAGAAATTCAACTATTTTATGCGTCTTTTAGCTGGTAAGTAAATAATTTAAAAACATTGTTTATATTGACTTACCAGAAACAGCAGAAATATTACTAACTGGACTTTCAGTGTAAAGGGCTGCACTAGAGATCCCTGCCCTCACGGAACTTACAGTTCAAGAAGACTACCTACAGAGTTTACACAAATTAAATGTAAAATTATTTCAGAATGTTAAATCTATTTTATATGTAAATGAGATCATTATTATACCACACAAAGTGATGATTACATGTTCAAATTTTTAGACTCAGAGTCACCTTGGGAGGAGCTTAGATTTTTTTGGATATAAAATAGTGAGTTGAACCGTATTACCATTTTGAACCATTACCAAACTATGGAAGGAGCAATGGATCACTTTTTGTTTTGATTTGCTTAGTGATAGACATGGGTTAAGTTGAAAATTATTTTGCTTATTAAATAGTAATGCAGTTACAAGCCTAGAAAAGCTAAAAGTTTAGTCATGGTCATTTCTACCATGACTTTGCTCTAATCGCGTATTATTTTGACTAATTATACTTGCATGTAATTATTAATTTTAAAAGTGAGTACTTGAAGAGTTGGTTTGCTTCTACAAAAATGGGGGAAATAATACTTCCTGAAAATCTGAAATTCATTTATTCCTCAAATAGACATTACATGTCTAGTATATGCACTAACATCTTGTAGTAGAAACCTGGGGTATTTCACAAGCTAGTTTTTGGAAGATAAACAAATGATCAAAATAGTATTCAATGCCTTTTTTACTTAACCATTAAACTACTGTTTTGGAATACTGTCAAACAGTGAACACCGCTAATCTGTCAAAGAAAATTTGTTACATGGCCTTTATTTTTGTAATCCTTAACTATTTACATTTCATACATTTCTTTCAATTATAACACCTAGATTTTTAAATATTCTTCCTAAGGTAAATTTTCTATTAGTATATTTACTTTCATTCCATTTTAATACACTACTTCTCCCTCTCCCTTCTTCCATTTAAATATTTTTTGCTTTGACTTTCTTGTGGCAGAACATTGATTTGGGAGACAGATCTCAGACAAGTCTTGAATATTGTTAAGAATGAGGAAGTAACATTTCTGAAAGGCTCTTGCTTTGGAGAAGATAGAAGAACGAATTATTCTATGATGTCTCTCATTCCAGTGAAGCTGTGTTTTGGTTCATTTAGAACCAAAGAATAAGATCATTGACATTTGAATGAATCTCTTCACAAAGTGAAATAATCACTGACTCAATGTAAAATTTGTAAATGTTATTAAAGTGTTTATAGTATAGACAGTTTCGAAACAAAATAGCCCTTCTGCCTCAGAGTCTTTGCACTTAACTCCTTGGAACTCCTTTCACATAGTTATCCCCCTAACTTGTTCTCTCATTTCCTTCCATCCCTGTTCAAATGTCTCCTTATCACTGAGGAGTTCCTTGACCATCATACTCCCTATCTCCTTTCACTTGTTTTTCTCTATAGCACTGATTTGTCATACATATTTGGCTTACTTTTAAAATTAATTTTATTTGGCCAGGCACGGTGGCTCACGCCTGTAATCCCAGCATTTTGTGAGGCTGAGGCGGACTGATCACTTGAGGTTGGGAGTTTGAGACCAGCCTGACCAACATGGAGAAACCCCATCTCTACTAAGAATACAAAATTAGCTGGGCGCGGTGGCGCATGCTTGTAATCCCAGCTACTCAGGAGGCTGAGGCAGAAGAATCGCTTGAACCTGGGAGGCGGAGGTTGCGGTGAGCTGAGATCGTGCCACTGCACTCCAGCCTGGGCAACAGAGTGAGACTCCATCTCAAAAAAATTAATTAATTAATTAAATTTAAAACATTGGCTGGGCATGGTGGCTCATGCCTGGAATTCCAGCACTTTGGGAGTCCGAGGCGGGCGGATCACCTGAGGTTGGGAGTTCGAGACCAGCCTGACCAACATGGAGAAACCCCGTCTCTACTAAAAATACAAAATTAGCTGGGCGTGGTGGCGCATGCCTGTAATCCCAGCTACTAGGGAGGCTGAGGCAGGAGAATCGCTTGAACCCGGGAGGTGGAGGTTGCGGTGAGCCGAGATCGTACCATTGCACTCCAGCCTGAGCAACAAGAGCGAAACTGCGTCTCAAAAAATAAAAATAAAAATAAATAAATAAATAAATTTTTTTTTTTTTGAGACGGAGTCTTGCTCTTGTTGCCCAGGCTGGAGTGCAGTGGCGCAATATGAGCCCACCGCAACTTCTGCCTCCTGGGTTCAAGCAATTCTCCTGCCTCAGCCTCCCAAGTAGCTGGGATTACAGGCGTTTGCCACCACACCTGGCTAATTCTGTATTTTTAGCAGAGATGGGGTTTTACCATGTTGGCCAGGCTGGTCTCCAACTCCTGACCTTGTGATCCGCCCACCTCGGCCTCCCAAAGTGCTGGGATTACAGGAATGAGCCACCATGCCCAGCCTATTTATTTATATTTATTTTTTGAGACAGGGTCTTGCTCCATCACCCAGGCTGGAGTGCAGTGGCACCATCATGGCTCACTGCAGCCTCTCCCTCTCGGGCTCAAGCAACACTCCCACTTCAGCCTCCCAGGTAGCTGAGACTACGGGGATGTGCCACTATGCCCAATTAATTTTTGTATTTTTTGTAGAGACAAGGTTTCACCGTGTTGCCCAGGCTTATTTTTAATTTTTTCAGAGCTAAGGCCTTGCTATGTTACCCAGGCTGGAGTGCAGTGGGCTCCACTGCACTACATAGTACACTACAGCCTAGAACTCTTGGCCTCAAGCAGCGTCCTCCCATCTGAGCCTCCCAGGTGGCTGGGACTGCAGACACGTGCTACCACGCCTGGCCTAATTTTACTTAACTTTTCTTCTCCCCACTATAATTTTAAGTTTCTTGAGGTCATGAATTGTTATTTTTTGTTATTGTTATTCCTTGATTTCCCAGTAATAGGCTTTATGACTGACTTCCTGTTATAATATTAATAAATAACAGTATAGGCTTTAGCTCTTTTATTTATTTTTTAAAATTTATTATTATTATTATTAGTATTTTTGTGGCAGGTTCTCACTCGGTTGCCCAGGCTAGAGTGCGGTGGCATGATCTTGGCTCACTGTAGCCTCCAATCCCAGGTTCAAGCGATTCTCAGTCCTCAGCCTCTTGAGTAACTGAGACTACAGGTGCCACCACATCTGGCCAATTTTTGTATTTTTAGTAGAGACGGGGTTTCGCCACATTGCCCAGGCTGGTCTCGAACTCCTGACCTTAAGTGATCCACTCACCTTGGCCTCCCAAAGTGCTGAGATTACAGGCATGAGCCACCACACCAGCCGGTGTTTTTAAATATAATGCCAGGAAGATTTTTATTAAATACTCATTCCGAAGGATAATTCCCAGTCTGGTTCATGTAACAGCAAATGTCTGTGTGCTAGGCACTGAGCTAAGTAGTTAGATGCAGAGAAATTTATGATCACTGCCTTTCTAGAGCTCCATAATCACCACGTCACTGGCCCATACAATACATGTGGTCAGTACTATAATAAAGCTACATGTAAGTTTTGGATGACGAAACTATTAGATCTGATTTTGGCTAAGGTGGATATGATCTCCGCATCAATAGTCTTTCCCCTGTTATATTCGCAGTCAAGAAAAATGCTGTAAGTGGAATTAGAGGGTTTACCCAGGAGACATTTAAACTCTTAGTTCCTAAGCTCAATATGGTATATAATGGTTATATATGTATATACACCTTTTTTTTTTTTTGAGTGGAGTTTCGCTCTTTTTGCCCAGGCTAGAGTGCATTGGTGCCATCCGGCTCACTGCAACCTCCATCTCCCGGGTTCAGGCAATTCTGCCTCAGCCTCCCGAGTAGCTGGGATTAAAGGAATGCACCACCACACACGGCTAATTTTTGTGTTTTTAGTAGAGACGGGGTTTCACCATGTTGGCCAGCCTGGTCTTGAACTCCTCACTGCAGGTGATTGCCCACCTCAGCCTCCCAAAGTCTTGGGATTACAGGCGTGAGCCACTGCGCCTGGCCTAATTTTATATTTTTAGTAGAGACGGGGTTTCGCCATGTTGGCCAGGCTGGTCTCGAACTCCTGACCTCAGGTGATCCGTCCGTCTTGGCCTCCCAAAGTGCTGGGATTACAGGCCTGAGCCACCGTGCCCGGCCTAATGGTTTTATATGTACAGGCAGCAGTGCTACTTTCTCACTTGCTTTATATGAAAAAGTGATCTTGCTTTTGGTAAGTTTCTTGATATTTTGTGTGTGTGTGTGTTTTTTTTTTTTTAACTCACACTACCCTGGATCACTTTTGGGATTGTCACAAAAGGTTAACTATTACTGCTGTATGTGATATACCTTACTTATAAATGGTTCATTTGATTCCATTTTATTAAAAGTATTTAATGAAAATCTTAGGTCTGGAAAAGTGTAAAATAATGGCATATTTGTAAGATAATTTGGAATGTTTAGAAATTAAGCAAAATATTTTAGGAAGACCAGAGTAGCCTGTAGTTTAGATAACATTCCTTCACCAGGAATATTTTGAAGTACTGTTCTGAATTTGGGAGAAGGAAAGTCCCTGGATACTTCGGCTGTTAGATAGCAAGTTATTCAATGATATAGCTTGTTAAAGATCTGAAAGAGTTTGGGCGCAGTGGCTCACGCCTGTAATCCCAGCACTTTGGGAGGTAAAAGCAGGAAGAGGATCGCTCGTCCAGGAGTTTGAGACCAGCCTGGGCAACATACAAAAAAAATTTTTTTTTTTAGCCAGAGCCTCGCTCTGTCACCCAGGCTGGAATGCAGTGGCGCAGTCTTGGTTCACTGCAACCTCTGCCTTCTGGGTTCAAGCAATTCTCCTGCCTCAGCCTCCCGAGTAGCTGGGACTGCAGGCGCCCGCCACCACTCCTGGCTAATTTTTGTATTTTTGGTAGAGATGGGGTTTCACCTTGTTGGCCAGGCTGGTCTTGAACTCCTGACCTCAGGTGATCCACCCGCCTCTGCCTCCCAAAGTGTTGGGATTACAGGCATGAATCACAGCGCCCGGCTGCTAAATGATTTCTAATAAAAAAGTTTTTTTTTAAAGTTCCTAGTTGGAGGTCAGATGCGGTGGCTCACGCCTGTAATCCAGCACTTTGGGAGGCCGAGGTGGGCGGATCACAAGGTCGGGAGTTCGAGACAAGCCTGATCAACATAGTGAAACCCCGTCTCTACTGAAAATATGAAAAATTAGCCGGGTGTGGTGGTGGGTGCCTGTAATCCCAGCTACTTGGGAGACTGAGGCAGGAGAATCACTTGAACCCGGGAGGCGGAGGTGCAGTGAGCCAAGATCACGTCATTGCATTCCAGCCCGGGCAACAGTGCAAGACTCTGCCTCAAAAAAAGAAAAATAAAATAAAAGTTCTGGCCGGGCATGGTGGCTCACGCCTGTAATCCCAGCACTTTGGGAGGCTGAGGTGGGTGGATCATGAGGTCAGGAGATCGAGACCATCCTGGCTAACATGGTGAAACCCCATTTCTACTAAAAATACAGAAAATTAGCTGGGCATGGTGGTGGGTGCCTGTAGTTCCACCTACTCAGGAGGCTGAGGCAGAATGGCATGAACCTGGGAGGCAGAGCTTGCGGTGAGCAGAGATCACACCACTGCACTCCAGCCTGGGCGACAGCAAGACTCCATCTTAAAAAATAAAATAACATAAAACTTCCTAGTTGGAAAGCATAAAAATAATATTTTAAAATTATTTTTATTGTTATTATTTTTTGAGACAGGGTTTCACACTGTTACCCAGGCTGGAGTGCAGTAGTATGAACATGGCTCACGGCAGCCTTGACTCTCCTGGGATTAAGCTATCCTCCTGCCTTAGCCTCCCAACTAGCTGGGACTACAGGCGTGCACCACCACACCTGCCTAAGTTTTTTATTTTTTGTAGAGACGAGGTCTGTCTTTGTTGCCCAGCCTTGACTCCCAAGTGCTAGAATTACAGGTGCGAGTCACTGCACTTGGCTTATTACTGTTTTTTTAACAAAGGCAGAGGGACGCAGTGAAGAGCCTTAGCCTTGTCCTGAGTCTACGACTATAATGACTTAACCTCACTATGCCTTATATTTCATGTAGCCAAGGTAGATGTCATATTTGCCTTTGTCAAATTCTTTTTTTTTTTTTTTTTTTTTTTGAGACGGAGTTTCGCTCTTGTTGCCCAGACTGGAGTGCAATGGCACAATCTCGGCTCGCCACAACCTCCGCCTCCCGGATTCGGGCAATTCTCCTGCCTCAGCCTCTTGAGTAGCTGGGATTACAGGTATGCATTACCACGTCCGGCTAATTTTGTATTTTTAGTAGAGACGGGGTTTCTCCATGTTGGTAGGCTGGTCTCGAACTCCCGAGATCCGCCCACCTTGGTCTCCCTAAGTGCTGGGATTACAGGTGTGAGCCACTGTGCCCGGCTTGTCAAATGCTTTAGTAACAAGAAAGGTTAGAAGTTCCTTGGCTCTTGAAATTACCTGGTTGTATTTAATGTAAAAATCTGATAGCACGGGATTCTTCTACCTCCTGTGTTCCTTAAAAATGGTCTGAAGTATAGTAGCTAATTGAAAGTCTCTTTGGTTATATTTCAATGGAGAGAAATAATACAAAGTTACAGTTTTGGCCGGGTGCGGTGGCTCAGGCCTGTTATCCCAGCACTTTGGGAGGCCAAGGTGGGTGGATCATCTGAGGTCAGGCGTTTAAGACCAGCCTGGTCAACATGGCAAAACCCTGTCTCTACTAAAAATACAAAAATTAGCCGGGCATGGTGTTGCGTGCCTGTAATCCCAGCTACTCAGGAGGCTGAGGTATGAGAACCGCTTGAACCTGGGAGGCAGTGGCTGAAGTGAGCCAAGATTGCTCCACTGCACTCTAGCCTGGGCGACAGCAAGACTCTGTCTCAAAAAAAAAAAAAAAAAAAGTTACGGGTTTGAAGAGTATGTTTTAAAAGATACTGACATTAGTGATTACATTGGAAAATGTGGGTCCAGAGGGAAAACTGATTTTGAAGACATGAGTTACATACAGAGTGTCTAGTTTGAGGAGCTGGTAAACATCAAGTAGAAAAAGTCTAGCAGGCAATTGGAATGTGGAGCTGAAGTTTAGGAGAGAAAGCAGCAATGGAAAAGTGATATTCTTCTGCAGGCAGGTGATTACAGTAGTATGATCCAAAGGTATGGGATGGACTAGAGGGCTAAACTTTCAACCATGCCTATTTTGGGTACTTTGATAAACATCTGAAAAAGCAGACTGGAGATTTTGGGCATAAAAGTAAGAGAGAAGCCAAGAAAGATAATTTTAAGAAGGTTGCTTGTGGTTAGTGGTTAGTTTCCTTTTTCTTTTTCTTTTTTTCTTGAGACGGAGTCTCACTGTTGCCCAGGCTGGAGTGCAGTGGCACAGTGACAGCTCACTGCAACCTCCGTCTCCTGGGTTCAAGCAGTTCTCCTGCCTCAGCCTCCCTAGTAGCTGGGATAACAAGGCAACCACCACCACGTCCGGCTAATTTTTTTATATTTTTAGTAGAGAAGGAGTTTCATCACGTTGGCCAGGCTGGTCTCGAAGTCCTGACCTCAGGTGATCCACCCTCCTCGGCCTCCCAAAGTGTTGGGATTACAGGCGTGAGCCACCACACCAGGCCTAATTTCCTTTTTCTTACATAGATTTAATAAATTCTCTACCAAAGAGCATGAATTACTTTTGAAAATGAGTAAAAAATTTTTAGAAAAAAGAAAGGGGTGTTGATACTCCTAAATGAGAGAGGTTAAACAAACTGAAGACTTTCTGGGAAAATGCATTAAAGTATCAGTAACCTTGGAAAAGTAATTTCTAATTTTTTTCTTTTAATTTTTTTATTTTTTTGAGACAGTCTCTCTCTGTCTCCCAGCTGTAGTGCAGTGGTGCTATCTCGGCTCACTGCAACTTCTGCCTCCCAGGTTCAAGTGATTATCCTGCCTCAGCCTCCCAAGTAGCTGGGACTACAAGCGTGCGCCACCACGCCCAGCTAATTTTTGTATTTTTAGAGATGGGTTCCACCATGTTGGCCAGGATGGTCTCCATCTCTTGACTTCGTGATCCGCCCTCCTCGGCCTCCCAAAGTGCTGGGATTGCAGGCGTGAACCATCGCCCCCAGCCTTTTAATTTTTAAAATTATTATTAATTTTCCACGCAGTCAGAGGGGAAAGCAATTTCTGATTACAGTGTTAGTGAGTGGAATGCTAGTAAGGGGGCAGGGATAAGATTGTAAGTTAAAAGGGTGGCCATATTGGGAAATTCGTTGATGTGAGAGTGTGCGTTTTTCTTTTTCTATTTTTTAAAGTTGAGCTTATTTTGGGTGGCAGAGAAAGCAGCAGGGAAGCTTGGCTGTATAGTAGAATAGGGGCCTAGGTTTTTGAGGCCTGTTGCTACTACCTGTTGTACTAATAGTTTTTCATTCATGTTTTATAGTCATCATTCCTTGAATTACATTCTTCATTACATTCTTCACAGTGCTTCAAGAACTCATTTTCCTATAGCATAAATCTGATCATGTATAACCCTTCACAAAAAATTCATACTCTTTAAATTTTTTGGCCACAACCTACCAATTCATTTTTATCTTTCACTGTTCAAAGTCTTCTCTGATTTCTGAGTTTACGTCCCTTAGGTTCTAACTTGAAATTTTACTTATTAGCCCAATTGGAATTAAACTCCCAACATAACTTCATACTGATCTTTTTTTCTCCATAGTGTCTGGCGCATTGTCAGTACTAGTAAGTAGAATGGAGTTGGGTTTGTTGAAGAATTTTGATGAGATGAATTAAGTGTGACTATTGAAATTATCTGGGTTGATGACAGATAATGAGAAGGTTCAAAGATGTCTAGGAAGGTGATTTTGTGTTATGGTTAAGAGCTTTTAAAACTAGAGTATTAGGAGTTTTAGCCCTAATTAATGATGTATAATGACTCATTTGGTGCTTCAGTTCTATGCTAGAATCCAGGAGCTTGAGAAGGGGACTACTGGGCATATAATTAGGGGCAGCATCCAGAAGTTATATTTATATTTTGACTCATATAAAAAATCTATTGTAGCATCTTCTGAGGCCTGTATTGATGTTTGCCAAATTGTTGACAATAATACCATAATTGCCCAAATTTTAAAGGGTTTTTGTGATAAAGATTGAAACTAGTGATATTTTTAATTAAGCTTATTTTATTTTTATTTTTATTTTTATTTTTTGAGATGGAGTTTCACTCTTTTCGCCCAGGCTAGAGTGCAGTGGTACGATCTCGGCTCACTGCAGCCTCCACCTCCCAGGTTCAAGCCATTCTCCAGCCTCAGCCTCCTGAGTAGCTGGGATTACAGGCGCCCCCCACTGTGCCCGGTTAATTGTATGTTTACCAGAGATGGGGTTTCACCATGTTGGCCAGGCTGGTCTTGAACTCCTGACTTTGTGATCTGCCTGCCTTGGCCTCCCAAAGTGCAGGGATTACAGGTGTGAGCCACCGCCCCCGGCCCTCACTTGTTACCTTCTTTGGGAGAATACAAGTCTTCATGTCTTAAGGATTTCAGGTGGGTAGAAATGTGTATGGGGCAGCTAGATGGATGTCCCTGGTTGAGATTGCCTGTGCTATATCCCCGCTAACAGAAATATACTTTCTTATTTTTACTTCAGCTTAGTTGTCTGAAAGTTATAAAGTTATGCTTTTTTTTGAGACGGAGGCTCACTCCGTTCCCCAGGCTGAAGTGCAATGGCGCAATCTCGGCTCACTGCAACCTCTGCCTCCCAAGTTCTAGTGATTTTCCTGCCTCAGCCTCCCAAGTAGCTGGGATTACAGGCAGCCGCCACCACGTCTGGCTAATTTTTGTATTTTTTTTTTAAATAAAGATGGGGTTTTACCATGTTGGTCAGGCTGGTCTCGAACTCCTGACCTCAGGTGATCCACCCGTCTCAGCCTCCCAGAGTGCTGGGATTACAGGCGTGAGCCACCATGCCTTGCTGAAAGTTATGCTTTTTTTCATCCATTGCACTTTTAAAATTTATACTTATATGTTTTTGAAGGTAATAAGGTTAATAAAGTGTTGAGTGTTGGGCCGGGCGTGGTGGCTCACCCCTATAATCCCAGCACTTTGGGAGGCCCAGGTGGGTGGACCACTTGAGGTCAGGAGTTGGAGACCAGCCTGGCCAGCATGGTGAAAACGCCTCTACTAAAAATACAAAAATTAGCTGGGCGTAGCAGCACATGCCCCTGTAATCCCAACTACTCAGGAAGCTGAGGCAGGAGAGTCATTTCAACCTGGGAGGCGGAGGTTGCAGTGAGCCGAGATTGCGCCACTGCACTCCGGCCAGGGAGACAAAGCGAGACTCCATCTCAAAAACAAAGTCGTAAGTGCTTATTTTCATAGTTCAGTGTTGTCGATTTAACTATTCACACATTTAAAGTATGCAATACAGTGGCTTTTAGTATGTTCACAGTTGTACAGCCATCACCCAATCTTTAAAACATTTCCATCACCCCACAAAGAAAATTCATATCTTACCAGTCACTCCGCATTCCGCCCCGACCCCATTCCTAGCCCTAGGCAACAATCCTATTTTCTGTCTATGTAGATTTGTGTATTCCAGACATTTCATGTAATTGGAATCATACAATATGTAGTCTTTTGTGACTGGCTTCTTTCATACAGTATTGTTTTCAAAGTTCATACATTGTTGTAACATGTATCAGTATTTCATTTTTTAAATTGCCGAATAGCATTCTATTGTATGTATCGATAAGACACATTTTACTTTCATTAGTTGATGGGCATACAGGTTGTTTCCACTTTTACAGTATTATGAGTAATGCTGCTGTGAAAGTTGGGGTAAAAATAGTCTCAGTTTTGTTTTTTTAAGTTAAATCTGGGTAACCAGCACCCAGACCAAGAGACATGTAACATTTTCATTGGCCTAGAAAGTTTCCGTGATACTCTTCCTATTCAGTACTGTTTCTCCTCCAAGTTACTATTTTTCTGACTTCTATTACTATAGGTTAGATTTGCTTGCCTTAACACACCTAATGTTGCTATACATCTGTCCAGCCAACAAAAACAGTGGTGGTTTTTGTTGTTGTTTAGGGTTGAGGTCTTGCTTTGCTGCCCAGGCTGGAGTGGAGTGGTGTGATCATAGCTCACTGCAGCCTCGAACTGCAAACGCATGCTTCCACTTCCAGCTATTATAATTTTTAGGCTGGGCGCAGTGGATCACGAGGTCAGGAGTTCAAGACCAGCCTGGCCAAGATGTTGAAACCCCGTCTTTACTAAAAATAATTTAAAAAAAAATATATATATATATATATATATATTAGTCGGGCACGGTGGCAGGTGCCTGTAAATTTTTTTAAATTTTCTGTAGAGGTAGCATCTTGCTATGTTGCTCAGGCTGGTCTTGATCTCGTGACCTCAGGTGATCCTCCTGCATCAGCCTCCCAAAGCACTGGGATTACGGGTGTGAGCCACTGTGCTGGGCAGTTTTTGTTGTTCCAACATGGCTTCCAAACATAAACCAACAGTTTAATCTGGGGTTCTAATCATATAAAGTAGTCTGTTTCAAGTTAAGGAAAAACTTCAGTGTTGGGATCTCAAGAGAGATTGTATACGCAAAACCATGTATGTGTGCTTTGTGGGCGATTTAAGGAACTAAAGGGTAACTTGGCTATACATCGTTTACACCTTACTGATGTTAGAGCATACTCTGAGAAAGGTGAGAGTCTACTGAATATGGATATACAAAGGATATAAAATTTGTTATGTCTTGATATTTGCTAAGATATTTTCTGTGTTGTTTTATATACTCCTTGTAGCCATCCTGTGAAGTAGATTTTATTATTCCTATTTTGTAATTGAGACTTAGATTTACTGAATCAACTTGTTGAAGGCTTAGCATTCTAGGAAGTGGCATCACCTAGATTTACAACCAAGACTATCTGATTGCAGCAGTTCTTTCCAGGAATTCATGATTTGATGCAGGAGAGAAGATACATACTGTAATGTAAATGGTCTGAAAACTGCCCTAGTAGTGTGGATAGTAGTGTCCTTTGGGCTCATCTGTCTGTCCCTTAAATATAAAAACCTTTCTCACTCTACACTGCCCCTAGGCAATCACATCTTCCAAGGCATTTATTTCTTGGCTCTTCCAATTCATTCAGTGAATTTTTTTAATAGCTTAAATGCCACGTGTCATATGAAGAACTGGGGATATAAACAGTATAGTTCCTACTCAGTGGGGCTTAGAGTCTAATTAATAGGAGAAACAGGCATAAGACCCATCTACAAATATAGTAAACAAATATGTAATAAGCATTATGAAGAAAAATAATGGTTATGAGAGCAATAGGGAGCCCTACTTTAGCTTGAGTGATCAGGCAGAAAAGGCTTCTGTAAGGAAATAATGTTTAAGCCGAAACCCAAAGAATGCGAAGCTGTGAACCAGTTAACTGGTGGAGCATGCAAGAGAAGGATGTTGTAGGTAGAAAGACACAGCATGTACAAAGACTCTGAAATGAAGTCATGTGTTTCTTTTTGCTTTTATTATTTTTTAATTGATACATGATAATTGTATAATACATATCTATGGGATACAGTGGTGTTTCAGTACATGTATACAACAACGTAATGATCAAATCAGGGTAATTAGCATATTCATCTCAAATGTATATCATTTCTTTGGGCTAGGAACATTGAAAATCTGCTTCTAGCTATTTGAAAATATACAATAAGTTGTTGTTAATTATGGTTACCCTACAGTGCTATAGAACACTAGAACTCACTAGTTCTATCTAGCTGTGATTTTGTATCTGTTAAATATGTTTCTTTCTTGTTGAAAGAACCTAAAGGCTGGTAGGTGGGGCAGTGAGTGGAGCGTGTTGAGAAAGTTTTTAAAAATGAGGCTGAAGAAAATGGCAGGGACAAGATGTCTTCATGTAGGACCTTGGAAGGTGCAGTAGAAAGCTTGTTAAAAGGTTTGCTTAAAGGGGATTGATTTATAATTTTAAAAGATCTTTGGCTGCTAAATGGAGAATGATTGGGGGCACAAATAGTTAAATTAAGAGGGATGATAGTCACTTGGACTAGGTTGGTGTTCATGGGAATGGAGAAAATGGATGCTTTTTTTTTTTTTTTTGACAGAGTTTCACTCTTGTTGCCCAGGCTGGAGTACAATGGCACAATCTCGGCTCACCACAACCTCTGTCTCCGGGTTCAAGCGATTCTCCTGCCTCAGACTCCCGAGTAGCTGGGATTACAGGCATGCACCACCACCCCGGCTAATTTTGTATTTTTAGTAGAGACGGGGTTTCTCCATGTTGGTCAGGCTGGTCTTGAACTCCTGACCTCAGGTGATCCACCCGCCTCGGCCTCCCAAAGTGCTGGGATTACAGGCGTGAGCCACCGCGCCCGGCAGCATTTTAAAGAAGGATTTTGGGTATAGAATTGACAGGACTTGATATATTAAATTGGGTTGATGAAGAGGAAGGTGGTGAGGATTACTGTGAGGATAGTGATGAGAGGTTGGGAGAAATGGTGCAGGGAAGTAGAGTAATAATTTTCAGTGGAAAATTATGCTTTGTAAAGATAGTGATTGGATGAGATCATCTGGGGAGAAGAAAGATGGCCTATGACCAAGTCCTGGTGAATTCTAGCATTTATAGATTAAACAGGATGAGAAATCAGTAAAGGAGCCTGAGAAGGAGAGAGACCAGAATAAATGGTATGCTGAGTGGCATAGGTGGAAGGGTGTTTAAGTAAAGTGACAATGGTTGGCAATGTTCACATCTAGGGTAGTGGAAAGGGTCAATACCTCCCTTTCATCCACCTAACTCCTTCTGTTCAGGTCTTCTGTATTAGGGGATCCTCCTTTTGATTCTTCAATACTGTTACTTCTTCCATTACACACTTTTCCCTTGGTAACTGAGGGACTGGTTCCAGGACCCCCACGGATATCAAAATTCATGGATGCTGAAGTCCCTTAATATAAAATGGTGTAGTATTTGCTTATAACCTGTACACATCCCCTGAACACTTTAAATCTTTTTAGATTGCTTTTAATACCTAATACAATGTAAATGCTACGTAAATAGTTGCTGTACTTATATTAAGTACTGTTTGTATTATTTTTATTGTTGTATTGTTATTTAAAATTTTTTTCCCCCAAACATTTTCCATCTGTGGTTGGTTGAATTCATGGATTTGAAACCCACAGATATGGGGGCACCGACTGTATTTTATTGCAGTTATCTATTTGGTTATCTTGTTTTTCTTGACAACACTGTAAGTTGCCATGAGGTCATAGAGCCCGGTTGTCATATTCAACCCTGTAGCCTCAGCTGCTGGCATAATGTCTTATAGCACAAACACCTAAATAAGTAATTTTTTTTTTTTTCTGAGACCTAATCTCGCTGTCGCCCAGGCTGGAGTGCGGTGGCGCGATCTCGGCTCACTGCAGGCTCCGCCCCCGGGGTTCACACCATTCTCCTGCCTCAGCCTCCAGAGTAGCTGGGGACTACAGGCGCCTGCCACCTCACCTGGCTAATTTTTTGTATTTTTAGTACAGACGGGATTTCACTGTGTTAGCCAGGATGGTCTCGATCTCCTGACCTCGTGGTCCGCCCGCCTCGGCCTCCTAAAGTGCTGGGATTACAGGCGTGAGCCACTGTGCCCGGCCTACTAAATAAGTAATTTTTGGAGTGATTGAAAGAATAAAGTCTAGATTCTAATGTGAAATAATTTTTTACATTCAATGGAAAATTATATTCAAAGGAAAATTCTGCACCCAGCTGGAAAATTCTCTATAAGAATGTGTTTGCAGAGTGGGGTAAAGTCTGTAAGAAGATACTAAAATAGCTGGGCGCAGGTGGCTCCCCCCTGTAATCCCAGCACTTCAGGAAGCCGAGGCGGGTGGATCACCTGCAGTCAGAAGTTCGAGACCAGCCTGGCCAACATGGCAAAACCCGTCTCTACTAAAAATACAAAAATTAGCTGGGCGTGGTGGCATGTGCCTGTAATCCCAGCTACTCTGGAGGCTGAGGCAGGAGAATTGCTTGAACCTGGGAGGTGGAGGTTGCCGTGAGCCAAGATTGCACCATTGCACTCCAGCTTGGGCGAGAAGAGTGAAATTCTGTCTCAAAAAAAAAAAAAGAAGATACTAAAATAAAAATCAAAATATTGTTCATGTGAACATGTGTAGAAAAATACTTGAGCTAAAAGATGACAGTATAAGTGGTGGTTATATTGGGACAAAGGAGAATGAAACAGAAAATATAGAAGAAGGGATTTGACTTGAATGTTAATTTTTAAAAGATTGTTTTGCCCTGCACTTCAAGATAAAATGTTCAGTTCTTTAAATGAGAAGCAGGCTAAGTGTGGTGGCTCATGCCTGTGATCCCAGCACTTTAGGAGACTAAGGCAGGAGCTCCTGAGCCTAGCTCAGCAGTTTAGGACCAGCCTGGGCAACATAGCGAGACCTGATACCTAACAACAATGGCAACAAAGCAAACAAAAAATTAAAAAAAAAAAAAAAAATCAGAAGCAAATATGACAAATTTAGGAATATGTAACCTTTTTGTACCATTAATTAAAGTGATCCAGGTCTATAATGTAAAATGTGGAAAATTTAAAAATTTTAAAATGTGGGAAATTCTATTGCATATTCATATAAATGTATTAAATTATGATTATATAGTCTATTGTTTTATTGTATGTTCAAAGCTATTGATTTTTAACTTTTCTTTTGAAATGTAACATGTATACACAAAGGTGGTCATAAAGGTACAGTCAGTTTTCACAGACTGAGCACTCTTGTATAAAACAGCAGTCATATCAAGAAATAACATTATTACCACCTTGGACACTACCCCCAAACTATTCATTGCAATCCGCCTGCCTTGGCCTCCCAGAGCCACCATGCCTGGACTAAACTGTTCATTTTTATTGATTTCGTATGTGTCTGGCCATTTAATGAAATGTTTCTATGGAGAAATTACTTAAAAGAGGAAACAGGTGTCACAGAGGGTATTGTTTTTGAGCTGCTGTCACCAGTGTAGGTTAAGAATGCTAGTTGGAGGGCCTGGCATGGTGCCTCGTGCCTGTAATCCCAACACTTTGGGAGGCCAAGGCGGGCAGATCACAAGGTCAGGAGTTCGAGACCAGCCTGGCCAATATAGTGAAACCCCGTCTCTATTAAAAATACAAAAATTAGCCGGGCATGGTGGCACGTGCCTGTAGTCTCAGCTACTCAGGAGGCTGAGGCAGAAGAATCGCTTGAACCCAGGAGGCAGAGGTTGCAGTGAGCCGAGATCATGCCACTGCACTCCAGCCCAGGCGACAGAGCGAGACTGTGTCTCAAAAAAAAAAAAAAAAAAAAAAAAAAAAGAATGCTAGTTGGGGGTCAGACGCAATGGCTCACGCCTGTAACCCCAGTACTTTCAGAGGTCGAGGCGGGTGGATCACGAGGTCAGGAGTTCGAGACCAGCTTGGCCAATATGGTGAAACCCCGACTCTAGTAAAAATATAAAAAATTAGGGCTGGGCACAGTGGCTCACACGTGTAATCCCTGCAGTTTGGGAGACAGACGCAGGCAGATCACGAGGTCAGGAGTTCGAGACCAGCCTGGCCAATACAGTGAAACCCCGTCTCTACTAAAAAAATACAAAAATTAGCTGAGCATGGTAGCGCTAGTCCCAGCTACTCAGGAGGCTGAGGAAGGAGAATCGCTTGAACCCAGGAGGTGGAGGTTGCAGTGAGCCGAGATCACGCCACTGCACTCTCGCCTTGGGGGCGACAGTAAGACTGTCTCAAAAAAAAAAAAAAAATTAGCGGGGTGTGGTCATGTGCACCTGTATGTAGTCTCAGCTACCCGGGAGGCTGAGGCAGGAGAATCGCTTGAACCTGGGGAGGCGGAGGTTGCAGTGAGCCAAGATTGCGTCACTGCACTCCAGCCTGGGCGACAGAGTGAGACTCTGTCTCAAAAATTAAAGAAAAAAGAATGCTAGTTGGGATAAATGGGAAGTGCAGTGCTATACAGGCTAATGAAAACATCCAAAAAGTTTTAGAATTTAAGTCATCAAATTCCTTAAAGTTCAATATAAGGGAGTGATGAGAAATAAGACTGGAACCAGTTATGAAGAGCCTTTTGTGCAAGCCAAGCAATGGAAATGTATTGGAGCCTCTTTGATCTGTAATTTTAAAGTATATTTATTTGCAGAAGTTTAAAATGGACTTTTTTTCTTTGTAGGCACACAAGTCTCTGAATTTTGTCTCAACACTGCTCCAGATTACTATGTCGGAACAGCTGGATTTACCTGTGAGACAGGCAGGCAAGTTTCCTAAATTATATTGAGTGTATGTAATCTATTGTTTAAAAGGTTCATAATCGAATAGCAGAAGTGTCTTGGGATGGCCCTTTGGCAATTTTTTCCCCCCAGGTAATTTGTTTACCTTCAGTGTTTACAGCTAACATCAGGTACCTTGATATCTGGTGGCAGAGTTTAAAGGAATAATTTGACATTTAGTTGAATTAAAATAGAAGCTTCAAATAGAAATTGATGGGGTTTATTAAAAGGTTCTATGTATTTTTAGAGTCCTTCCCTGATGGGTGATTATAAGACTCAAACATGTTTGTTTATATAGTCATCTCTTACCACCTTTTTGCTTTTATCGTTTTAACAGTTTAAAAAGTATTATACTATTTTTAGTTCCTGTTCAACATATTGAGCCACTTCCCTCAGTATCAAATAGTCTGAAAATGTGGCATACTACTTTTCTGAATATTATGTTAGTCTGTAAAAAATAATGTAGTGTACATTTTTAATTTTTTTTATTTTTTGTAGGCAGTCTCACTCTGTCCTCCATGCTGGAGTGCAGTGGTGCGAACTCGGCTCTCTGCAACCTCTGCCTCCCAGGTTCAAGCGATTCTTCTGCCTTAGCCTCCTGAGTAGCTGGGATTATAGGCGTGAGCCACCACTCCCAGCCTTTTCATTTCTTTTTAATTTATTTGCAGATGTAATAATTTTGTTATGGGAAATACAAAGTACCAATAATTTCATCATTCTAGAAAAACAGATTACATTTTTGTGTTATTTCTTGCTGTTCTTTCCCCCTGCACCTATTTTGTTAAAAATTTTGTTGGGGCTGGGTGCAGTGGCTCACGCCTGTAATCCCAGCACTTTGGGAGGCCAAGGCGGGGTTATCACAAGATCAGGAAATCGAGACCATCCTGGCTAACACGGTGAAACCCCGTCTCTACTAAAAATACAAAGAATTAGCCGGGCGTGGTGGCGGGCGCCTGTAGTCCCAGCTACTCGGGAGGCTGAGGCAGGAGAATGGCGTGAACCTGGGAGGCGGAGCTTGCAGTGAGCCGAGTTGGCGTCACTGCACACCAGCCTGAGCAACAGAGTGAGAGACCATCTCAAAAAAATAAATAAAAAATAAAAAAAAATTGTTTTCTCACTTCACTTAATGTTGTATACTGAGCATTTCCCTTTTCTTTACATAGTTCCGGTCTTCGGATTTTTTTTTTTTTTTTTTTTGAGACGGAGTCTCGCTCTGTTGCCCAGGCTGTAGTGCGGTGGCGCGATTTCCGCTCACTGCAAGCTCCGCCTCCCGTGTTCACGCCGTTCTTCTGCCTCAGCCTCCTGAGTAGCTGGGACCACAGGCGCCCGCCACCACACCCGGCTAATTTTTTGTATTTTTTAGTAGAGACGGGGTTTCACCGTATTTGCCAGGATGGTCTCGATTTGCTGACCTCGTGATCTGCCTGCCTTGGCCTCCCAAAGTGCTGGGATTACAGGCGTGAGCCACCGCGCCCGGCCTTCAGATTCATATTTTAATGGCTAAATAATTAGCCATAATATGCCATATGCAGTAAACTGTTAAAATTTTTAGAAATAGAATTTAGTCTGAAGTCTGTTTTGTTAACAGTATATTTTCATTTTCAGTGACTAAAATGTTGCCTAGTACAGTGTAGGTACTCAGGAAATAAATGAATTTAAATTATCACTTTAAATTAATTAATTAAATAACCTGGACTCTGCTAGGCAGATAGGAATTATTATTATTATTATTATTTTTAGACAAACTGGCTGTATTGCCCAGGCTAGAATTCAGTAGCTCCATCTTTTTTTTGTTTTTGTTTTTTTGAGACGGAGTCTTGCTCTGTCGCCCAGACTGGAGTGCAGTGGCGCGATCTCGGCTCACTGCAAGCTCCGCCTCCCAGGTTCACGCCATTCTCCTGCCTCAGCCTCCCGAGTAGCTGGGACTATAGGCGCCCGCCACCACGCCCGGCTAATTCTTTGTATTTTTAGTAGAGATGGGGTTTCACCGTGTTAGCCAGGATGGTCTCCATCTCCTGACCTCGTGATCTGCCCTGCCTCTGCCTCCCAAAGTGCTGGGATTACAGGCGTGAGCCACCGCCCCCGGCCCTCAGTAGCCTCATCTTGACTCACTGTAAACTCTGCCTCCCAGGCTCAAGCCATCCTCCCACCTCAGCCTCCTGAGTAGCTGGGACTGTAGGCACGTACCATCATGCCCTGATAATTGTTGTATTTTTTGTAGAGATGGCGTCCTGCCATATTGTCCAGGCTGGTCTCAAGCTTGTGAGCTCAAGTGATCTGCCTTCCTGGGCCTTCCAAAGTGCTAGGATTATGGGCGTGAGCCACCATGCCTGGCCATGACTTCTTTAAAAGCAAACAATTTTATGTAAATGACTGAACTCCCTGGTCAGCAGTAAATCTTTTTGTAAATATTTCTAATTTAATAGAAAAGGGTAATTTTTATTGTCTCCTTTCCCTCCCTTCCCTTCCTTTCTTCCTTCCCTTCCTCCTTTCCCTCCTTCTCTTCCTTCCTTTCCTGTCTTCCACAGGGTCTTGATCCTTGCCCAGGCCGGGGTGCAGTGACTCAGTTATAGCTCATTGAATCTTCAAACTTCTGGGCTCAAATAATCTTTCTACTTTAGCCTGCCAAACATCTGGGGCTGCAGGCATGTGTCACTACACCCATCTAATTATTTTATTTTGTAGAGATGGAATCTCACTATGTTGCTGAGGCTGGTCTTTTTTTTTTTTTTTTTTTTTTTTTTTTAGTAGAGACGGGGTCTCACTGTGTTTCCCCGGCTGGTTTCGGCTTCCAAAGTATTGAGCTTTACAGGCGTTAGCCACTATGGCTGGTCTTGAATTGCTGACCTCAAGTGATCCTCTCGCCTCAGCCTTCCAAAGTGCTGGGATCAAAGACGTGAGCCACTGTGCCTGGTCTTGTTTCTTTTTTATATATATTCAAGTCTCATTTATCTTTTACTAGTGAAGCTCACATTTTCCCGTTTTTAGATAAGAGTCTGCCTTTAAATCCAAATTTTTACTAAGAAGTTAAGTGTTTGACCTTTAGGAGTGATATTAATAAATTCTAGAGACTTGGTTATGTGTATTAGAAAAACAAATTACACTGGGAAATTGTTTTAGTGTGTACACAATTGGAAGGAGTTAAACTATGGAATTGGTCAAAAAATTTAAAATATCATTAATTTAAAAGTTATATACTTGGGGCTGGCCACGGTGGCTCACACCTGTAATCCCAGCACTTTGGAAGGCCGTAGATGGGGGATCATTTGAAGTCAGGAGTTCAAGACCAGCCTGGTCAACATGGTGAAACCCTGTCTCTACTAAAAATACAAAAAAATTAGCCGGGTGGTAGTGGCATGCACCTGTAATCCCAGCTACTCAGGAGGCTGAGGCAGGAGAATCGCTTGAGCCTGGGAGATGGAGGTTGTGGTGAGCTGAGATTGTGCCATTGTACTCCAGTCTGGGAAACAGAGTGAGACCCTTTCTCAAAAAAGAAAAAAAAATTATGTTCTTGGAATAATTGAATGAGATTTCTGTAGTGCATGGCATATGGTGGTTTCATCTGCTGGATTTCGAATGATTAGTTCATTCTGTCTTTGCTCAAGCATTCTGGCTAGAGTAGACTGAATCATGAGATCCTTACAGTGCAATTCCAAATTCTGTATTGTTGGGGCAAAAAATGTTTAAAATTCCGAATCACATAAGCATATATTCCATTCTTTACTTAGAATGGAAGTATTCAGAGGTTGCATCCAGAGACATTGGGACTGTTGTGTGGTCTTAGTATTGGTCTCTATTCTGTTTTGGAGAAAAAGAACCAAAATTCTGTAGTAGTAATAACCTGGACTTTGTTGGTCCTATTTGATTCTTTATTGTAGGTGTAGTTTATTTTAAAACCTTGGCTCACGCCTATAATCCCAGAACTTTGGGAGGCCGAAGTGGGTGGATCACGAGGTCAGGAGAGCGACACCATCCTGGCCAACATGGTGAAACCTTGTCTCTACTAAAAATACAAAAATTACCTGGGCATGGTGGTGCATGCCTGTAAACCCAGCTACTCGGGAGGCTGAGGCAAGGAGAATCGCTTGAACTAGGGAGTCAGAGGTTGCAGTGAGCCGAGATCGCACCACTGCACTCCAGCCTGGTGACAGAGCAAGACTCCATCTCATAAAAATACCTTGTTGAGGGGTATTTTAATATATAATCTTAATCTATTTGAATTACTATAATATGGAATATTTAATTCCTAAATTAAAGCAAACTAGAATATAAAAATCCTATTTCTGTCGGTTATCCTTGTTCAAATAAGTACAGGACTTGAGATAAGAATTGCTAATTAGAGAAGATCGAGTGTTTTGCAGAATTTAAGAATTAATTTTGGACAGTTTCCCTTTACAGTACATCTTACAGATTTGTGACTCTGTTCTCCCCCACTCTCTGAAAGTGCTGGGTAAAAAGCTTTGCTAGCAGCCTGGATTTTACCACTTCATCAGTTTGTTAACTTTTGTCAAATAGCAATGTGCAAAGGTAGCAGTATGATAACTGACAGAAAAATAGCAATCTGTAATTTCTGAACACAGTAAATTCTCCCATAACATAATTTGAATTTGAAGTGGTATGGGATTGAAATACTTAAATTTATAGATTAAGAACCTTTATATGCTATTATTTTTCTGTGATAAGAACTGGTTTTTTTATTACCTTTGTGTGATTAGTTGTAGAAGCTATGTTGGGATATGTATGATGGTTTTGTCTTTAGAGGCTTCATTTAGAAAACTGATTTGATTTAATTTAACTCTCCTGTAGAAAACAGGGTTAAAAGTGTTGTGACGTTAAAAAAAAACAGTTTTCTCTGGGGTTGTTTATTTGCAGAGTTTTCTTATGCTGTGTGATTCGTAATAACTTTGTGCTTGATTGCTGTAACAGTGTTCAATTTGTGCATTATCAACTTTAAAAATAATTGAATGTAGTATTTTGTTAATGAAAGCATAGCTTTACAAACGGTAGTGTGAAAGAAATACTTGAGGTATGGACACTTGTGGGATTTTCACAGTACTTTCACAGTAAACATTCTTTTGTCAAACTGATCTGTATTTTAGGTGTTATCTATCTGAAAAATATGATAACACAGTATTGGCCTGATCGAGAAACAGCACCAGGGGATATATCCCCTTATACTATTCCAGAAGAAGATCGCCATTGTATTCGAGAAAATATTGTAGAAGCCATTATCCATTCTCCTGAGCTCATCAGGTATGTATTTTTAAAATTTACCCATTTCTGCAGGTGTGTAACTTTCAGGGTTTTTTGTTTTTTGGTTTTTTTTTTTTTTTTTTTTTTTTTTGAGATGGACTTTCCCTCTGTGGCCAGGCTGGAGTGCAGTGGCACGATCCTTGCTCACTGCAGCCTCCGCCTCCCAGGTTCAAGCAATTCTCCTGCCTCTCAGCTCCACGAGTAGCTGGGATTACAGGCACATGGCACCACGCCCAGCTAATTTTTGTATTTTTAGTAGAGACAGGGTTTCACCATGTTGGCGAGGATGGTCTCGATTTCCTGACCTCGTGATCCAACTGCCTCGGCTTCCCAAAGTGCTGGGATTACAGGCGTGAACCACTGCACCCGGCTTTTCTGGGGGGCTTTTGGGGGCTTTTCAGAACATATAGGCCTGTTTTTTTTGTAGCAGAAAACTTACCCAACAGATGCTGTTGTAGGAGAATGCCTTAGTCATTTTTTTTTTTTTAAGATTGAGTCTTGTTCTGTCACCCAGGCTGGAGTGAGGTGGCGCAATCTCGGCTCGCTACAGCCTCTGACTCCTGGGATCAAGCAATCCTCCTGCCTCAGTCTCCCGAGTAGCTGGGATTACAGGCGTGCACCAGCATCCCTGGCTAATTTTTGTATTTTTAGTAGAGACGAGGTTTTACCATGTTGGCCACGCTGGTCTGGAACACCTGACCTCAAGTGATCCACCTGCCTAGGCCTCACAAAGTACTGTGATTACAGGTGTGAGCCACCATGCCTGGCCTGTAATTTGTTTTCTTACTACAGTTTGATTTCACATTGACGAAACCAAAAACTTCATATAAAACTTGTGGGCCGGGCACAGTGGCCTCAGCCCCCGGAGTAGCTGGGATTACAGGTGTGCACGACCAGGCCCAGCTAATTTTTGTGTTTTTAGTAGAGATGGGGTTTCACCATGTTGGCCAGGATGGTCTTGATCCCTTGACCTTGTGATCTTCCCGCCTGGGCCTCCCAAAGTGTTGGGATTACAGGTGTGAGCCACCGCACCCAGCCTAATTGATGTTCTCAAATGAAACTTGTTTATTGATGATAGGAATGAAAAATAAAACACCTGTATTTGTAACATTTGCTGGTTTTCGTTTGCTCAGTGACTTATTCTGAATCATATATATTCTGTGTACATCTAAAATCACTGGGTTATTTTGAAATTAGATTTTGTCTAAACAGCTATTTTCCTTTCTATGGGTTAGCAAAATCTTACCTAGTTAGGATTTTTTCCTTACTGTTTTTTTTTGGCTTCCAGGGTACAGCTTACTACATGCATTCATCACATCATCAAACATGATTATCCAAGCCGCTGGACTGCCATTGTGGACAAAATTGGCTTTTATCTTCAGTCCGATAACAGTGCTTGTTGGCTAGGAATTCTTCTTTGCCTTTATCAGCTTGTGAAAAATTATGAGTAAGTGTTTCTTTCAACTCCTATAGAGCTTTGAGAAGTAGGAAAAGTTGGGAAAATTTAAGCCAATTTGAACATGTAAAATTATATTTAGCATAGATAATAAAATTAGTGAATTATATGGTAATTTCAATTTATTATTTTCTTTTTGACATAGCATTCTAACTCCGCAGTTGCTTTTCTTTATTCTACTAAGAAACTCCTTGCACCCTTTTTTCTTAATCACCGTCTCTTTACCTATTCAAAAACTAAGTTGTCTCTAAAGACGGCCTCCTCAATGTGTGCTGATAAAAGTCCTTCAGGTAAGTTTTTCTAAAATGTGAAGGTGATCAGAATACATTGAGGATTAAAGCTCTTTATTACTTGTGGCTTTTTTTTCTGTGAATTTTTATCTTAATTTAGGCTCTTGATTAACTTCCTCTGATTCTTTAAGAAGAATTCATTGGAATTTCATGTGATCTTCTTTAATCAGTGTGTTTTGGGGGATTCACACTCACCTATTTCATTGTTGCATATTTAAGCAGATTATAGTTCATATAGGTCATTAGTATTAGAAAAAAAGATTTTAGGCCAAGTGATTATTTTAGATCTTGTTTTAGGGATCAGGAAAAAAAGATCTAACCTAGAAAGTTGAGGTATAGCACTGAGAGTGGTAAGCCACATGTTGAAGGAGTTTTTTAAGTCTATAGTTGATAGGCACTTGAAAAGGTTTGATGGGATATTACGAGGAAGGCATAAGGAAGACTTTTATACCATGATCGTGACTTTATTGCCAGTCTTAACAGCTACACAGATGCCATTGTGACCCCTCTAATTCTGGGACTTGCAGTTAGCCTCCAATACCCTCTTTGGGTCCCATCTCAAAGTGGCTGATGAACTGCTGCTTTTATTCTCTGAGCAGGAGAGAAATATACCATTTACAGCATTGGTACTGGTGTTTTCTTGTGTTCCCACCAGCTACCCATCTTCCTGCTAAGGAATGTTCCAGCTGTTACAGTTCTGGTAAGTGAGTGACTAAAATTGGAGAGAATAAAAACAATAAGCTGTCAATATCATTGAGGAGGTTCAAGGCCCTCCTGTCCCATAATCTTAGCAGGAGGGAATATGACAGGGATTTTTAAGTGGGAGATACAGGAGGCTGCTACATCATTGGAATTCAGTTCATTTTCAGCCAGTGTTTTCGTTGTGAAGCACAAGGTGTTCACAAGGGATCTGTGTGGACTGAAGCAGTTCTAAGAAAATTTACAGAGAAATTGGAATTTTTGGTGGTCCTCAGGAGCATAGATCCTCAGGAAATGCTTGTCAGTTGAAGGAACACAAAGAACATATGAAGAGGAAGGCGTGTCACACCATATGGAGTGGTATGAACAAAGAAAGAGATGGAAATGTGAGATGCTGTCTTTAGTGGGTAGTGAGGAGACTGCTTAATGGTGCTGATAATTTCCAGTGAGAGGTTGGGAATAGTTTTGGACTGGTAAATTGGGACCATGTTAAAGAGGGTTTTGAGTGCCAGAATGGGAAATTTGGATGTGATCTTTTAGATACTGAGAACCACTGAAATTTTTTTTTAACAGAATAGTGATAAGACTAGTATTTAAGGATTTTCTATGAGTATGGTTCTGCAGTTTGACACATCACAGCCTTGTGGTAGTAGAATTTTATTAGTGTCATATTTTCATCCTTTCAGGAATGTTCAGGTCTTACAGGGTAGTAATAAGTTTGGTACCATAATTTTTTACTCATTAGCTTAGATTAACAACTAGTACCACTCAACTCCCAGTCCACTATTCAGGGTATTGAGGGAGGTAGGAGAGAATATCTGATGTAGAACAAGTATTTAAACTCTCTTAGGGTGGGTGATGGACCTGTGATGCATAAATAGAGCTGCATAATATTAGTTCTCACTTTTAGTGTTTAAAGGGAATTTTGTGTATAATTGTAGTTTGTATAATCAGATTGGAGAGTGCAAATGGCTTTCTTTTGTGAATTGTTATTTTGTCAACTCAAAGGTATAGATAACCTTTTAAAATGTATGCTAGGTATAATTTGTTAGCACTTTAAAGTAATATTTGAAATAATTTGTCAGTAGATAGTGTTAATAGCTTTAGCAGTCATTGTTAATGTGAACATTCCTTTTTGTATTTTTTATTCCTGGTGATTTACTTTGTTACTCATTTCACCTGGTAGGAAAAAAAATAGCTTTTAAAAAGAGTCTCCCAGTATCATTTTAAAATGTACTCAGATACTCAATTCTTTATATTTTCTCTCTTAAGGAAGAGGGATACCAATAAATACAACTGGGATGTGCTATGGAAAACCAATTTAAAGCTGTTTTGATAATATCTGTTCCAAAAAGATAAGCTGTGGCTCTTAGAATAATGATTTCTATAATCAGTAATCTGTATTTTAAAAATTTAGTCTGCCTATTGACTCCTTAATAATGGAAGCTGGGGCTGGGAGCAGTGGCTCAGCCTGTAATCCCAACACTTTGGGAAGCTGAGGCAGGCGAATCACTTGAGCCCAGGAGTTTGAGACCAGCTTGGGCAACATAGTGGAACCCCGTCTCTCCCCTACTCTCTACAGACAAAAAAGAAAGTAATCAGCCAGATGTGGTGGCACATGCCTGTAGTCCCAGCTACTCAAGAGGCTGAGGTGTGAGGATAGCTTGAGCCTGGAAGGTTGAGGCTTCAGTGAGCCATGATCACCACTGCACTCCAGCCTGGGTGACAGAGTGAGGCACTTTCTCCAAAAAAAAAAGGATACTGGAATTGCTTTTGTGTAGTTACAAATTTGTTTGATTGATTGATTTTTTTTTTTTTTTTTTTGAGACGGAGTCTCTCTCTGTTGCCTAGGCTGGAGTGCAGTGGCTCACTGCAAGCTCTGCCTTTCAGGTTCATGCCATTCTCCTGCCTCAGCCTCCCGAGTAGCTGGGACTATAGGCGCCCGCCACCACGCCCAGCTAATTTTTTGCATTTTAGTAGAGACGGGGTTTCACCGTGTTAGCCAGGATGGTCTTGATCTCCTGACCTCGTGATCCTCCCGCCTCGGCCTCCCAAAGTGCTAGGATTAGAGGCGTGAGCCACCGCGCCCGGCCCCCAACAGACTTTTTAACGATACTTTTTTATTTTTTTTGAGATTGAGTCTCTCTGTCACCCAGGCTGTAGTGCAGTGGCACAATCTTGGCTCATAATTGATAGCCTGTTGGTCACATTTTGTTGCCCTATGGGTTAATAGAAGAACTTACGGTTTATGATGCTTTTAGAAATAAAATATTTTCTGCTTTATACATACCATTTCTGCTTTAATGCTGTTGGTATGTAAATTACTTAAGGATGGTAATAATAATCAGTTTTATTTATCAGCTGCTACTGTTTACGCAAATATAATCAAATACTTCCTAATTTATTATTTATAATTTATACAAATATTTATAATTTATTATTACTTTCCTCATTTATTATGAGGTCAATAACCTATTCCAGTTGCCTAGGTTCATGTCTAACTATGTAATACTGAGAAAGATAGTTAATTTCTGTGCCTCAGTTTCCTGAACTATCAAAGTGAGGATACTCATGTGGGCCTTGAAGATTTTTGACCTCATAATACATGTTCAGAAAATACTGGATAATCTTTACCCAAGGTTTTATTCAAGATGCTTTCTTTTTATGGTTTTGCTCTAGATATTTTTCTTTTTCTAAATTGGTTAGGAAGTATTTGATTATATTTGTGTGAATAGTAGCAGCTGATAAATAAAAAATTTCATTATGCCTCCTCATCTATATCAATTGATTCACAGTTAGAGACTGCATAGTCAAGTGGTTAAGAGGGCAGACCTTGGATTCCAGTTGCCTAGGTTCATGCCTAACTATGTAATACTGAGAAAGATAGTTAACGTCTGTGCCTCAGTTTCCTCAACTACAAAAGTGAGGATACTCATGTGTGCCTTGAAGATTATTGACCTCATAATACATGTTCAGAAAATACTGGATAATCTTTACTCAAGGTTTTATTCAAGATGCTTCCTTTTTATGGTTTTGTTCTAGATATTTTTCTTTTTCTAAATTGGTTAAGAAGTATTTGATTATATTTGTGTAAATAAATGCATAGTTTAAATATATATACAATTGTGGAAATAAATTCTTACAGAATTAGTTTGTATTCCTACTCAAAGGTATAAAAAACCAGAGGAGCGGAGTCCATTGGTAGCAGCAATGCAGCATTTTCTGCCAGTTCTAAAGGATCGTTTTATCCAGCTTCTTTCTGACCAGTCTGATCAGTCTGTCCTCATCCAGAAACAGATATTCAAGATCTTCTATGCTCTTGTTCAGGTAATATCTGTGAAGCAGTTTTTATGCATAAAAAGTTAGTCTGTCATTTACCGTGTTAAAAATTAACAAAGAATTTCAGCATTTGAATAATAGTTAACTTGAAAATCTACATTAAGTGGATGATTTTCTAGCAAAATAGAAATTGCAAAAATTATAAGTCTAAACAAGCATACTTCCTCCCCAAATACATAAACAACCCTAATGAATCTTTTTTTTTTTTTTTTTTTTTTTTTTTGAGACTGTCTCGTTCTGTCGCCCAGCTGGAGTGCAGTGGCGTGATCTCGGCTCACTGCAACCTCTGCCTCCCGGTTTCAAGCGATTCTCCTGCCTCAGCCTCCTGAGTAGCTGGGATTACAGGCACGTGCCACCACACCTGGCTAATTTTTGTATTTTTAATGGAGACAGGGTTTCACCATGTTGGTCATGCTGGTCTCGAACTCCTGACCTCGTGATCCACCTGCCTTGGGCTCCCAAAGTGCTGGGATTACAGGTACGAGCCACCGTGCTTGGCCCCTAATAAATATTAAATTGCAAATGGGCAATGTCAAATTATCTTAAACCATCCACTGCAACCAAATTAGTCAATTTAGAAAGTATCTTTCACCTTAGGAATTAATGAATCTGGGCCGGGCACTGTGACTCACACCTGTAATCCCAGCACTTTGGGAGGCTGTGGTGGGCGCATCACCTGAGGAGGGGAGTTCGAGACCAGCCTGACCCAACATGGAGAAACCCCGTCTCTATTAAAAATACAAAAAAAATTAGTCAGGCTTGGTGGTACATACCTGTAAACTCTGCTACTTGGGAGGCTGAGGCAGGAGAAAAGCTTGAACCTGCGAGGCGGAGGTTGTGGTGAGCCAAGATCACACCATTGCACTCCAGCCTGGGCAACAAGAGCAAAACTCTGTCTCAAAAAAAAAAAAGAATTAGTGAATCTGAAAACCAGTTACTTGATTACAGTTGAAGTCTAACACATACTTGATATGCAAAATATACATAGATTGTCTCAGTACAAAACGTATTCCTAAACTTGTCGCAAAAATACTAAATCAGTGGGCTTTACTGGTACACAGTAATGGCTTTTATTATTTCTGTATGTTCTAAATTTTTCTAGGATAAAAGATACCCACTACAGAAATGGTTGGGGCCGGGCGTGATGGCTCACGCCTGTAATCCCAGCACTTTGGGAGGCCGAGGCGGGCGGATCACGAGGTCAGGAGGTCGAGACCATCCTGGCTAACATGGTGAAACCCTGTCTCTACTAAAAATACAAAAAATTAGCTGGGCGTGGTGGCGGGCACCTGTAGTCCCCGCTACTCAGGAGGCTGAGGCAGGAGAATGGTGTGAACCCAGGAGGCAGAGGTTGCAGTGAGCCGAGATCGCACCACTGCACTCCAGCCTGGGCGACTGAGCAAGACTCCGTCCCAAAAAAAAAGAAAAAAAGAAAAAAAAGAAATGGTTGGGTCAGTATTCGCAGTGAAATGTAATTACTTGTAAAACAGATTTTTAAAAACCAGGAAAATTCTGGTTCTTTTTGTTGTATCATGTACCATAGAAGGATTTATCTCATCTGCTAAGATCATTGGTTCAAGTCATACCATTACATTTAAAAATCTCATTTAAATAAATCAGAGCCAGGCACAGTGGCTCGCACCTGTAAGCCTGTAATCCCAGTTATTCTGGAGGTTGAGGTTGGAGGATTGCTTGAAACCAGGAGTTCAAGGCTGCACTCCATCCTGACAGAGCGAGACCTGGTCTCTTAAAAAGAAGGAAGAAAGATCTATGACTTCACCTCCATTAAGACTGTACTTGCCTAACTCTATTCCTTGGTTGGATTTTGCATGTCTTTGCTAGATCTTTAAAGACATTCAGGTATCTCCCACTCTGAATCTAAGGGCACCTTAATGCCATTCTATTGGACTCTTAGGTTATTCTTTTGTTAAGTAATTTGAATAAACACTAGTCTTTTCAATATTTTTTCTAACTAGGAGGATCATAACTTTTGGATTAAATAATAGGTCTTTTTGAAAACTATCATAGGGCATAGGGAATAGGACAAAATACTTTCTCAACTCATTCTTTGAGACTAGCATACCTGTTGTAAAAATATAGCCCCGTCTCACTTGTGAAAATAGATGTCCTAAAATCCCAAATTGGATAACTTTTTTATTGGCCTACTGAGAAATAGGATTTATCCCAGGAATACAAGAATGGATCAACAGTAAGAAATTAGTTTTTGTAATTAACCCTTACATCACGTTAAAATAGAGACCTGTAAACATCTTTATGGATGTCAGATAAAGCATTTGATAAAATTAAATAACCATGTCTGCTTTGAAAAAAATAAACAACTGTTAGAATCCTAGAACAGAATCTTTCTTAACTTGATGAAAGGTGTTCATTAGAAATCTACAATAAATATCACACCTTATGGTGAAAATAAAATATCCCAGTAAAATGGGAATATGGCAAGGATGCCCACTCACTGTTTACCATTATAGATAACAAGCAAAGAAGTTTGCCTATGTACTAAAAGCAGGAAATGTGGATTGAATGAAATACTTTTGGTAGGTATTGTGAAGAGTAAAAAGAAGTAGGATTTTCTTTAGCAAGGATTTCGAAATATTAATTCTTGACTTTTATTTAGTATACACTACCACTGGAACTGATAAACCAACAGAACCTGACAGAATGGATAGAAATTTTAAAGACTGTTGTGAACAGGGATGTACCTAATGTAAGTTTCTGTATGTTCTCTTATATTACTAAATGTAAATATTTAATGATCTTTTGAAGACTTTAACTGGTGTTTCCTGTAACATTCTTTATGAATTTTTATAATATGGTGATGTATTTTTTTCTAGATTAGAGGTACCTTTTCATTTGTTTATATATGCATTACATCTGTACATTTACTTAGTGTAAAAAGTTGTAAAGGGTGTTTTTTTAAATATATTATTGGTTTAATTTCTTCTGTTGTCCTTTTGTTTCATCCTAAATCTTCTGTTCCCTCTCAGTTCATAAATTAAGAGCTCATAGCTGGCTCTTAGCCTAGTTAATTTGTCAGATGCCCACGTACAGAGGAAGAGGAAGAACTTGATTTACAGATTGGCCAACTTTTGTAGTTATGTTATTTTTTCTTAATAACTCTATTGAGAAATAACTCACATACAGTAAAATTTATTCTTTTAAAGTACAACTTGGTAGTTTTTAGTACATTCAGAGTTGTCCAATTGTGTTATTTGTATAATCAAACTTTTTAAAATTATTATAATTTTTCTTTATAGTCTAGTTTTCTTTTTTCTTTTTTTTTTTTTTAAGCTGAAGTTTCGCTCTTGTTGCCTAGGCTGGAGTGCAGTGGCGCAATCTCGGCTCACTGCAACCTCCGCCTCCCAGGTTCACGCGATTCTCATGCCTCAGCCTCTCAAGTAGCTGGGACTACAGACGTGTGCTACCAAGCCCGTCTAATTTTTGTATTTTTAGTAGAGATGGAGTTTCACCATGTTGGCCAGGCTGGTCTCAAACTTCTGAGCTCAGGTGATCCGCCCACCTTGGCCTCCCAAAGTGCTGGGATTACAGGCGTGAGCCACTGTGCCCGGCCTATAGTCTAGTTTTCTAGAGATATAGGGGAATTTACAGATTACTGAATACGCTGTTTTGTTTTGTTTTGTTTTTTTGAGACAGAGTCTCACTCTGTCGCCCAGGCTGGAGTGCAGTGGTGCGATCTCAGCTCACTGCAACCTCTGCCTCCCAGGTTCAAGCAATTCCCTGCCTCAGCCTCCCAAGTAGCTGGGATTACAGGTGCCTGTCACCATGCCTGGCTAACTTTTTTTATTTTTCATAGAGACAGGGTTTCACCATCTTGGCCAGGGTGGTCTTAAACTCCTGACCTTGTGATCCACCCGCCTCAGCCTCCCAAAGTGCTGGGATTACAGGTGTGAGCCACCGTGCCTAGCCTATTTTACAGTGTGTTTTATGTACTGTTATTAATATATACTTATTTAACCCTCAAAATCCTTCTGACTTTTATTTTAAACTTACACATGGGAGGGTTATGTAATTTATCCAATATAATATTGTTAATCGCATAAGTGAGACCAAAGTCCTATTTTGTAGTTTAATTTTTTTAAAGATTTGTTTCAAAAAGGTTTATGAACAATGCAGAAGAAACAACATTTCTACACCCTCCATAGGAAACTAGTTTGGTGTATATTTTTCTTTGCACATTTAATAGATATAAAATATAACTTTTAAAGTTCTCATATACATATTGTGCACCTTTTTGTTGTACAATTTATAATCCGTGCACCGATTATAAATAAACAGTTCAGTGAGTTAGCACAATTATTATGTACCCATGTAGCCATCACCTCAGAATGTTTGCTCATGGCTGGTTCTAGTCATCTCTGGCATCATCTCATTCCCGGCACAATAGATTTAATCTGTTTTAGAACTTAGTAAGTAATCTTTTGTTCCTGGCTTCTTTCACTTAATATATTTATAAGATTCTTTCATGTTGTATAGTGGTAGTTTATTATTTTTTATTGCTGAGCGGTATCCCATTGTATAGATATATCACAATTTATGTATGTTGATGGACATCTGGGTAGTTTTACTTTTTCAGTATTATAGATAAAGCTATGAACATTCTTACGTGTCTTTTTGTGGTCACATGTTTTTCACACTCTTGCATAAATATCAAAGAAAGGAATTGGGTCATAAGGTAGGTGTATGTTTTACTTTACAAGTAACTTCCAAAGTGGCTGTAGCATTGCTTTCACTAGCGATGTATGAGAGTGTTCACTTGCTCTGTATATTCACTTCCTTATCCTACTTAAAAAAATATGTCATGGATAGGCTGGGCGTGGTGGCTTACGCCTGTAATCACAGCACTTTGGGAGGCTGAGGCGGGCGGATCACGAGGTTAGGAGATCAAGACCATCCTGGCCAACATGGTGAAACCCTGTCTCTACTAAAAATACAAACATTAGCTGGGCGTGGTGGTGCAAGCCTGTAGTCCCAGCTACTCGGGAGGCTGAGGCAGGAGAATCACTTGAACCAGGGAGGCAGAGGTTGCAGTGAGCCGAGATTGTGCCACTGCACTCCAGCCTGGCAACAGAGTGAGACTCTGTCTAAAAAAAAAAAAAAATATATATATATATATATATATATATATGTTATGGATGTCTTAGGTTATTAATGTATAATGATCCAATTCCTTCTTTCAGTGATTGTATAGGAGTCTTTTATGGATCTTCCATAATTGAACATTATTAATGAATCTTCAGGTTCTTGGAAATTTTTTACCATTACAAATAATATGATAATTAATATTCTCATACACAAATCGTTGCGCATTTATACTTATATATCTGAAACTAGATTTCTGAAATGGAGTTTCTCATGCCCTTTCCATTATGAAATATACTGATTTTGATTAAGCTACAATTGTCGTGGCCTTGACTATACTATTTAGATCTTGGCTAAAATGTTTGGCTTTAAGCTTGTAGAATTATTTTAAAAAGCATGTCTTTTATAACCAACTAGTGAAGCAGTGAGGATGCCTCTTTGATTTAAATAGGGTTAATACTTTTCCAAGTCTAACCTTCTACTATGAAAGGCCAACATCAGGCCAGGTGCAGTGGCGCACGCCTGTAATCCCAGCACTTTGGGAGGCGGAGGCGGGTGGATCACGAGGTCAGGAGATGGAGACCATCCTGGCTAACCCCGTCTCTACTAAAAATACAAAAATAAAATTAGCTGGGCGTTGTGGCGGCCACCTGTAGTCCCAGCTACTTGGGAGGCTGAGGCGGGAGAATTGTGTGAACTCGGGAGGCGGAGCTTGCAGTGAGCTGAGATGGCAATAGAGCAAGACTCCATCTCAAAAAAAAAAAGGCCAGCATTAGTGAAGCATTCACATTTTTGTCAATCTATTCTCATCTCATGCTGTTCCTCCTATATTGTATTATCTCTATCATTAAATAAGTGTCTTTTTAAAGGAAACACTTCAAGTTGAAGAAGATGATCGACCTGAGTTACCATGGTGGAAATGCAAGAAGTGGGCCTTACATATTTTAGCAAGACTTTTTGAAAGGTAATCTCATCCATATATGGTGATTTAAATTAATTTATTAAGGTTTTGCTTTAAAGTGCTAGCATAAAGCATTATAAAGAAACAATGGGCATTTTGATGTTCTTTTAGATATGGAAGCCCTGGCAATGTTTCCAAGGAGTATAATGAATTTGCTGAAGTATTTCTGAAGGCATTTGCTGTTGGTGTCCAGCAAGTAAGTCTGTTTTTAGTTTTTCTCAGTGGAAACATGGCATCTTTAAGTTAATTTATATATTGCTTATTCCCAGTTTCTTTGACATCTAAAGAGTGCCTGTTTGGACCCTGTACCAGGTCTCAAACATTTTTGGTCTCAGGATCTCTTTATGTTCAAATTACTTAGGATACCATTGGGTTCTCATTTATGTGAGTTATACCTAGTAATATTTATCATATTAGAAATTAGAGTAAACAGTTCATTAAAATATAATAACAGGCCTATTATATGTTAAGACAATAATTTTTTTTTCTCTTGTTGCCCAGGTTGGAGTGCAGTGGCGTAATCTCGGCTCACTGCAACTTCTGCCTCCCAGGTTCAAGCGATTCTCCTGCCTCATCAGCCTCCCGAGTAGCTGGGATTATAGGCATGTGCCACCACACCCAGCTAATTTTGAATTTTTAGTAGAGACGGGTTTTCTCCATGTTGGTCAGGCTGGTCTTGAACTCCTGACCTCAGGTGATCCGCCTGCCTTGGCCTCCCAAAGTGCTGGGATTACAGGCATGAACCCCCACCCCCGGCCCAGAATTCTAATTTTTGCTTGAAACCTCAAGTTTTAACACCAGTAACATATTGTCAGCAATTTTCCTTGAAATGAGGGACTCGTTTTATTCATTTTTGAGAATATAATCCTATAATCCCAGCACTTTGGGAGGCCAGGGCGGGCAGATCACGAGGTCAGGAGTTCGAGACCAGCCTGGCCAACATGGTGAAACCCCGTCTCTACTAAAAATACAAAAATTAGCTGGGCGTGGTGGTGCGTGCCTGTAATCCCAGCTATTGGGGAGGCTGAGGCAGGAGAATGGCTTGAACCCAGGAGGCAGAGGTTGCAGTGGGCTGAGATCACGCCACTGCACTCCAGCCTGGGTTACAGAGCAAGACTCCATCTCAAAAAAAAAAAATTCTTAAGAAAAACTTGTTCTAAGGCTGGGCGCAGTTGCTCACGCCTGTAATCCCAGCACTTTGGGAGGCCAAGGCGGGCGGATCACGAGGTCAGGAGATCAAGACCATCCTGGCTAACACAGTGAAACCCCATTTCTACTAAAAATTCAAAAATGTAGCCGGGCGTGGTGGCGGGCGCCTGTATTCCCAGCTGCTTGGGAGGCTGAGGCAAGAGAATGGCGTGAACCTGGGGGGTGCAGCTTGCGGTGCGCAGAGATCCTGCCACTGCATTCCAGCCTGGGCGACAGAGCAAGACTCCGTCTCAAAAAAAAGAAAACTTGTTCTATAAGAATATGGCTGTAAAGAATACAGTGACTTGGCCGGGCGCGGTGGCTCACGCCTATAATCCCAGCACTTTGGAAGGCCATGGCAGGCAGATCACCTGAGGCCAGGAGTTCGAGACCAGCCTGACCAACATGGAGAAATCCTGTCTGTACTAAAAATACAAAATCAGCCAGGTGTGGTGGTGCATGTCTGTAATCCCAGCTACTCGGGAGGCTGAGGCAGGAGAATCACTTGAACCCAGGAGGCGGAGTTTGCGGTGGGCCGAGATTGCACCATTGAGCAAAACTCCATCTCAAATAAATAAATAAATAAACAAATAAATAAATAAATAAAAATACTGTGAATTTAATATCATACTCTTGATTCAAATAAGGCATCAGAACATTTAACACCATGGTTTTGTACCATTGGTGCAAATACTCATTTACTCAAAACACAGTTTTGTTTTTTTTTTTAAAAAAAGACAATATCATTATGAAAGTAGCTTTAAACTAGTAGATCCTCTGAAATAGTCTTGGGGACCACTAGAGGTTTGTGGACCACATTTTGTGTGTCAGTGTTCTGAAACATGAAGTAGAGTTAGAACTATTGACAGATGCTAAATAGGCAGTTGACTGCTTTGGGTAAGGTTTTCCCAGAAGATGGCTTTAACAAGATAGGGTTTTCTCCCAATACTGTGGTTTTTCAATAGGTAGCAAATGGGTTAGGTGTGGTGACTTACACCTGTAATCCCAGCACTTTGGGAGGCTGAGATGGGAGAATCGCTTGAGGCCAGGAGTTAGAGACCAGCCGGGGCAACGTAGTGAGACACTGTCTCTAACAACAACAACAAAAAAAACCCCAGAAAAACGAAGATAGTATATAGTTTTCTCTTCTTTTCATTCTTAATCAGAAATGAGTTAAATTATTTTTCAAAGTATACGGTTGTTTTTCTTGATGATGAGCTTGTCATTAAAATATGTGTTAACTGTTTTTACTGGCTTGTAAGTGGTTGAAATTTCTATTTGAACATTGATTTGTGATCGAAAATTTTTTTCCAAGGTTTTATTGAAGGTGTTATATCAGTACAAGGAGAAGCAATATATGGCTCCTCGAGTTTTACAACAGACATTAAATTATATTAATCAAGGAGTTTCTCATGCTCTCACCTGGAAGAATCTGAAGCCCCATATACAAGTAATAATTTTTATCTGAAATGTTTTTATAGTAAATATAATAGAAATGACATCAATTGCCATAAAGGTTGAAAAATTGCATGTTTGTTGAGTTGTGTTACTTAGACTACTTCTGGTGATTGTTTTGAGAGTATAGCAGAAAAAGGAGATAAGACAGTGACATAAAGTTATGAGAGGTATCTTGTGAATATTCAACTTATCTTTTAATCCAAAACTGTTGTCTTCAAACTTGCAATTTAAGTTCTTAATATTGGACTATGATTATATTTTATCATGTAATTTGGAGTAGCCAAGGGACTTTATCTCACCAGATTCATTTCTAGTATAAATGACTTACCTGCTATTTCTATGAATAATTTATGTGCTTTATTTAGAGCTGTAGAATTTTATAGACTATATATATTTAGAATACTTAATTGCGACCTTTGTACACATATATCTTAAAGTTACTTGTTACAGAAAGGGGAAGTACATGTAGTTTGATAGTTGATCTTAGAACACATTAAATGCATTACTAACGTTTGATATTAAGCTTTAAAATACATATAGTGTTACTTTGGTTTTAATACTTAAAGGAAATTTGAAGGTTTAAATTTGAAAACTGATGGTTATTGTTTTCTTAACTTTTAAATTGCAGGGCATTATCCAAGATGTTATTTTTCCATTGATGTGCTATACAGATGCTGATGAGGAACTTTGGCAAGAAGACCCTTACGAATATATACGCATGAAGTTTGGTAAGGAATTTTCACGTTTTTAGAAACAAAAAATGTCAGTAATTAAGATTACAGTGATTGCATGTAGCCAACCTAGGGGGTATTATGTATCTTCTTTGTTGTTTTAATGTAATTGATCCCTTGTGTAGTCCTTTTTGGGGCTATTTATTAATTATGACATTTGATAATGATAATCTTATTTTTGGCAGACACAAATTCAATACTGTTAAGTTTTTATTACTGAATACCAAAACTGTTAGATATTCAAGATTACACCTCAACACTAAATGTCTTAACTATACTTTTGGATCTTATGTTAGCCATCATATGAGTGGGAAATGAGAAAACACATCTAGGAAGCTGGTGTCACATGAAGTCCTTGCACAGAACTAAAGAATTGTAATTTGGCTAATAATGTTGAATATTGGTCCTTATTCTTACCAAGTCATTTGTGCTTTTTGCAGCTTGTACTTTTGTGACCCTGTTGTGAAAATTCTCACATCAGTAGTGTTTCATACATACGATTTAAACTGCTGAGTTCTGAGTTAATAAATAAAAATGAAAGCTATTAGGAGGAATTCATGGATTAACATTTAATTTTCACAGGCCAGGTGCGGTGGCTAAGGCCTGTAAATCCCAACGTGTTGGGAGGCCGAGGCAGGCAGATCGTTTGAGGTCAGGAGTTTGAGACCAGCCTGACCAATATAGTGAAACCCCATCTCTACTAAAAATACAAAAATTAGCCGGGCGTGGTGGCAGGCACCTGTAAACCAGCTACTTGGGAGGCTGAGGCAGGAGAATTGCTTGAACCTGGGAGATGGAGGTTACAATGAGCCGAGATCGCCCACTGCACTCCAGCCTGAGTGACAGAGCGAGACTCCATCTCAAAACAAACAAAAGCATTCAATTTGTACAGAAAAGACATTGAATTCTGCTTTTGCAAAATTATAAAGGGATCTGGGATCATTTTCATACCTTATGTAAAGATTAAGCATGTTTTTTAATGCTTTGTTGAAGAAATTAATGTTTATTGTCTTAATTTTAAACTTGTTCTCTAGATGTGTTTGAAGATTTCATTTCTCCTACCACTGCTGCCCAGACACTTTTGTTTACAGCCTGTAGTAAGAGGAAAGAGGTAGGCTTATTTAATGTTTAGATAACTTTTCTGTATTATTTAAAATTTATTCAACTATACACTTTTTAAATGTTAGTCATGTGAGTCATTTTGTTAGTATGTTTTTTAAGGACTGTTGGCCTATTCAGTAACAATACTTTTCTCTTTTAATCTAGGTACTGCAAAAGACTATGGGATTTTGTTACCAGATTCTTACAGAACCAAATGCTGACCCTCGAAAAAAAGATGGAGCCCTGCATATGATTGGCTCTTTAGCTGAAATACTTCTGAAGGTATTCTTTAGTGTGTTTGTATGTGCATGACTATGCAAGTAGTTTTAAAAAATAAATAGCCAGCCAGGCACAGTGGCTCACTTCTATAATCCCAGCACTTTCGGGATGCTGAGGCAGGCAGATTGCCTGAGCCCAGGAGTTTGAGAACAGCCTGGGCAACATAGTGATACCCCCATCTCTATAAGGATAAAAAATAGGCCGGGTGTGGTGGCTTATGCCTGTAATCCCAGCTATTTGGGAGGCCAGGGCGGGGGGATCACCTGAGGTCAGCAGTTGAAGACCAGCCTGGCCAACATGGTGAAACCCCGTCTCTACTAAAAATACAAAAATCCGCCGGGCGTGATGGCTCACGCCTGTAATCCCAGCATTTTGGGAGACCGAGGTGGGTGGATCATGAGGTCAGGAGATCGAGACCATCCTGGCTAACACAGTGAAACCCCGTCTCTACTAAAAATAAAAATAAAAAATTAGCCGGGCATGGTGGCTGGCGCCTGTAGTCCCAGCTACTCAGGAGGCTGAGGCAGGAGAATGGCTTGAACCCGGGACGTGGAGTTTGCAGTGAGCCGAGATCACGCCACTGCAATCCAGCCTGGGCGACAGAGTGAGACTCTGTCTCCAAAAAAAAAAAAAAAAATCAGCTGGGCATGGTGGTGGGCACCTGTAATCCCAGCTACTTAGGAGGCTGAGGCAGGAGAATCACTTGAACTTGGGAGGCGGAGGCTGCAGTGAGCCGAGGTCATGCCACTGCACTCCATGCTCCAGTCCAGGCGACAGAGACTCCGTCTCAAAAAAAAATAAAAAAATAAAAAATAACAACCTTATGGAGTGTACAACTCAGTGGTTTTTAGTTTATTCACAGTTGTATAACTATCACCCCCAGAAGGAACTCTGTATACATTAGCAGTCACTCCACATATCACCCCAAATCTCCCAACCCTAGGCTACCTATAGTCCACATTTTTTCTATGGATTTGTTTATTGTGGACATTTTATATAAATGGAATCATATAATACGTAGCTCTTTGTGGGTGACTTCTTTCATTTAGTGTAATGTTTTCAAGGATTATCTGTGTTATAGCAGGTTTCAGTACTTTTTCCTTTTTGTTGCCAAATTATATTTCATTATATTAATATACCACATTTTATTTACTCATTCATTAGTTGTTTCTACTTTCTGGCTGCTTACAAATGTTGCTGTGAACATTCATGTTTAAATTTTTATGTGGACATACGTTTTCATTTTTCATGGGTATATACCTAGGAGTATGAATTGCTTGTCATAATTTGAGACACCGCAGAACCCATTTTCCAACGTAGCTATACCATTTTATATTTCTGCCAGCAGTATATTTTGATTATAGCCATCCTAGTGAACGTGAAGCATTATGTCTTTGTGGCTTTGAAATTTTTCATGTGCTTACTATCCGTTTGTATATTTTCTTTAGAGAATATCTATTCAAATTCCTTGCCCCAAAAAAATTGCTTGCCTTTGTTTTTTTTCTTTTTATTTTTTGAGATGGAGTCTTGCTCTGTCACCCAGGCTGGAGTGCAGTGGTGAGATCTTGGCTCGCTGCAGCCACCAGTCTCCCACATTAAAGTGATTCTCCTGCCTCAGCCTCCCAAGTAGCTGAGATTTCCGCCTCCCCGCCCCCCCGCCATATGCTGGAGTGCAGTGGCGCAATCTCGACTCACTGCAACCTCTACCTTCCGGGTTCAAGTGATTCTCATGCCTCAGGTGCCTGCCCCCAGCCTAATTTTTGTATTTTTAGTAGAGATGGGGTTTTGCCATGTTGGCCAGGCTGGTCTCAAACTCCTGGCTTCAGGTGATCCGCCTGCCTCAGCCTCCCAAAGTGCCAGGATTACAGGCGTGAGCCACTGTGCCTGGCCCTTGCCCATTTTTAATTGGGTTATTTGTCTTTTTATAATTGAGTTGTTAGAAATCTTTACATTCTAAAGCCAGGCACTAAGTACTCACAGAATATTTAGTCATTGTGTCTTTTATCTTTTCGTTTTTTGGAAATGGAGCCTCGTTCTGTTATACAGGTTGGAGTGCAGTGGCGTGATCTCTGCTTACTACAACCTCCACCTCCTGAGTTCAAGCGATTCTCCTGCCTCAGCCTCCCGAGTAGCTGGGACTGCAGACACCTGCCACCACACCAGCTAATTTTTGTATTTTCAGTAGAGATGGGGTTTCACCATGTTGGCCTGGCTGGTCTCGAACTCCTGACCTCAGGTGATCCACCCGCCTCGGCTTCCCAAAATGCTGGGATTACAGGCGTGAATCACTGCACCCGGCCGTCTTTCATCTTTTCTATACCTGTTCACCCATCCTTCTCTTTGTTTATAAAGTATGTATTAAAGACATTCTAATCATTTGTGGCATAGAAGGCTGAGAATTAGTGAGTTCTCTTGGCAAATTCAAGTTTATCTATTCTTACCTTTCACTCAGCTTCACTTAGTGGTAATACCTTACATAGGTAGGCAAAGTTATCAAAAACATGAAGTTGATTTTGGTATGCTACTATCAACTAATCCATGGACCTTTTTAAAGTTTCACAAGATTTCCCACTATGTCCTTTTTTCTGTTCCATGACCCAGTCTAGGGTCTCACATTGCATTAAGTTGTCATGTCTGATTATGTAAGTGTTGATATATAAGTGTCTTATGTTTTTAATGTTGATTTAATGTGCAGTTTAAGGAACTCTTCTAAAAAGCTTCTTTCCACTTAGAAAATACTCACTTTGAATACTGAGAGTGCCTTTTTAGAGAATCACTTGAATCTGGGAGGTGGACATTGCAGTGAGCCGAAATTGTGCCACTGCACTCCAGCCTGGGCAACACAGCAAGACTCCGTCTCAAAAAAAAAGAAAAAAAAAAGAGTGTGCCTTTTTAGATAGCCAGTTTATTCGTTTGAAAGCAGGATTTTTCTCAGGTTATGTTATTTTCAGCCAGAAACTTTATCAGACAAGTTTTTTCCTTATAAAAGTTTCATAGTAACAGATAAAATTAACCAAACTTACATCATTCGAACACTATTGCTGGTAAGATTTGGCATAATGGCTTTCTAATCAAGGAATATAAAAACGTGAAAATGTGTTTAGTGGTTTTTGGTGGTGAAGTTCTGGAATACGAAAATTGGTTGTGGATTCTGGGGTTCAAAGAATGAGAATAAATATATGTAACATTAATAGTCATTTTTAATAGTGTTATATCTGTTTGGAAATTGAGATGATTATATTTGGAACTGTATCAAAATAACTGTTGTTTATATTTACAGAAAAAGATCTATAAAGATCAGATGGAATACATGTTGCAGAATCATGTATTCCCTCTCTTCAGCAGTGAACTAGGCTACATGAGAGCAAGGGTATGTTTTAAAGCTGCATTATTTATATACTTTTGTCTTGTAATGAATGACTCTGTGGACTTTTATATTGAAACTTTTAAATGTTCACTTTGAAGCCTGTGTCTTATTTTAGGTTTCTGTTTAATGTAAATCTTTACATGGCTGCTGTAATGTGTGCATAGGTTTCATCTGTGTCTGGTAGCAGTGTCTGTCTGTGTTTTTCATTCAGATCTTGCTATCCACACAAACATCATGCGGCCAAAGAGTAACTTGGGATCATAGTACTGGTCTAGTGTTGTCTCTGGACACATCTACCACTGGCCAGCCTCCAAATTCCCACACACAGAACTCAGGGAATAGAGATTAGCTTGGGGGAATTTAAGGTAAGGTATCTACAGTAACTCACTGTGTTTTTACAAAAGGCTTGCTGGGTACTTCACTATTTTTGTGAAGTGAAGTTCAAAAGTGATCAGAACCTTCAAACAGCCTTAGAGCTAACAAGAAGATGTCTGATTGATGATAGAGAAATGCCTGTGAAAGTGGAAGCTGCCATTGCCCTTCAAGTATTGATCAGCAATCAAGAAAAAGGTAAAGGATTTTTGTATGTCAAGAAAAGTGAATGTTGGCCAGGTGCGGTAGGTCACACCTGTAATCTTAGCACTTCGGTAGGCTTAGGTGGGAAGAGCGCTTGAAGCCAGGTGTTCAAGACCAGCCTGGGCAACATCTCTACAAAAAAAATTTTTAAAAATTAACTGGACATAGTGGCATGTACCTGTAGTGCCAGCTACTTGGGAGTCTGAGGCAGCAGGATCACTAGAGCCCGACGGTTCGAGGCTGCAGTGTGCTACGATTGCCACTACCCTCCAGCCTGGGCAACAGATCAAAACCCTGCCTCTTATAAAATATATATATATATATTAATTGTAAAAAGCCATAATCCTAGAAACTTGGCATACTTCCTTTTTATGTGAAAGTACTTTTTTAAAAAACTCATCGATATTTGTTATATCAGGTTTTAAGAAGTTTTAGGGGTTTTACGCAAGTTTTTTACTCTTTCTCTTACAGCTAAAGAATATATCACACCATTCATCAGACCTGTAATGCAGGCTCTTCTTCACATTATAAGAGAAACAGAAAATGATGACCTTACCAATGTAATTCAGAAAATGATCTGTGAATATAGTGAAGAAGTTACTCCTATTGCAGTAGAAATGACACAACATTTGGTATGTTGTTTGAACCTACCATATTTGCAAGCATTTTAATGTAGCTCTCAGTATGTTCCAGGTTGTGTCACCAGTGGCTTGCCTTACCTTATAGCAGTCAACCTTTTTGGCACCTGGGATCGGTTTCATGGAAGATAATTTTTCCACAGATGGTCCGGGGGAGATGGCTTTGGGATGAAACTGTTCCACCTCTTATCAGACAGGCAATGGTTTCTCATAAGGGGTGTGCAACCTAGATCCTTGAATGCACATTTCACAGTAGGGTTCACGCTCCTGTGAGAATTTCCGGCAGTAATGCTCACTCACCTACCACTTATCTACTGCTCCTAACAGGCCATGGACCGGTACCAGTCCACTGCCTGGAGACTGGGGACCCCTGCCTTATAGTAGATATTTCACAGACATTACTGTGTAGCACGTAAAGCCCTTGACAGATACTTAACTTACTTAATTCTAACACAATCATGTGTCAGAATTATTCCTGTTTTACGGAGAAAATATGAGGTATAAAATGGTTTATTGCCTAAGCTAGGCAGGGTGCGGTTGGGATTTATATATGGGCCTTCATGGTACTTGTTCTTAACTACTACCTCGGGCTGCAGCATGACTATCTGCATAGTGCCCTGGAATGCTCAAAATAATCGATTGAATTTTACAAAAGATAAATCAGTGACCCCCTTGATGATTAAATATACTTTTATTTGGACATTGTCAAGTGTTAACCAGTAATATTAATGAAAACTATTCATAATATTAAGTACTTTTTATACCTTGCCTCATTTAGTCCTCGTACGGTGTCTATGAAATCCCCGAAGTGGCATGCAGAAAAGGTCAAGAGAAGTCAAGTAGCTTGTTTAAGGTCACCCAATGAGCAGACTATTTGATTATAGAGCTTAAGCTCTTTATTATCATTAATCAATTTGGAGACATTGATTTGTTGTGGTATCCCAATGAGAACGTTCTAAGAATTAAAAGTCTTAGACCAAAACATATTTATAATGCTTCAGTGACAAACTTGAGTTATATTCTCTTGAATCTAGGCAATGACATTTAACCAAGTAATCCAGACGGGGCCAGATGAAGAAGGTAGTGATGACAAAGCAGTTACTGCTATGGGAATTCTGAATACAATTGATACACTTCTTAGTGTAGTTGAAGATCATAAAGAGGTAAGAAGATGATCTAGTGTTGCAGTTTTTCAAGCCATTTTATGCTTTTTAGAGGGCTCTAATATCTCTCTGGCATCTCATGTACCATGTTTTTGCCATTTTCCCTTTTATAAAGATAAGATTGGTACATTATATTTTAAGTTCTAAAGTATTAGTAGAAGGAATAGGAAGCAGGTATTTGTTTTACCATCTTAGGGCTCAGGATTTTGGCTCCTCGTTATGTTTTCTCAGATCCAGAAATATGGTGGTTCCCAGAAAAACAAAAATATTTTTCTTAGTTTTCTTTTTCTTTGAAAAATTTTGGTTATACACATAGCATAAAATTTACAATCCTAACCATTTTTAAGTATATAGTTCACTAATATTAAGTATATTCACATTGTTATGCAACCATCACTACCATCTTCCTAGTTTTCTTCTTTTCTAGTTGTCTTTTGGAAAAGTAAGAATTGTAATAATGGATTTTTTTTTTTTTGAGATGGAGTCTCACTCTGTCACCCAAGCTGGATTGCAATGGTCACTGCACCTGACCCTGAAATTGTTTTTCTTAACATAATGGAAATATTCTAAGTGTTAAGAATGTAATAAAGTTTAGGTGATTAAGAAGTTTTGGTTATAGTTTTCTTATTATTTACTCTTTTCTGTATGTTTTAAATAACTCCATTTTTTAAAAAATCCATTATTGGGCGGCCAGGCATAGTGGCTCATGCCTGTAATCCCAGCACTTTGAGAGGCCGAGGTGGGCAGATCACCTGAGGTCAGGAGTTCGAGACCAGCCTAGCCAACGTGGTGAAACCCCTGTCTCTACTAAAAATACAAAAATTAGCTGGGCATGGTGGCGGGCGCCTGTAATCCCAGCTACTTGGGAGGCTGAGGCAGGAGAATCACTTGAACCCGAGAGGCAGACGCTGCAGTGAGCATAGATCGCGCCACTGCACTCCAGCCTGGGCGACAGAGTGAGACACTGTGTCAGAAAAGAAAGAAAGAAAGAAAAAACAATTTGAGATAGATGCAGTTGAAAGCCCTCAGGGGACCACTTCCTAACCCCTTTTCCCTACTTCCTTTCTTCCCATAGAAGTAACACTGTCATGAATTTGGTGTTTATAATTCCAATGCAGATGCTTGTAATGTATCTCTTATCCGTAAATTACATGTTTTCTGCAAGTTGCCTTTTGCAGCATGAGGTTTTTCACTAAACTTTTTTTTTTTTTTTTTTGAGACAGAGTCTCCCTTTGTTGCCTAGGCAGGAGTGCAGTGGCGCCATCTTGGCTCACCGCAACCTCTGCCTCCCAGGTTCAAGTGATTCTCCTGCCTCAGCCTCCTGAGTAACTGGGAGTGCAGGCGCGCACCACCATGCCCAGCTAATTTTTCTATTTTTAGTAGAGACAGGGTTTCACCATGTTGGCCGGCAGGTCTGGAACTCCTGACCTCAAGTGATCCGCCTCCCTTGACCTCCCAAAGTGCAGAAATTACAGGCGTGAGCCACCACGCCAGCCACGTAAACTGTTTTTGTATTCTGCCTTATAATTGAATATAAGCAGAAGCCATGACCAATCCTATAGGTGCTTTATGTTTTAACAGATTAATTGTTTATTCTATTTTAGGAATTGTAAATGTATTAAGTTCTGTATATTTGAAATGGATGTCTTGCTTTTATATCTGATTAGTGGATATTATTTTACCCTTCCTCCCCTTAACATTCTTATGGCCCTCAGGGATTTGGGATCTAATTTAGGACTATCTAGACAATTATAGAGGAATTTGTATTTCTTGTCAGTCTTGAGTTGGGGGCTGAGTTCACATTCCATGGTTCACTATATCTAATAAAATTTGAAAAACTAAGGTGACTTAAGGATTATTGAGATTCGTAGCAATAATGCCTTCCTTCGGATAATTTCTCTGTGAGTCATTGACGGTGACTTTTCAATTACATTGAGCTGAATTAATCTCTATTTGCACATAACAGATGGGCTATCTTCCAAATGGTTTTTTTTTTTTTTTTGAGATGGAGTTTTGGTCTTGTTGCCCAGGCTGGACTGCAATGGCGCTCGGCTCACTGCAACCTCCACCTCCTGGGTTCAAGCAATTCTCCTGCCTCAGCTTCCCAAGTAGCTGGGATTACAGGCACCCGCCACCATGCCTGGCTAATTTTTTGTATTTTTAGTAGAGACGGGGTTTCACCATGCTGGCCAGGCTGGTTGCAAACTCCTGACCTCAGGTGATCCACCCACCTTGGCTTCCCAAAGTGCTGGGATTACAGGCGTGAGCCACCGCGCCCGGCCAACTCCTTTATTTTCATAGTTGTTTGCATTTTTCGAGAATGTTGTTTTTTCCTTTTTAGGTAAATTAAGCTAGCCATTCCTTGTGTTTTTCTCATTGTAATGGTATTTCATTCTATTTTTATCTGAGATCACAATTTCATAATGTGTAAGTCATTTTAAAACAAAGACTTATTTTTTTCACAATATTGACTTTATATTTAAGTGTACTGAATTATAATATGCGTTGTCTTACTAAGTCATTTAGTAGGCTGTAACTGCATATGATTTTTTTTCTTCTCTTTTAGATAACCCAACAGCTTGAGGGAATCTGCTTACAGGTCATTGGTACTGTTTTACAACAGCATGTCTTAGGTATTATACCTCTGATTGTGCTAAGAATTTAGTGCTATTTCACATGAGCAAGCATTTTCCTAATGACTTAGTATTCTCTTTTAGAATTCTATGAGGAGATCTTCTCTTTAGCGCACAGTTTGACATGTCAACAAGTGTCTCCACAGATGTGGCAGCTACTACCCCTTGTATTTGAAGTCTTTCAGCAAGATGGCTTTGATTACTTTACAGGTGAGTCAAAGCAGCATGGAAATACTGAGGGTTTTCCCTGCTTTGATTTATTTGTAGCTTATCATTTGAACATACACTTTTTTTTTTTTTTTTTGAGTCGGAATTTTGCTCTTGTTGCCCAGGCTGGAGTGCAATGGTGCGATCTCAGCTCATCGCAACCTATGCCTCCTGGGTTCAAGTGATTCTCCTGCCTCAGCCTCCCAAGTAGCTGGGATTACAGGCATGCGCCACCATGCCCGGCTAATTTTGTATTTTTAGTAGAGACAGAGTTTCTCCATGTTGGTCAGACTGGTCTCGAACTCCCGACCTGAGGTGATCCGCCCACCTCAGCCTCCCAAAGTGCTGGGATTACAGGCATGAGCCACTGCGCCTGGCCTGAACGTACACTTTTGAATGTTCAGACTGCTTCACTGTTCGGAACAATTATCAGTAGAAGTTAATGCTCTCAGTGGTGATGCATGATATTGATTTCTGCTATATAATTTAGTTATTTTAGGCTTATTCTTTGTTAACACAGATACATACCCACACACCCCCTTGTAATCTTCTCCATATAAATGTAAAAATGTGTCTATAATTTTTATGTTTAAGTACAAAGAAAATCACTTTAATAATAGGTTCATTTCTGCATTTAATTATAAATGAATATGTTTTAATTAAAACTAAATGTTAAGGCCAGGCTTAGTGGATCACACCTGTAATCCTAGCACTTTGGGAAGGTGGGAAAGCACTTCAGTCCGGGAGTTCTCAACCAGCCTGGGCTATTAGACCCTGTCTCTAAAAAAAACTTTTAAAAATTAATCAGGCGAGGTGGCGTGTGCCTATAGTCCCAGCTACCTGGGTGGCTGAGGTGGGAGGATCACCTGAGTCCAGGATTTTGGTGTTACAGTGAGTTTTAATCACACCACTGTATTGGGCACTCCATCCTGAGCAACAGAGTGAGAGTGTCCCCCCTCCCCCCAAAAAAAGGTGAATGTTAGAGACAAAATGATCTCATAGATTTGCCTTTTTCTAAGGAAATTTTTCAAAAGCAAAGAAAGCATTTGTGTTACTAAAGATGTGTAACCGATGTTTTTTATTAATACAGATATGATGCCCCTCCTTCATAATTATGTAACAGTTGATACAGACACACTTCTGTCTGACACCAAGTATCTTGAAATGATATACAGTATGTGCAAAAAGGTAGGTCATTTTTATATATCAGATTTCATGAGGCTTCTGCTATAAAATGTATGAAATTGTGAAAACTCATGTGATACCACATTGTAGTAATAAACATGTAAACATGGATCTGACAGAATTAAGGGCTTTAAAAGTTAAAAGTCATTGGTCCCTAGATGCCACAGTTTTGATAAATATATGTCTTTTGTGTGCCCTCTGACACTTGGAATTTGTTTTTGAATTTTAGAGTGCCCGGAGTTTAACTAACATAGTCTTATGGAATCAAAAGAAGGAAAGAGTCAAGAACTTGAGAGATTTTTGAAAGGATTAGGAATGGATAGAGATGTTTTATAAAGGAAAAGGTTAGCAGCTATAGGTTTACAACAAGCAATAGGAAATGAATGTCCCCCTTTTGTTTGGTTGGGGAAACAAATAAACTGGAGTCCATCAATATCAAAGTCAGTGTAATTGGAAGCATTTTAATTTCTAGCAATGTCTGTTGTAGGTCGTTAGAAAATGATTTGCTCCATGAAGTTTTTAGATTTCTTTCACTCATCTCTTTCCTTTCTGAACACGAAGTCACACATAATCATCTAGTTATGTTAGTCATTTTTTACTGCCAATTATATTATTTATATTAATATTCTGGGAGCAGAGATATACCTATACTATCTACATTTCTATTCCTGAACACTTATTCATATGTTTATACTCATCTAGTTTTCACTAGCCTTCAAGTCCATGTTCATTTCTTGTCTGGAGTTTATAGGGCAACATTTGCCCTCAACAGGCTGCCTCTTCCTCCCTCCGTTCCTCTCTCCCCTACTGGTTTTTTGTGTTATTGTTGTTTTCTTTTTTAAAGAGAAAAGGGTTTCCTAGAAATGTCAACATCTTAGCTTTTTGTAGTTCTTTACGTGAGAAAGGTTAGGTGTTTTAGCTACCACCTGTGTATGAGAAGTTAGTGGTTGTCAACTTGCTGTAATCCAGAATGGCACTACAGGATAGGTGCTTTGATCACAAAGACCAAGATGCCAGAGGGCTAGACTATGAAAGATAGGAGGCAGACAGCTCCAGATCCTCACAGCTATCCAGATCCTTTAGTCTTTCATCTGTGCAATGAACATTGCAGTTATTCATATTAATTAGGGTACCTCAAGTAATACTCAGAGCCTGTACACAGGGTAGGAAATTGTTTCCTTGATTTAGATACCTGATTTAAAGGATAAAGCCTTACTGCAATTTATATTCTGTTTTGATCAGGTTCTTACAGGAGTTGCAGGAGAAGATGCAGAGTGTCATGCAGCAAAATTGTTAGAGGTCATCATTCTGCAGTGCAAAGGGCGTGGCATTGACCAGGTCAGTGAAGCTAATAATGATTTGTAGTTCAGAGGGGTAATCTTTTCCTTCCACTTTCTTTCTTCATTTTTTGGCATTTGTTGCATATTCTGTATGTTTTTGTTTATTGAGACATCTAGACAACTAATATTTTTAGTTCAAAATGTAACTAATATATAATAATGATCATATGTTTAATGTACAGGAATTGGACTAAGTTTTATGGCTACTTTGTTATCATGAAAGGTAAACTTTTGCTTAAGATTTTTTGGATAGCTTTAGTAATTAAATATCCATGGTCAGTTTTTTTGTTTGTTTGTTTTGTTTTGTTTGTTTTTTGTTTTTTGTTTTTTTTGAGTGAGAGTCTTGCTCTGTTGCCCAGACTGGAGTGCAGTGGCACATTCTCTGCTGACTGCAACCAGATTCAAGCAGTTCTCCTGCCTCAGCCTCCCAAGTAGCTGGGATTACAGGTATACACCACCACAACCGCCTGATTTTATATATATATATATATATATATATATTTTTTTTTTTTTTTTTTTTTTTTTTTTTTTTTTTGAGACGCTGTCTCGCCCTGTCGCCTAGGCTGGAGTGCAGTCGCGCAATCTCAGCTCACTGCAACCTCTGCCTCCCAGGTGCAAGCAGTTCTCTGCCTCTGCCTCCTGAGTAGATGGGATTATAGGTGCCTGCCACCACACCTGGCTAATTTTTTATATTTTTAGTAGAGAAGGAGTTTCGCCATTTTGGCCAGGCTGGTCTCAAACTCCTGACCTCAAGTGTTCTGCCCACCTCAGACTCCCAAAAGTGCTGGGATCGCAGGCATGAGCCACGTCACCCGGCCCACGGTCAATTTTAATAGGAACTTGTGAAGCCATGATTGATATCATCGTGAGCTTTTATTTATTTTTTATTTATTTCATATATTTTTTTGAGACAGAGTCTCGCTCTGTCGCTCAGGCTGGAGTGCAGTGGCGCGATCTCAGCTCACTGCCTCTGCCTCCCAGGTTCACGCCATTCTCCTTCCTCAGCCTCCCAAGTAGCTGGGACTACAGGCACCCGCCACCACGCCTGGCTAATTTTTTGTATTTTTAGTAGAGACGGGGTTTCACTGTGTTAGCCAGGATGGTCTTGATCTCCTGACCTCGTGATCCGCCTGCCTCAGCCTCCCAAAGTGCTGGGATTACAGGCGTGAGCCACCACTCCCGGCCCGTCGTGAGCTTTTAATAGCTCCATGAAGACTACTAGACTTTCTCTAAAATTAGATTTCCCAGTGCAGTGCCTCAGCAGTAAATATTGGTCATCTAATGCTACAATAGGGTTAATTGAGGCAACAAAGAAGTTAATATTTTTAGAATGTTTGCATGCTATTAATTATAGTCTTAGAATATCTTGCTATCTTTTTTTGTAGTGCATTCCCTTATTCGTGGAAGCAGCCTTAGAAAGACTGACAAGAGAGGTTAAGACAAGTGAACTTCGAACTATGTGTCTGCAAGTTGCAATTGCAGCTTTGTATTATAATCCACACCTACTACTCAATACCTTAGAAAATCTTCGCTTCCCTAATAATGTTGAACCAGTTACAAATCATTTTATTACACAGTGGCTTAATGATGTTGACTGTTTCTTGGGGTAAGTGATGTATTGCAATTTTACTACATTTGCTTTGGGAGGAACTCTGCTTATTTAAGAAAAGAAAACAGTTTTTTTTTTTTTTTTTTTTTTTTTTTTTTTTAGGCTTCATGACAGAAAGATGTGTGTTCTCGGACTCTGTGCTCTTATTGATATGGAACAGATACCCCAAGTTTTAAATCAGGTTTCTGGACAGATTTTGCCGGCTTTTATCCTTTTATTTAACGGATTGAAAAGAGCATATGCCTGCCATGCAGAACATGAGAATGACAGTGATGATGATGATGAAGCTGAAGATGATGATGAAACCGGTAAGGGATTTTCAATGGAAGAAGACAAAACTTATCTACTTAGAAATATTACCGCACTGGGCCGGGCGCAGTGGCTCAGGCCTGTAATCCCAGCACTTTGGGAGGCTGAGGCAGGTGGATCACACGGTCAGGAGTTCGAGACCAGCCTGGCCAGTATGGTGAAACCCCACCTCTACTAAAAATACAAAAATTAGCTGGGTGTAGTGGTGGGCACTTGTAGTCCCAGCTACTTGGGAGGCTGAGGCAGGAGAATCGCTTGAACCCATGAGGCGGAGGTTGCAGTGAGCCAAGATTGCATCACTGCACTCCAGCCTGGGTAACAGAACGAGACTCCATCTCAGATTAAAAAAAAATATATATATATATCACTAGCCCTTCTCCCAAATAAATGTGGGATCATACCCAAATGCTTTCATTCACAGAAAAGACTTCCTTTCTTCTCACTAGAGTGATGTAATCAGGAACTTCAGCTGTATTACCAACATGTAGAACAGTTCAAACCATTATAGTATGCAACCAACAAAGATTTGTTTATTTTACACATTCTCAGCACTGTAGATACAAAGATGAATGAGATGTCATGCAGTTCTTCAAAAGTTTTCTATCCGACTGTGGGAAAGTATTACAAAGCCAAATAATTATGTATATAATAATAGAGTTGACACGAAGTGCTGAGTCCACTTAAGAGCGAGAGATTATAGTTCCCTTTTTTATATGGTGGCATGAGCCTATAGTCCCAGCTACTTGGAAGTCTGAGGTATCAGATTCGCTTGAGCCCAGGAGTTTGATTCCAGCCTGGGTAACATAGTGAAACCCCAGTTTTTTGTTTTTTGGCTTTTTTTCCTTTGAGACGGAGTTTTGCTCCTGTTGCCCAGGCTGGAGTGCAACAGCGCGATCTTGGCTCACTGCAACATCTGCCTCCCGGGTTCAAGCAATTCTCCTGCCTCAGCCCCCCAGATAGCTGGGATTATAGGCACGTGCCACCATGCCCAGCTTATTTTTGTATTTTTAGTAGAGACAGGATTTCACCATGTTGGCCAGGCTGGTCTGGAACTCCTGACCTCAGATGATCCACCCTCCTGGGCCTCCCAAAGTGCTGGGATTACAGGCGTGAGCCACTGCACTGAGCCGTGAAACCCCATTTCTTTAAAAAAAGTTGTGGGGATTACATGAGGGAATCCTTGACGCTTAAATAGTGCTTGGCAGATGGCACTGAATTAACAGTATTAACAAAGGTACACATATCATTATAGTTACTATTACAAGATTTATGGGGGTTTTTTTTGTTTGTTTTTTTTTGTTGTTGTTGTTGAGACGGAATCTCGTTCTGTCGCCAAGCTGGAGTGCAATGGCAATCTTGGCTCACTGCAACCTCCGACTCCCGGGTTCAAGCGATTCTCCTGCCTCAGCCTCCCAAGTAGCTGGGATTACAGGCGTGTGCCACCACACCGGCTAATTTTTGTATTTTTAGTAGAGATGGGGTTTCACCGTGTTGGCCAGGGTGGTCTCAATCTCCTGACCTCATGATCTGCCTGCCTTGGCCTCCTAAAGTGTTGGGATTACAGGCGTGAGCCACCGCGCCCGGCGAATTATGGGGTTTTCATTTTATTTTTAAGCTTCTAAAGATTTATGGTCTTAATGTTGACTAAATTTATTGGAGACATCCATCCTATCATCTATTAATTCTAAAACCTAAGCATACTTGCACTATAACATTATGTTAATTAAATGTTGATAAATACATTTTATCTATAAGACTGTACACTATCAGTGTATAAATTGATAAAATATTAAGAGAAATTATTATAAGGGTTTCAACATAAGATAGCTATTGCTATTTTTGTCTTTTATCATTTACTAACTTAGCCAGCCTTTTAAAAAAAATCTTACAAAAGGTTTGGTGGGTGTAACGGTAGTGTGTTCATACTGCGCAGTTCTTTTTCAGATGTCTAGTATTAAGAACACATTAAATCAAGGTTGGTTTTCTTGGACTCCTATGGAAATTTTCATTTCTATTCATTATTGAACATGTATTTAAACACCAATTCCTGGAGCTCTCTCTTGTCACTTGTGACTTGTAATTTACTGACAGTGATTGAGATGATTGTCAATTTGTTGAGTAACAAAATATGTCATTGTTATAAAAGTACTTATATTATGACTTGGCAGAGGAACTGGGGAGTGATGAAGATGATATTGATGAAGATGGGCAAGAATATTTGGAGATTCTGGCTAAGCAGGCTGGTGAAGATGGAGATGATGAAGATTGGGAAGAAGATGATGCTGAAGAGACTGCTCTGGAAGGCTATTCCACAATCATTGATGATGAAGATAACCCTGTTGATGAGTATCAGATATTTAAAGCTATCTTTCAAAGTAAGTCAACTTGTTACATGTGGATCCATTTCATTGAACAAATCTGTTGTAGTTTCTGCCTGCCCTTTAAAGGAAGAGTTTGGAGGATATCAAACCCAGACTAGAAAAGGCTGGTTAGGCAAAGTAACCAAAATTATTTCTAAGGTTGCCATAGTTTCTGAGTATTCTTTATTCATCCTGTTATTTTACATTTAGATTGTAATTTTGGAAGATTATAGGAAAATAATGTAGTTCAAAAAAGTATACAGTGACAGTGCCTCTTTGCTACTTCTGATTCCCAATCTCCCAGCTTTCCTCAGAAGTAACCACTCTTACGTGTATACCTGTTTGTTGTATGTTATTATTTGTGTGTATCCTTTTTTCCTGCCCAAACCTATACTTAACGTGTTAAGAGTATATTAGCATTTATGGCATATGATCTTATAATTCTTTTTTTCCTATATTCTGTGATGTGTTAACTAATTTAATCTATTATTACTAAATTAGCACTTTCGGCATAATCAAATTTTTAGCTTTAAACAACTAATTTAACCTTGAGATTTTTGAATTATATATGCCTAGGATTCTGGAGCCACGTACACTGTTAAATATTCCAAGAAAAGTCCACTGTTCCTATAATGTGTCATTGTATGTGGCTCCAGAATACTAGGTTCTGGTTGGTTTTTACCATCATTTACTTGGATTTCAACAAGGTATAGCATTTGTGTTTTACCATCCACGTTAAGAAATTAAATTTCCCCTGTATTTGAAACATCTTTTCCTCTCAGAGTTAATTGCTGTTATATATCATTTCCTATGCACTGGGAACTGATGAATATATTTTTTGATAGAATACATTATCTGATAACCAAGGATTTGAGTCTTCTAAGCCCATGACAAGGCAGTTTTGATGCAAGGTTACAGAAGCACAAAGTGCTGGTTTCTGAGCTACATGGCAGCAAGAACTGATTGAGGTGCCAAACTTGTTGTTTCTGTGCCTTGTACTTTGTAGACAGACACCACATGTCAGTCCCTAAAGAATGGTTCCTAACACGGGGCCCATGTACCACAGTAGCCTTGATGATTTTCAAGTTGCTTTAGCTCTGAATCTTTTAAGATGGTTGGGTTAGCTTTATTCCTGAAGTCTCCCTGGTTTGTTACTTACTATATAAGAACTAGTTAGGCTGAGTCCTTATTTGCTGGAGAGATGGATCGTAAGAATGATTAGAGTTTTTGGAGCCATAAAGATAAGCTGTAGTTAATTTTTATTCCTATATCTGTTGTTTCACAAATATGGTAATTTTAAAAATTATTGGGAGAATATAAAATAGATCAGAATTTCAGTATTGCCTCGGGATGGAGTAGGAGGAATAGTGTAGAACGGAGCTACCAAGCCTCTCTTATTCATGTTGTTTTTCCCTTGTTTTTATTTTTTGATAGCTATTCAAAATCGTAATCCTGTGTGGTATCAGGCACTGACTCACGGTCTTAATGAAGAACAAAGAAAACAGTTACAGGACATAGCAACTCTGGCTGATCAAAGAAGAGCAGCCCATGGTATGTTAATTAACTGTAACTCCTCTTTAATTAGTGACTTTTATAGGTTTAAAATTTTATATCGTTTAATTTTATATCATTAAATTTTATCATTTAAGATGATATAAAAGGTATAGTTGTTGCAGGTGATAGGAATTAACTCTAATCTGAGGGATTTAATTCAAGATAACTTAATTTTGGCTTTGGCTACAGTTGGCTTTTTTCGTTTTTTTTTGTTTGTTTGTTTGTTTGTTTGAGATGGCGTCTTGCTCTGTCGCCCAGGCTGTAGTGCAGTGATGCGATGTCAGCTCACTGCAAGCTCTACCTCCCGGGTTCATGCCATTCTCCTGCCTCAGCCTCCCAAGTAGCTGGGACTACAGGCACCTGCCACTACACCTGGCTAATTTTTTGTATTTTTAGTAGAGACAGGGTTTCACTGTGTTAGCCAGGATGGTATCAATCTCCTGACCTCATGACCCGCCCGCCTCGGCCTCCCAAACTGCTGAGATTACAGGCGTGAGCCACCACACCCAGCCCCAGTTTGTTTATTTTTAAGTATAATTGGGCCAGGTGTGGTGGCTCATGCCTGTAATTCCAGCACTTTGGGAGGCCACGGTGGGTGGATTGCCTGAGCTCGGGAGTTTGAGACCAGCCTGGGCAACATGACCAAACTCTGTCTCTACTAAAATACAAAAAACTAGCCAGGCATGGTGGCACATGCCTATATTCCCAGCTACTCAGGAGGCTGAGGCAGGAAAATTGCTTGAACCTAGGAGGCGGAGGTTGCAGTGAGTTGAGATTGCACTACTGTTCTCCATCCTGGGCAACAGAACGAGACTCCATCTCCAAAAAAACAGAAACAAAAAAAACTAGAGAACACAGCCAGACATGGTGGCGCATGCTTGTAATCCCAGCTACTTGGGAGGCTGGGGCAGGCAAGTCCTTGAACCCAGGAGGCAGAGGTTGCAGTGAGCCGACATCACGCCATTGCACTGCAGCCTGGGTGACAAGAGCAAAAGTCTGTCTCAAAAAAACAAAAAAAAGTACAGTTGAAGACTACTTTCAGTTTGCAATAACTTTAGCTCATGGTGATGGTTAGATAGTAGAAAGTTCTGTTAAAAATGTAAACACCTAAGCCGGGCGCAGTGGCTCACACCTGTAATCCCAGCACTTTGGGAGGCTGAGGCGGGTGGATCACCTGAGGTTTAGAGTTCGAGACCAGCCTGACCAACGTGGAGAAACCCCATCTCTACTGCAAATACAAAATTAGCCAGGCGTGGTAGGCATGCCTGTAATCCCAGCTACTCGGGAGGCTGAGGCAGGAGAATTGCTTGAACCCGGGAGGTGGAGGTTGCGGTGAGCCGAGGTCGCGCCATTGCACTCCAGCCTGGGCAACAAGAGCGAAACTCCGTCTCAAAAAAAAAAAAAAAAAATTTAAACACTTGGCCAGGCGTGGTGGCTCATGCCTGTAATCCCAGCACTTTGGGAGGCCAAGACAGGAGGGTTGCTTGAGTTTGGAAGTTGAAGTCCAGCCTGGGCAACATAGTGAGACATCATCTCTACAAAAAATAAAATTAGCCAGGCATGGTGGTGCATGCCTGTAGTCCCAGCTACTTGGGAGGCTGAGGCTGGAGGATCACTTGAATGTGGGAGGTGTAGGTTATAGTGAGCCATTATTGTGCCACTGTACTCTAGCCTGGGTGCCAGAGTGAGACCCCGTCTCCAAAAATGTAAAAACTTACGAAGTTAAATAGCTCCCAGACATATCTTTTCATCTTTAAATGTTTCAGTGTGCAATTTTTAAAAGTACATTTTAAGCCAGGCGCGGTGGCTCACGCCTATAATCCCAGCACTTTGGGAGGCTGAGGCTGGCGGATTACTTGAGGTCAGGAGTTTGAGAGCAGCCTGGCCAACATACAGTGAAACCCTGTCTTTACTAAAAAACACAAAAATTAGCTGGACATGGTGGTGCACACCTGTAGTCCCAGCTACTTGGGAAGCAGAGGCAGGAGAATCGCTCGAACCTGGGAGGCAGAGGTTGCAGTGAGCCAACATTGCGCCACTGCACTCCAGCCTGGGTGACAGAGTGAAACTCTGTCTCTAAAAAAAAAAATAAACAAAAGTACATTTTAGGTTATACACCATTGTTAATGCAAACAATTATCTATAGACTTTTTTTTATAAATTAAAAAAATTATTTTATTTATTTGTTTGAGTGACACTGTCACCCAGGCTGGAGTGCAGTGGTGCAATCTCGGCTCACTGCCACCTCCATCTCCCGATTTCAAGTGATTCTCGTGCCTCAGCTTCCGAGTAGCTGAGATTGCAGGCACGCACCACCACACCCAACTAATTTTTGTATTTTTAGTAGAGACGAGGTTTCACTATGTTGGCCAGGCTGGTCTCAAAAACTCCTGACTCCTGAGGCGGATGGATCACTTGAGGTCGGGAGTTCTAGACCAACCTGGCCAACATGGTGAAACCCTGCCTCTACTAAAAATACAAAAAATTACCCGGGCGTGGTGGCACGCACTTGTAGTCCCAGCTACTTGGGAGGCTAAGGCAGGAGAGAATCGCTTGCACCTGGGAGGCAGAGATTGCAGTGAGCCAAGATCGTGCCGCTGCACTCCAGCCTGGGTGACAGAGCCAGACTCTGTCTCAAAAAAAAAAAAAAAAAAAGATTTTTTTCTTAACAGTGGGAAGTGAAAATTGGCTAAGAAGTCTACAGCATACAGTAAAAGAGATTATATTCTCTACATAATGCATGCTCCCTTGCCCTTATACATTGGAGAAATCATGGATTTTGGAACTTCCTGGCCACTAATGATGGTTAAGCTACTGGCTTGTTTAATGTTTTGTCAGTTTCTCACCAAGTTAGTAGATGATTGAATGCCCTACTAAAATTTTATTTGTTTTCTAGAATCCAAAATGATTGAGAAGCATGGAGGATACAAATTCAGTGCTCCAGTTGTGCCAAGTTCTTTCAATTTTGGAGGCCCAGCACCAGGGATGAATTGAGTTATCTCTTTCTTTCCTGCTGTGTGCTTGTAGTGAAGAGCTTGTGTTCCTCCTAGTAGTGGTTCCAGAACTGGTTCATGTTATCTATTCTAAACTAATAATCAATAGATGGACAAAAGAAACAACAACCCCAGGAGATGGGACCTGATCATGCAACCTGGCACTGGAAAAGAAATCAGCGGGATTTTGGGGGTGGGGGGGGATGGGAGGTACCTTAGAGGGAGTATTTTCTTTATTTTTTGAAGAAAGTAAGATCCTGACTCTGAAGCTTCAAAGTGACACTGTGGAAATCTGAAACGAGGGGATGTCATGAAGGCAGCTTTTCTTTTTCTGAGGAAAAAATAGGCATGGGCTACAGGACTATTTAAAATGTCTCATTTACAGTATAAAACTCAAAGGTAGATGTAATTTTTACACCTATGAGTATTTGTCCAATTTCTGTCTCTTCCTCACCATTGGGTATCTATTCTTTATATGTAAATAAGATAAGGTCATCTGATAGCCTTATTCAGTCTTCATCATTTTCATCATTGTTCCTATGTAGATTATTGGACATTTATTGTAGCACTACATAACTGATTATAAAAATCTGTAAATGAATTAGCACTTTCATATTGAAACAAGCCTGCTAGCCTATGTATAAAATAGCAAAATGTTTGCTGTTTATAAAAAGATGTAATGGGGTGGGGGGCAGGGGTAATTTCAAGTTATTAATTTAAAAATGAACTAGCAATTTTGTACCTGGTGACTTTGTGGTGCACTCACCTCTGATAGTGACTTGAATTCGGTATGTAAAAAGGGGTTAGTGGTATTTCATTGCTGCTAAAAATGACAACTCCCTCTGTGTCCTGTTTTTCTTAAAGCTGTCAGTGTACAAGTGGGTATTTGAATACCAGACCTTACTGTAAAAAATAAAAAAGGTGGTATCTAGAGCATGTAAATTGGATATAAAGTTCTGCTCTTAAAGAGTTGATCTAAGAGTATGGCTAAACATCTATATATGCAATCTATTAAAAGAACTTAATTCGGCTATTATGTCTTGATTTGATTGCAGTTTTTTCCTAATTATAACAAATTTTTCCTCATTGGCCTGTTTTTAATCCTGTGCCTAGAAGGAGTACAAAATGCACACTTTACAAAATTGATATTTAACACTTACCCACTCCCCTTTCCCCATCTCTTCTACCGCTCTTGTTGATCGTGGTATCTGATCTTGACTAGATAGGCTGAAGGCACATGGTTCCCTCCAAAAACCACTATTGATACCACTACAAAAACAAGCCAGCAAAAAGATACTGTAGAGAGGTTGGCTTGCTTCCCTCTCTTCCTAACTGCATGTTGAAAAATAAGCCGTTATTGATCTTAAACATCGGTCAGATGAGTCATACATTGGGTTATTTTTTATATACATGTATACACAAAATATTTCAAATTGAAAGCAACATCTTAATGGATTCAAAACTATTACAAGCTGTTGTCTAAAACAGGTGAGAAAAAAATTTATAACTGTAAAAACAAATGCACATATTGATATTTAAAATGCGTAATTAAGAAAACCCATTGTTGTTGTGTTTTTCTTGTATACCAATAATTAAGCCACTACTGTTGGCACTGTTTGGTTTTCTATTTTAACACTGAAGGAGTGAAAGTATTTCCTATATTTATGAATTTACTACTAAAATCTTGGCAAAAAAAGAAAAAAATTGTCTAACGTGTGTGGGTGAAAACTGTTAATCAAGTGTTTCTACTCCCCCCCGAAAATCCCCTGAAAGTTGGACACCAACTGTATACCCTAGGTTGCTTAAAGGGATTTCACTATTATATAAAGTCAATAAAAATGAAGTAGTTGTATATATGCAACATTGTGTACAGAGGGGAAATAATGAATAGTATTAAAGAAACATTCTCGTCTTCCTTTACCTTTAATCCCCTAATACCTAGTCTACTTTTTAAATTTTCAGACTTCACTGCTTTTTGAATTCATAATTCTAATTTTCACATTATTGTTAATGGAAAATCATATCTAATAAAGGTTTTAGTTATTCCCATGCACAGTATGAAAATTCTCATTTGCTGAGGTTTTGTTTCAAGAAAATGTATTGGCATGTCTTTGAGAACATGTTTTATTGTCTCCTGTGTCATATAATCCAAACTAATCTCCGTTTACAGACTTTAACTTGAAATTAGACCTTATAATTAAACTATTTAAATAGTGTTCAAATGATAGTTTCTAATGCATCAAATATATACCTCAGTTTTCATGATTTCCTTTAACATTATAATTTGGTATAGATCAAGAATCTTAACATGTATCAGTTTCTAGATGAGGCTGCAGGATTTTTGGAAAACTTTTTGAATGTATTTACAATATTCTCTTGTAATTAGCTACATAGGGACTTGTCTTTTTTTCTTTTTACATACAGCTTTTCCTACAGTTTTATTACCCTGTAATTTTTTTTTAGTTGTAGAAGTTAATTCTGATTTTGTGTGGATTTCAGTATTTGTCTTTGTTAATGGCACATATTAGCATAAATCACTTTTGTAAATGTAAGCTTTCTTTTTTTTTCTTGAAAAAGCCTTTCTATTTATCAGTATTAAATAAAGGAAGTTAATCTGTTTCTCTGCAGGTAATAAAATAGTGACACACTGTATTAAGATAGTGACTGCTATACTCAACTCTGGAAGAGACTAGAGTATAGAGCATGAGTGGCAAAACCACAGCCCTTGGGCCATATGCTGCTATTCAGTCCCAGATGTAGCCCCTGAAGCAAGCATAAAGAAAAATGAATTAAAAATTAAATTAATATGGAAAGTTAAAAAATGGATTACATTAGTATGACTAAACCATGTCTTTGGCAAAGATCTAACACAATGTCTTAAGTATAATAGGTAGTCTCTGTTTGTAAAATAAATGACTTAAATTTAAAACATCAGTTATAAAACTGTCAGTTCTGTTCTTTGTAATTTAAATTTTGGTAAAGATTTTCTGTGACCATTTATCAGTGCCTACTGAATTCTAGCTTTTATCCTTGGTGAGTTGGCCATTCTTGCAATAGCCACTTCACACTTTGGCTCATGGTAAACAAAGGTTACCTGGAAAGTGCTCTTGGAGATAGTACTGGCATCTCTCAATTGGGGGAGTTACCTAAATCAGACCTGCAAATTAGAGAAGGCTAGGATAATAGATTCTTTAACATAAACAGTTAACATTTTAAGTTGACCTGGCAATCCAAAAACTAGCATTAGCAGAAGCAGTATGCTTCTCCAAAGGTCTTCTAGACCCAGGCTGTAACTCAGCTAACTGAAGTGATCCAATACTGTTCTAGGCCCTTCATCCTTTGTATGTAGTATTACCACTGAATAGATTTGTATGTAGTATTATGACTGCATAAAACAAACAATGGGGACAGATATATCCCTTTCCTTTAAGGACCAATACAGTAGGCTGTACTCATTGTTGCCCCTTATATAAAGGGTCAAAACATATTCTTATGACCATGCATATCAAAAGAAGCTGGACAATGTGGTTCTTAAGCTAGGCAAAATCTTTGGTTTTAGCACTATAGGAGAAATATATAAGTTCTTGTGTGTGTGTGTGTCTGTGTGAGGTAGTCATCCCCACTCCAGGTGTTTTTTTGGTGGTGGTGGTGGTTTTTTTTTTTTTTTTCCCTGAGATGGAGTCTTACTCTGTCACCCAGGGTGGAGTGCAGTGGCACGATCTTCGCTCACTGCAACCTCTGCCATCCAAGTTCAAGTGATTCTCCTGCCTCAGCCTCCTGAGTAGCTGGGATTACAGGTGCCTGCCACTGCACCTGGCTAATTTTTCTATTTTTAGTAGAGAAGGGGTTTCATCATCTCAGCCAGGCTGGTCTGGAACTCCTGACCTCGTGATCCACCCACCTCGGCCTCCCAAGTGCTGGGATTATAGGCGTGAGCCACTGCGCCCGGCCCCCTCCAGGTGTTAAGGCACAGGTGAGAATTCTCCTTTATATATTTATAGATGCTGGGCCAGGCACGGTGGCTTATGCCTGTAATCCAAGCACTTTGGAAGGCTAAGGCCGGAGGATCACTTGAGCCCAGGAGTGCAGGACTAGCCTAGGCAATACAGCAAGACCCTGTCTTAAAAAATAATAATAGGCTGGGCATGGTGGCTGATTCCTGTAATCCCAGCACTTTGGGAGGCTGAGGCTGGCAGATTACCTGAGGCCAGGAGTTCAAGACCAGCCTGGCCAACGTGGTGAAACCCCATCTCTACTAAAAATACAAAAATTAGCTGGGCGTGGTGGCGCATGCCTGTAATCCCAGCTACTCAGAAGGCTGAGGCAGGAGAATTGCTTCACCCTGGGAGACGGGGGTTGCAGTGAGCCAAGATTGCACCACTGCACTCCAACCTGGGCGACAGAGTAAGACCTGTCTCAGAAAAAAAAAAAATAATAGATTCTACTTTCATATATAAATTGGGATTTGTCAATTACATACAATATTTGAGCTCTATAACTACCAGAGCCTTTTTTTTTTTTTTTTGGAGACGGAATCTCGCTCTTGTTGCCCAGGCAGGGGTGCAATGGCATGATCTCGGCTCACCTCAACCTCTGCCTCCCGGGTTCAAGAGACTCTCCTGCCTCAGCCTCCCCATTAACTGGGATTACAGGCATGTGCCACCACATCCAGCTAAGTTTTGTAATTTTAGTAGAGACGGGGTTTCTCCATGTTGGTCAGGCTGGTCTCAAACTCCCAACCTCAGGTGATCTGACCACCTCGGTTTCCCAAAGTGTTGGGATTACAGGTGTGTGCCACCGCACCCAGTCTACCGGAGCATTTTAAGGTTTCTTTCTGAATCTTTTTTTTAAACAAATCCAAGAAACTAGAAAAAGGAACTTCCTTAATGTGATAAAACGCATCTAACAAAACTATAAAGCTAATAGACTTGATAGTGAAAGAAAAATGTTCTACCAAAGACGAAGACAAGGATGCTCCCTTCTGCCACTTCTATTCAACATTGTACAGGAAGTCCTAGTCAGGGAAAATAGGAAAGAAGAAATAGAAGACATGCAGATTGGAAAGGAAATTAAAACTGTATTCACAGATGACATGATCTTATATCTAGAAAGCCATAAAGGATATACACACACAGGCCAGGCGCAGTGGCTCAGGCCTGTAATCCCAACACTTTGGGAGGCTGAGATGGGTGGATCATCTGAGGTCAGGAGTTCCATACCAGCCTGGCCAACATAGTGAAACCCTGTCTCTACTAAAAACACAAAAATTAGCTCGGCGTAGTGGTGGGCGCCAGTAATCCCAGGTACTTGGGAGGCAGAGGCAGAGGTTGCAGTGAGCCAAGATCCCCCCACTACACTCCAGCCTGGGCGACAGAGCGAGATGCTGTCTCAAAAAAAAAAAAAAAAAAACAAAACACAACTTGAAGGTTGCAGGACACAAGATCAATATATAAAAATTGGTGGTATTGGCCAGGTGTGGTGGCTCACGCCTGTAATCCCAACACTTTTGGAGGCCAAGGCAGGTGGATTACCTGAGGTTAGGAGTTCGAGACCAGCCTGGCCAACATGGCGAAACCGCATCTCTACTAAAAATACAAAAAATTAGCCAGGCATGGTGGGCACTATAATCCCAGCTACTTAGGAGGCTGAGGCAGGAGAATTGCTTGAACCCGGGGGGCAGGAGTTAACAGTGAGCCAAGATCATGCCAGTGCCCTCCAGCCTGGGCAAAAGAGCGAAACTCCATCTCAAAAAAAAAAAAAAATTGGTGGTATTTCTATACAAGAGTAATAAATGAACTGAAAATGAAATTAAGAAAATTCCAGCCAGGCGCAGTGGTTCATGCCTGTAATCCCAGCACTTTGGGAGGCTGAGGTGGGCAGATCACGAGGTCAGGAGATGGAGACCATCCTGGCTAAATGGTGAAACCCTGTCTCTACTAAAAAATACAAAAAAAACTAGCCAGGCTTGGTGGCACACGCCTGTAGTCCCAGCTACTCGGGAGGCTGAAGAATCACTTGAACCCAGAAGGCGGAGGTTGCAATGAGCCAAGATCACGCCACTGCACTCCAGCCTGGGCAACAGAGCGAGATGTCATCTCTTTAAAAAAAAAAGGAAAAGAAAATTCCATTTACAACAGCATTAAAAAACAGGAGCAAGTAAGTACAAAACTTGGACACAAAAAACTACAGAATGCTGTTGAAAGAAAAGATGAAAGACACCCCACATTCATGAACTGGAAGACAATATTGTGAGGATGGCAAAATTCCCCAAATGTATCTATAGATTAGGTGTAGTTCCTATGTAATCCCAGTTATCTTTGCAGGAACTGACATACTTATCTTAAAATTTATATGAAAATACATGGGACCTAGCATAGCCAAAACAATCTTCAAAAAGAACATGATTTAGTAGCACAATAGCATTGTACTGGTGTAAGAATAGACCAATGGGGCTGGGCACGGTGGCTCACACCTGTAATCCCAGCACTCTGGGAGGCTGAGGCAGGTGGCTCAACTGAGATCAGGAGTTTGAGACCAGCCTGGATTATTGGGGGAACCAGTCCCCAATATTTCAACGTACATTCTTTCTATTTTCCCTAAGTGTCAACCGGTCTGAGAAATAGAAAGAGTATAAAGAGAGGAATTTTACAGCTGGGCCTCCAGGAGTGACATCAAATATCAGTAGGCCCATGATGTCCCCTGAGCTGCAAAACCAGCAAGTTTTTATTAGGGACTTGAAAAGGGGAGTGGGTGTACGAACAGGGAGTAGGTCACAAAGGTCACATGTTTCAAAGGGCAATAAAGATCACAAGGTAAAGGCAAAATTAGAATTACTGATGAGGGTCTATGTCCCGCTGTGCACATACTGTCTTGATAAACATCTTAACAGAAAACAGGGATCGAGAGCAGAGAACTGGTCTGACCAAAATTTACCAGGCTGGAATTTCCCAATCCTAGTAAGCCTGAGGGTACTGCAGGAGACCAGGGCGTATTTCAGTCCTTATCTCAACCACATAAGACAGACACTCCCAAAGCGACCTTTTATAGACCTCCCCCCAGGAATGCGCTCGTTTCCCAGGGTATTCCTTGCTGGGAAAAGAATTCAGCAATCTCTCTCTTACTTGCATGTCCATTTATAGGCTCTCTGCAAGAAGAAAAATATGGCTCTATTCTGCCCAATCCCGCAGGCAGTCAGACCTTATGGTTATATTCCCTTGTTCCCTGAAAATCGCTGTTATTCTGTTCTTTTTCAAGGTGCACTGATTTCATATTGTTCAAACACACGTTTTACAATCAGTTTGTACAATAGTGGTCCTGAGGTGATGTACATTCTCAGCTTATGAAGATAACAGGATTAAGAGATTAAAGTAAAGACAGGCATAAGAAATTATAAGAGTATTATTAGGGAAGTGATAAATGTCCATGAAATCTTCACAATTTATGTTCAGAGACTGCAGTAAAGACAGGCGTAAGAAATTATAAAAGTATTCATTTTGGGAACTGATAAGTGTCCATGAAATCTTCACAATTTATGTTTTTCTGCCATGGATCCAGCCGGTCTCTCCATTCAGGGTCCCTGACTTCCCGCAACACTGGCTAACATGATGAAACCCCGTCTCTACTAAAAATACAAAAATTAGCTGGGCGCAGTGGTGCACACCTGTAATCCCAGCTACTCAGGAGGCTGAGGGAGGAGAATTGCTCATACCCAGGGGGCCGAGATTGCAGTGAGCCAAGATCATGCCATTGCACTCCAGCCTGGGCGACAAAGCGAGACGCTGTCTCAAAAAATAAATAAATAAATAAAAAATAAAAAGGCATAGATAGACCAATGGAATAAAATCGATAGTCCAAAAATAAACCCTTACATTTATGGTCAACTGATTTCCAACAAGGGTGCCAAGATCACTCAATATGAGAAAGAATCTTCAACAAATGGCTCTGAGACAGCCAGATATCTACATCCAAAACATGAAGGTGGTCTCTTACTTCACATCATACATAAAAATTAACTAAAGTAGATTAAAGGTCTAAATGTAAGACCTCGAACTATAAAATTAGGAAAAAAACAGGAGTAGGGCTGGGCATGGTGGCTCATGCCTAGCACTTTCAAAGGTGGGTGGATCCCTTAAGCCAAGGAGTATGTGGCCAGCCTGGGAAACAAGGCAAAACCCTGTCTCTACAAAACAACACAAAAATTAGCAAGGCATGGTGGCACACAACTGTAATCCCAGCTACTCAGGAGGCTGAGATGTGAGGATCACCTGAGCCCAGGGAAATTGAGGCTGCAGTGAGCTGTGATCATGCTACTGCACTCCAGCCTGGGTGACAGAGAGAGACGCTTGTCTCAAAACAAAAAAACATAGGCATAAATCTTCACGACTTTGGATGAGGGACTGGTTTCTTAATACAACATCAAAACACAAGCAAAGAAAGAAAAAATCAAATTGGACTTCATCACAAATTTTGTGCTTCAAGGACACTTTCTTTTTTTTTTAGACAGAGTCTCGTCTCGCTCTGTCACCAGCCTGGAGTGCAGTGGTGCGATCGTGGCTCACTGCAACCTCTACCTCCTGAGTTCAAGCAATTCTCCTGCCTCAGCCTCCAGAGTAGCTGGAACTACAGGCGCCCACCACTATGCCCGGCCAATTTTTTTTTTTTTTTTTTTTTTGAGACAGAGTTTTACTCTTGTTGCCCAGGCTGGAATGCAATGGCGCGATCTCAGCTCACTGCAACCTCCACGTCC